>NC_000015.10:18355108-18667477 GCF_000001405.40 Homo sapiens | reverse complement strand
GAAAGCGCTCGAAATGTCCACTTCCAGATAGTACAGAAAGAGTGTTTCAAACCTGCTCTATGAACGGGAATGTTCAGCTCTGTGAGTTGAATGCAAACATCACAAAGCAGGTTCTGAGAATGCTTCCGTCTAGATTTTAAATGAGGATATTCCCGTTTCCAACGAAATCCTCGAAGCTATCCAAATATCCACTTGCAGATTCCACAAAAAGAGTGTTTCAAAACTGCTCTGTCAAAAGATAGGTTCAACTCTGTTAGTTGAGTACACACATGGCAAACAAGATTCCGAGAATGCTTTCGTCTAGTTTTTTTGGGAAGATATTTCCTTCTTCACCATAGGCCTCAAAGCGCTCCAAATATCCATTTCCACATGCTATACAAAGAGTGTCTCAAACCTGCTGTATGAATGGGAATGTTCAACTCTATGAGTTGAATGCAAACATCACAAAGAAGTTTCTGAGAATGCTGCTGTCTAGATTTTATATGAAGGTTTTCCCGCTTCCAACGAAATTTTCAATGCTCTCAAAATATCCTCTTGTAGATTCTACAAAAAGAGTGTTTCCAAACTGCTGTATCAAAACAAAGGTTCATCTCTGTTAGTTGAGGACACACATCACAAATAAGTTTCTGAGAATGCTTCTGTCTAGTTCTTATTTGAAGACATTTCCTTTCTCACCTTAGGCCTGAAAGCGCTCGAAATACCCACTTCCAGATACTACAGAAACAGTGATTCAAACCTGCTCTATGAAAGGGAATGTTCAACTAGGTGACTTGAATGCAAACATCACAAAGCAGTTTCTGAGAATGCTGCTGTCTACTTTCTATTTATAATCCCGTTTCCAACGAAATCCTCAGAACTATCAAAATTTCCAATTGCAGATTCCACAGAAACAGGGTTTCAAAGCTGCTCTGTAAAAAGAAAGGTTCAACTCTGTTAGTTGAATACACACGTCACAAACAAGTTTCTGAGAATGCTTCTGTCTAGTTTTTATGGGAAGATATTTCCTTTTTCACCGTAGGCCTCAAAGCGCTCCAAATGTCCACTTCCACATACTACAAAAAGAGTGTTTCAAACCTGCTGTATGAAAGGGAATGTTCAACTCTATGAGTTGAATGCAAACATTACAAAGAAGTTTCTGAGAATGCTTCTGTCTAGATTTTATATGAAGGTTTTCCCGTTTCCAACGAAATTTTCAATGCTCTCAAAATATCCACTTGTAGATTCTACAAAAAGAGTGTTTCCAAACTGCTGTGTCAAAAGAAAGGTTCAACTCTGTTAGTTGAGGACACACATCACAAATAAGTTTCTGAGAATGCTTCTGTCTAGTTCTTATTTGAAGACATTTCCTTTCTCACCTTAGGCCTGAAAACGCTCGAAATATCCACTTCCAGATACGACAGAAACAGTGATTCCAACCTGCTCTATGAAAGGGAATGTTCAACTAGGTGACTTGAATGCAAACATCACAAAGCAGTTTCTGAGAATGCTGCTGTCTACTTTCTATTTGTAATCCCGTTTCCAACGAAATCCTCAGAACTATCGAAATTTCCAATTGCAGATTCCACAAAAAGCGTGTTTCAAAGCTGCTCTGTAAAAAGAAAGGTTCAACTCTGTTAGTTGAATACACACGTCACAAACAAGTTTCTGAGAATGCTTCTGTCTAGTTTTTATGGGAAGATATTTCCTTTTTCACCGTAGGCCTCAAAGCGCTCCAAATGTCCACTTCCACATACTACAAAAAGAGTGTTTCAAACCTGCTCTATGATAGGGAATGTTGAAACCTATGAGTTGAATGCAAGCATTACAAAGAGGTTTCTGAGAATGCTTCTGTCTAGATTTTATATGTAGATATTCCCGTTTCCAACGAAATCCTCAAAGCTATCCAAATATCAGCTTGCAGATTCTGCAAAAGGAATGTTTCCAAAATGCTGTATCCAAACAAAGGTTCAACTCTGTGAATTGAGGGCATACATCACAAAGAAGATTCTGAGAATGCTTCTGTCTAGATTTTATATGAAAATATTCCCGTTTCCAACGAAATCCTCAAAGCTATCCAAATATCCACTTGCAAATGCCACAAAAAGAGTGTTTCCAAACTGCTCTGTGAAAAGGAAGGTTCAACTCTGTTAGTTGAGTACACACATCACAAAGAGGTTTCTGAGAATGCTGCTGACTAGTTTTTATTTGAAGATATTTCCCTTTTCACCTTAGGCCTAAGAGTGCTCGAAATGTCCATTTCCACATACTCCACAAAGTGTGTTTCAAACGTGCTGTATGAAAGGGAATGTTCAACTCTATGAGTTGAATGCAAACATCACAAAGAAGATTCTGAGAATGCTTTTGTCTAGATTTTATATGAAGATATTCCCGTGTCCAACGAAATTTTCAAAGGTCTCCAAATATCCATTTGTAGATTCTACAAAAAGAGTGTTTCCAAACTGCTGTATCAAAACAAAGGTTGAACTCTGTGAGTTGAGGACACACATCACAAATAAGTTTCTGAGAATGCTTCTGTCTAGTTTTTATTTGAAGATGTTTCCTTTTTCACCATAGGCCTGAAAGCGCTCGAAATGTCCACTTCCAGATAGTACAGAAAGAGTGTTTCAAACCTGCTCTATGAACGGGAATGTTCAGCTCTGTGAGTTGAATGCAAACATCACAAAGCAGGTTCTGAGAATGCTTCCGTCTAGATTTTAAATGAGGATATTCCCGTTTCCAACGAAATCCTCGAAGCTATCCAAATATCCACTTGCAGATTCCACAAAAAGAGTGTTTCAAAACTGCTCTGTCAAAAGATAGGTTCAACTCTGTTAGTTGAGTACACACATGGCAAACAAGATTCCGAGAATGCTTTCGTCTAGTTTTTTTGGGAAGATATTTCCTTCTTCACCATAGGCCTCAAAGCGCTCCAAATATCCATTTCCACATGCTATACAAAGAGTGTCTCAAACCTGCTGTATGAATGGGAATGTTCAACTCTATGAGTTGAATGCAAACATCACAAAGAAGTTTCTGAGAATGCTGCTGTCTAGATTTTATATGAAGGTTTTCCCGCTTCCAACGAAATTTTCAATGCTCTCAAAATATCCTCTTGTAGATTCTACAAAAAGAGTGTTTCCAAACTGCTGTATCAAAACAAAGGTTCATCTCTGTTAGTTGAGGACACACATCACAAATAAGTTTCTGAGAATGCTTCTGTCTAGTTCTTATTTGAAGACATTTCCTTTCTCACCTTAGGCCTGAAAGCGCTCGAAATACCCACTTCCAGATACTACAGAAACAGTGATTCAAACCTGCTCTATGAAAGGGAATGTTCAACTAGGTGACTTGAATGCAAACATCACAAAGCAGTTTCTGAGAATGCTGCTGTCTACTTTCTATTTGTAATCCCGTTTGCAACGAAATCCTCAGAACTATCGAAATTTCCAATTGCAGATTCCACAGAAACAGGGTTTCAAAGCTGCTCTGTAAAAAGAAAGGTTCAACTCTGTTAGTTGAATACACACGTCACAAACAAGTTTCTGAGAATGCTTCTGTCTAGTTTTTATGGGAAGATATTTCCTTTTTCACCGTAGGCCTCAAAGCGCTCCAAATGTCCACTTCCACATACTACAAAAAGAGTGTTTCAAACCTGCTGTATGAAAGGGAATGTTCAACTCTATGAGTTGAATGCAAACATTACAAAGAAGTTTCTGAGAATGCTTCTGTCTAGATTTTATATGAAGGTTTTCCCGTTTCCAACGAAATTTTCAATGCTCTCAAAATATCCACTTGTAGATTCTACAAAAAGAGTGTTTCCAAACTGCTGTGTCAAAAGAAAGGTTCAACTCTGTTAGTTGAGGACACACATCACAAATAAGTTTCTGAGAATGCTTCTGTCTAGTTCTTATTTGAAGACATTTCCTTTCTCACCTTAGGCCTGAAAACGCTCGAAATATCCACTTCCAGATACGACAGAAACAGTGATTCAAACCTGCTCTATGAAAGGGAATGTTCAACTAGGTGACTTGAATGCAAACATCACAAAGCAGTTTCTGAGAATGCTGCTGTCTACTTTCTATTTGTAATCCCGTTTCCAACGAAATCCTCAGAACTATCGAAATTTCCAATTGCAGATTCCACAAAAAGCGTGTTTCAAAGCTGCTCTGTAAAAAGAAAGGTTCAACTCTGTTAGTTGAATACACACGTCACAAACAAGTTTCTGAGAATGCTTCTGTCTAGTTTTTATGGGAAGATATTTCCTTTTTCACCGTAGGCCTCAAAGCGCTCCAAATGTCCACTTCCACATACTACAAAAAGAGTGTTTCAAACCTGCTCTATGATAGGGAATGTTGAAACCTATGAGTTGAATGCAAGCATTACAAAGAGGTTTCTGAGAATGCTTCTGTCTAGATTTTATATGTAGATAGATATTCCCGTTTCCAACGAAATCCTCAAACTATCCAAATATCAACTTGCAGATTCTACAAAAGGAATGTTTCCAAAATGCTGTATCCAAACAAAGGTTCAACTCGGTGAATTGAGGGCATACATCACAAAGAAGATTCTGAGAATGCTTCTGTCTAGATTTTATATGAAAATATTCCCGTTTCCAACGAAATCCTCAAAGCTATCCAAATATCCACTTGCAAATGCCACAAAAAGAGTGTTTCCAAACTGCTCTGTGAAAAGGAAGGTTCAACTCTGTTAGTTGAGTACACACATCACAAAGAGGTTTCTGAGAATGCTGCTGACTAGTTTTTATTTGAAGATATTTCCCTTTTCACCTTAGGCCTAAGAGTGCTCGAAATGTCCATTTCCACATACTCCACAAAGTGTGTTTCAAACGTGCTGTATGAAAGGGAATGTTCAACTCTATGAGTTGAATGCAAACATCACAAAGAAGATTCTGAGAATGCTTTTGTCTAGATTTTATATGAAGATATTCCCGTGTCCAACGAAATTTTCAAAGGTCTCCAAATATCCATTTGTAGATTCTACAAAAAGAGTGTTTCCAAACTGCTGTATCAAAACAAAGGTTGAACTCTGTGAGTTGAGGACACACATCACAAATAAGTTTCTGAGAATGCTTCTGTCTAGTTTTTATTTGAAGATGTTTCCTTTTTCACCATAGGCCTGAAAGCGCTCGAAATGTCCACTTCCAGATAGTACAGAAAGAGTGTTTCAAACCTGCTCTATGAACGGGAATGTTCAGCTCTGTGAGTTGAATGCAAACATCACAAAGCAGGTTCTGAGAATGCTTCCGTCTAGATTTTAAATGAGGATATTCCCGTTTCCAACGAAATCCTCGAAGCTATCCAAATATCCACTTGCAGATTCCACAAAAAGAGTGTTTCAAAACTGCTCTGTCAAAAGATAGGTTCAACTACTGTTAGTTGAGTACACACATGGCAAACAAGATTCCGAGAATGATTTCGTCTAGTTTTTTTGGGAAGATATTTCCTTCTTCACCATAGGCCTCAAAGCGCTCCAAATATCCATTTCCACATGCTATACAAAGAGTGTCTCAAACCTGCTGTATGAATGGGAATGTTCAACTCTATGAGTTGAATGCAAACATCACAAGGAAGTTTTTGAGAATGCTGCTGTCTAGATTTTATATGAAGGTTTTCCCGCTTCCAACGAAATTTTCAATGCTCTCAAAATATCCTCTTGTAGATTCTACAAAAAGAGTGTTTCCAAACTGCTGTATCAAAACAAAGGTTCATCTCTGTTAGTTGAGGACACACATCACAAATAAGTTTCTGAGAATGCTTCTGTCTAGTTCTTATTTGAAGACATTTCCTTTCTCACCTTAGGCCTGAAAGCGCTCGAAATACCCACTTCCAGATACTACAGAAACAGTGATTCAAACCTGCTCTATGAAAGGGAATGTTCAACTATGTGACTTGAATGCAAACATCACAAAGCAGTTTCTGAGAATGCTGCTGTCTACTTTCAATTTGTAATCCCGTTTCCAACGAAATCCTCAGAACTATCGAAATTTCCAATTGCAGATTCCACAGAAACAGGGTTTCAAAGCTGCTCTGTAAAAAGAAAGGTTCAACTCTGTTAGTTGAATACACACGTCACAAACAAGTTTCTGAGAATGCTTCTGTCTAGTTTTTATGGGAAGATATTTCCTTTTTCACCATAGGCCTCAAAGCGCTCCAAATGTCCACTTCCACATACTACAAAAAGAGTGTTTCAAACCTGCTGTATGAAAGGGAATGTTCAACTCTATGAGTTGAATGCAAACATTACAAAGAAGTTTCTGAGAATGCTTCTGTCTAGATTTTATATGAAGGTTTTCCCGTTTCCAACGAAATTTTCAATGCTCTCAAAATATCCACTTGTAGATTCTACAAAAAGAGTGTTTCTAAACTGCTGTGTCAAAAGAAAGGTTCAACTCTGTTAGTTGAGGACACACATCACAAATAAGTTTCTGAGAATGCTTCTGTCTAGTTCTTATTTGAAGACATTTCCTTTCTCACCTTAGGCCTGAAAACGCTCGAAATATCCACTTCCAGATACGACAGAAACAGTGATTCAAACCTGCTCTATGAAAGGGAATGTTCAACTAGGTGACTTGAATGCAAACATCACAAAGCAGTTTCTGAGAATGCTGCTGTCTACTTTCTATTTGTAATCCCGTTTCCAACGAAATCCTCAGAACTATCGAAATTTCCAATTGCAGATTCCACAGAAAGCGTGTTTCAAAGCTGCTCTGTAAAAAGAAAGGTTCA
The DNA here is from genome assembly GCF_000001405.40 of Homo sapiens. Taxonomy (NCBI): domain Eukaryota; kingdom Metazoa; phylum Chordata; class Mammalia; order Primates; family Hominidae; genus Homo; species Homo sapiens. Next base: position 18,660,752 of record NC_000015.10, on the reverse strand, counting down.
ACTCTGTTAGTTGAATACACACGTCACAAACAAGTTTCTGAGAATGCTTCTGTCTAGTTTTTATGGGAAGATATTTCCTTTTTCACCGTAGGCCTCAAAGCGCTCCAAATGTCCACTTCCACATACTACAAAAAGAGTGTTTCAAACCTGCTCTATGATAGGGAATGTTGAAACCTATGAGTTGAATGCAAGCATTACAAAGAGGTTTCTGAGAATGCTTCTGTCTAGATTTTATATGTAGATATTCCCGTTTCCAACGAAATCCTCAAAGCTATCCAAATATCAACTTGCAGATTCTACAAAAGGAATGTTTCCAAAATGCTGTATCCAAACAAAGGTTCAACTCTGTGAATTGAGGGCATACATAACAAAGAAGATTCTGAGAATGCTTCTGTCTAGATTTTATATGAAAATATTCCCGTTTCCAACGAAATCCTCAAAGCTATCCAAATATCCACTTGCAAATGCCACAAAAAGAGTGTTTCCAAACTGCTCTGTGAAAAGGAAGGTTCAACTCTGTTAGTTGAGTACACACATCACAAAGAGGTTTCTGAGAATGCTGCTGACTAGTTTTTATTTGAAGATATTTCCCTTTTCACCTTAGGCCTAAGAGTGCTCGAAATGTCCATTTCCACATACTCCACAAAGTGTGTTTCAAACGTGCTGTATGAAAGGGAATGTTCAACTCTATGAGTTGAATGCAAACATCACAAAGAAGATTCTGAGAATGCTTTTGTCTAGATTTTATATGAAGATATTCCCGTGTCCAACGAAATTTTCAAAGGTCTCCAAATATCCATTTGTAGATTCTACAAAAAGAGTGTTTCCAAACTGCTGTATCAAAACAAAGGTTGAACTCTGTGAGTTGAGGACACACATCACAAATAAGTTTCTGAGAATGCTTCTGTCTAGTTTTTATTTGAAGATGTTTCCTTTTTCACCATAGGCCTGAAAGCGCTCGAAATGTCCACTTCCAGATAGTACAGAAAGAGTGTTTCAAACCTGCTCTATGAACGGGAATGTTCAGCTCTGTGAGTTGAATGCAAACATCACAAAGCAGGTTCTGAGAATGCTTCCGTCTAGATTTTAAATGAGGATATTCCCGTTTCCAACGAAATCCTCGAAGCTATCCAAATATCCACTTGCAGATTCCACAAAAATAGTGTTTCAAAACTGCTCTATCAAAAGATAGGTTCAACTCTGTTAGTTGAGTACACACATGGCAAACAAGATTCCGAGAATGCTTTCGTCTAGTTTTTTTGGGAAGATATTTCCTTCTTCACCATAGGCCTCAAAGCGCTCCAAATATCCATTTCCACATGCTATACAAAGAGTGTCTCAAACCTGCTGTATGAATGGGAATGTTCAACTCTATGAGTTGAATGCAAACATCACAAAGAAGTTTCTGAGAATGCTGCTGTCTAGATTTTATATGAAGGTTTTCCCGCTTCCAACGAAATTTTCAATGCTCTCAAAATATCCTCTTGTAGATTCTACAAAAAGAGTGTTTCCAAACTGCTGTATCAAAACAAAGGTTCATCTCTGTTAGTTGAGGACACACATCACAAATAAGTTTCTGAGAATGCTTCTGTCTAGTTCTTATTTGAAGACATTTCCTTTCTCACCTTAGGCCTGAAAGCGCTCGAAATACACACTTCCAGATACTACAGAAACAGTGATTCAAACCTGCTCTATGAAAGCGAATGTTCAACTAGGTGACTTGAATGCAAACATCACAAAGCAGTTTCTGAGAATGCTGCTGTCTACTTTCTATTTGTATCCCGTTTCCAACGAAATCCTCAGAACTATCGAAATTTCCAATTGCAGATTCCACAGAAACAGGGTTTCAAAGCTGCTCTGTAAAAAGAAAGGTTCAACTCTGTTAGTTGAATACACACGTCACAAACAAGTTTCTGAGAATGCTTCTGTCTAGTTTTTATGGGAAGATATTTCCTTTTTCACCGTAGGCCTCAAAGCGCTCCAAATGTCCACTTCCACATACTACAAAAAGAGTGTTTCAAACCTGCTGTATGAAAGGGAATGTTCAACTCTATGAGTTGAATGCAAACATTACAAAGAAGTTTCTGAGAATGCTTCTGTCTAGATTTTATATGAAGGTTTTCCCGTTTCCAACGAAATTTTCAATGCTCTCAAAATATCCACTTGTAGATTCTACAAAAAGAGTGTTTCCAAACTGCTGTGTCAAAAGAAAGGTTCAACTCTGTTAGTTGAGGACACACATCACAAATAAGTTTCTGAGAATGCTTCTGTCTAGTTCTTATTTGAAGACATTTCCTTTCTCACCTTAGGCCTGAAAACGCTCGAAATATCCACTTCCAGATACGACAGAAACAGTGATTCAAACCTGCTCTATGAAAGGGAATGTTCAACTAGGTGACTTGAATGCAAACATCACAAAGCAGTTTCTGAGAATGCTGCTGTCTACTTTCTATTTGTAATCCCGTTTCCAACGAAATCCTCAGAACTATCGAAATTTCCAATTGCAGATTCCACAAAAAGCGTGTTTCAAAGCTGCTCTGTAAAAAGAAAGGTTCAACTCTGTTAGTTGAATACACACGTCACAAACAAGTTTCTGAGAATGCTTCTGTCTAGTTTTTATGGGAAGATATTTCCTTTTTCACCGTAGGCCTCAAAGCGCTCCAAATGTCCACTTCCACATACTACAAAAAGAGTGTTTCAAACCTGCTCTATGATAGGGAATGTTGAAACCTATGAGTTGAATGCAAGCATTACAAAGAGGTTTCTGAGAATGCTTCTGTCTAGATTTTATATGTAGATATTCCCGTTTCCAACGAAATCCTCAAACTATCCAAATATCAACTTGCAGATTCTACAAAAGGAATGTTTCCAAAATGCTGTATCCAAACAAAGGTTCAACTCTGTGAATTGAGGGCATACATCACAAAGAAGATTCTGAGAATGCTTCTGTCTAGATTTTATATGAAAATATTCCCGTTTCCAACGAAATCCTCAAAGCTATCCAAATATCCACTTGCAAATGCCACAAAAAGAGTGTTTCCAAACTGCTCTGTGAAAAGGAAGGTTCAACTCTGTTAGTTGAGTACACACATCACAAAGAGGTTTCTGAGAATGCTGCTGACTAGTTTTTATTTGAAGATATTTCCCTTTTCACCTTAGGCCTAAGAGTGCTCGAAATGTCCATTTCCACATACTCCACAAAGTGTGTTTCAAACGTGCTGTATGAAAGGGAACGTTCAAATCTATGAGTTGAATGCAAACATCACAAAGAAGATTCTGAGAATGCTTTTGTCTAGATTTTATATGAAGATATTCCCGTGTCCAACGAAATTTTCAAAGGTCTCCAAATATCCATTTGTAGATTCTACAAAAAGAGTGTTTCCAAACTGCTGTATCAAAACAAAGGTTGAACTCTGTGAGTTGAGGACACACATCACAAATAAGTTTCTGAGAATGCTTCTGTCTAGTTTTTATTTGAAGATGTTTCCTTTTTCACCATAGGCCTGAAAGCGCTCGAAATGTCCACTTCCAGATAGTACAGAAAGAGTGTTTCAAACCTGCTCTATGAACGGGAATGTTCAGCTCTGTGAGTTGAATGCAAACATCACAAAGCAGGTTCTGAGAATGCTTCCGTCTAGATTTTAAATGAGGATATTCCCGTTTCCAACGAAATCCTCGTAGCTATCCAAATATCCACTTGCAGATTCCACAAAAAGAGTGTTTCAAAACTGCTCTTTAAAAAGATAGGTTCAACTCTGTTAGTTGAGTACACACATGGCAAACAAGATTCCGAGAATGCTTTCGTCTAGTTTTTTTGGGAAGATATTTCCTTCTTCACCATAGGCCTCAAAGCGCTCCAAATATCCATTTCCACATGCTATACAAAGAGTGTCTCAAACCTGCTGTATGAATGGGAATGTTCAACTCTATGAGTTGAATGCAAACATCACAAAGAAGTTTCTGAGAATGCTGCTGTCTAGATTTTATATGAAGGTTTTCCCGCTTCCAACGAAATTTTCAATGCTCTCAAAATATCCTCTTGTAGATTCTACAAAAAGAGTGTTTCCAAACTGCTGTATCAAAACAAAGGTTCATCTCTGTTAGTTGAGGACACACATCACAAATAAGTTTCTGAGAATGCTTCTGTCTAGTTCTTATTTGAAGACATTTCCTTTCTCACCTTAGGCCTGAAAACGCTCGAAATATCCACTTCCAGATACGACAGAAACAGTGATTCAAACCTTCTCTATGAAAGGGAATGTTCAACTAGGTGACTTGAATGCAAACATCACAAAGCAGTTTCTGAGAATGCTGCTGTCTACTTTCTATTTGTAATCCCGTTTCCAACGAAATCCTCAGAACTATCGAAATTTCCAATTGCAGATTCCACAAAAAGCGTGTTTCAAAGCTGCTCTGTAAAAAGAAAGGTTCAACTCTGTTAGTTGAATACACACGTCACAAACAAGTTTCTGAGAATGCTTCTGTCTAGTTTCTATGGGAAGATATTTCCTTTTTCACCGTAGGCCTCAAAGCGCTCCAAATGTCCACTTCCACATACTACAAAAAGAGTGTTTCAAACCTGCTCTATGATAGGGAATGTTGAAACCTATGAGTTGAATGCAAGCATTACAAAGAGGTTTCTGAGAATGCTTCTGTCTAGATTTTATATGTAGATATTCCCGTTTCCAACGAAATCCTCAAAGCTATCCAAATATCAGCTTGCAGATTCTGCAAAAGGAATGTTTCCAAAATGCTGTATCCAAACAAAGGTTCAACTCTGTGAATTGAGGGCATACATCACAAAGAAGATTCTGAGAATGCTTCTGTCTAGATTTTATATGAAAATATTCCCGTTTCCAACGAAATCCTCAAAGCTATCCAAATATCCACTTGCAAATGCCACAAAAAGAGTGTTTCCAAACTGCTCTGTGAAAAGGAAGGTTCAACTCTGTTAGTTGAGTACACACATCACAAAGAGGTTTCTGAGAATGCTGCTGACTAGTTTTTATTTGAAGATATTTCCCTTTTCACCTTAGGCCTAAGAGTGCTCGAAATGTCCATTTCCACATACTCCACAAAGTGTGTTTCAAACGTGCTGTATGAAAGGGAATGTTCAACTCTATGAGTTGAATGCAAACATCACAAAGAAGATTCTGAGAATGCTTTTGTCTAGATTTTATATGAAGATATTCCCGTGTCCAACGAAATTTTCAAAGGTCTCCAAATATCCATTTGTATATTCTACAAAAAGAGTGTTTCCAAACTGCTGTATCAAAACAAAGGTTGAACTCTGTGAGTTGAGGACACACATCACAAATAAGTTTCTGAGAATGCTTCTGTCTAGTTTTTATTTGAAGATGTTTCCTTTTTCACCATAGGCCTGAAAGCGCTCGAAATGTCCACTTCCAGATAGTACAGAAAGAGTGTTTCAAACCTGCTCTATGAACGGGAATGTTCAGCTCTGTGAGTTGAATGCAAACATCACAAAGCAGGTTCTGAGAATGCTTCCGTCTAGATTTTAAATGAGGATATTCCCGTTTCCAACGAAATCCTCGAAGCTATCCAAATATCCACTTGCAGATTCCACAAAAAGAGTGTTTCAAAACTGCTCTGTCAAAAGATAGGTTCAACTCTGTTAGTTGAGTACACACATGGCAAACAAGATTCCGAGAATGCTTTCGTCTAGTTTTTTGGGGAAGATATTTCCTTCTTCACCATAGGCCTCAAAGCGCTCCAAATATCCATTTCCACATGCTATACAAAGAGTGTCTCAAACCTGCTGTATGAATGGGAATGTTCAACTCTATGAGTTGAATGCAAACATCACAAAGAAGTTTCTGAGAATGCTGCTGTCTAGATTTTATATGAAGGTTTTCCCGCTTCCAACGAAATTTTCAATGCTCTCAACATATCCTCTTGTAGATTCTACAAAAAGAGTGTTTCCAAACTGCTGTATCAAAACAAAGGTTCATCTCTGTTAGTTGAGGACACACATCACAAATAAGTTTCTGAGAATGCTTCTGTCTAGTTCTTATTTGAAGACATTTCCTTTCTCACCTTAGGCCTGAAAGCGCTCGAAATACCCACTTCCAGATACTACAGAAACAGTGATTCAAACCTGCTCTATGAAAGGGAATGTTCAACTAGGTGACTTGAATGCAAACATCACAAAGCAGTTTCTGAGAATGCTGCTGTCTACTTTCTATTTGTAATCCCGTTTCCAACGAAATCCTCAGAACTATCGAAATTTCCAATTGCAGATTCCACAGAAACAGGGTTTCAAAGCTGCTCTGTAAAAAGAAAGGTTCAACTCTGTTAGTTGAATACACACGTCACAAACAAGTTTCTGAGAATGCTTCTGTCTAGTTTTTATGGGAAGATATTTCCTTTTTCACGGTAGGCCTCAAAGCGCTCCAAATGTCCACTTCCACATACTACAAAAAGAGTGTTTCAAACCTGCTCTATGATAGGGAATGTTGAAACCTATGAGTTGAATGCAAGCATTACAAAGAGGTTTCTGAGAATGCTTCTGTCTAGATTTTATATGTAGATATTCCCATTTCCAACGAAATCCTCAAAGCTATCCAAATATCAACTTGCAGATTCTACAAAAGGAATGTTTCCAAAATGCTGTATCCAAACAAAGGTTCAACTCTGTGAATTGAGGGCATACATCACAAAGAAGATTCTGAGAATGCTTCTGTCTAGATTTTATATGAAAATATTCCCGTTTCCAACGAAATCCTCAAAGCTATCCAAATATCCACTTGCAAATGCCACAAAAAGAGTGTTTCCAAACTGCTCTGTGAAAAGGAAGGTTCAACTCTGTTAGTTGAGTACACACATCACAAAGAGGTTTCTGAGAATGCTGCTGACTAGTTTTTATTTGAAGATATTTCCCTTTTCACCTTAGGCCTAAGAGTGCTCGAAATGTCCATTTCCACATACTCCACAAAGTGTGTTTCAAACGTGCTGTATGAAAGGGAATGTTCAACTCTATGAGTTGAATGCAAACATCACAAAGAAGATTCTGAGAATGCTTTTGTCTAGATTTTATATGAAGATATTCCCGTGTCCAACGAAATTTTCAAAGGTCTCCAAATATCCATTTGTAGATTCTACAAAAAGAGTGTTTCCAAACTGCTGTATCAAAACAAAGGTTGAACTCTGTGAGTTGAGGACACACATCACAAATAAGTTTCTGAGAATGCTTCTGTCTAGTTTTTATTTGAAGATGTTTCCTTTTTCACCATAGGCCTGAAAGCGCTCGAAATGTCCACTTCCAGATAGTACAGAAAGAGTGTTTCAAACCTGCTCTATGAACGGGAATGTTCAGCTCTGTGAGTTGAATGCAAACATCACAAAGCAGGTTCTGAGAATGCTTCCGTCTAGATTTTAAATGAGGATATTCCCGTTTCCAACGAAATCCTCGAAGCTATCCAAATATCCACTTGCAGATTCCACAAAAAGAGTGTTTCAAAACTGCTCTGTCAAAAGATAGGTTCAACTCTGTTAGTTGAGTACACACATGGCAAACAAGATTGCGAGAATGCTTTCGTCTAGTTTTTTTGGGAAGATATTTCCTTCTTCACCATAGGCCTCAAAGCGCTCCAAATATCCATTTCCACATGCTATACAAAGAGTGTCTCAAACCTGCTGTATGAATGGGAATGTTCAACTCTATGAGTTGAATGCAAACATCACAAAGAAGTTTCTGAGAATGCTGCTGTCTAGATTTTATATGAAGGTTTTCCCGCTTCCAACGAAATTTTCAATGCTCTCAAAATATCCTCTTGTAGATTCTACAAAAAGAGTGTTTCCAAACTGCTGTATCAAAACAAAGGTTCATCTCTGTTAGTTGAGGACACACATCACAAATAAGTTTCTGAGAATGCTTCTGTCTAGTTCTTATTTGAAGACATTTCCTTTCTCACCTTAGGCCTGAAAGCGCTCGAAATACCCACTTCCAGATACTACAGAAACAGTGATTCAAACCTGCTCTATGAAAGGGAATGTTCAACTATGTGACTTGAATGCAAACATCACAAAGCAGTTTCTGAGAATGCTGCTGTCTACTTTCTATTTGTAATCCCGTTTCCAACGAAATCCTCAGAACTATCGAAATTTCCAATTGCAGATTCCACAAAAAGCGTGTTTCAAAGCTGCTCTGTAAAAAGAAAGGTTCAACTCTGTTAGTTGAATACACACGTCACAAACAAGTTTCTGAGAATGCTTCTGTCTAGTTTTTATGGGAAGATATTTCCTTTTTCACCGTAGGCCTCAAAGCGCTCCAAATGTCCACTTCCACATCCTACAAAAAGAGTGTTTCAAACCTGCTCTATGATAGGGAATGTTGAAACCTATGAGTTGAATGCAAGCATTACAAAGAGGTTTCTGAGAATGCTTCCTGTCTAGATTTTATATGTAGATATTCCCGTTTCCAACGAAATCTTCAAAGCTATCCAAATATCAACTTGCAGATTCTACAAAAGGAATGTTTCCAAAATGCTGTATCCAAACAAAGGTTCAACTCTGTGAATTGAGGGCATACATCACAAAGAAGATTCTGAGAATGCTTCTGTCTAGATTTTATATGAAAATATTCCCGTTTCCAACGAAATCCTCAAAGCTATCCAAATATCCACTTGCAAATGCCACAAAAAGAGTGTTTCCAAACTGCTCTGTGAAAAGGAAGGTTCAACTCTGTTAGTTGAGTGCACACATCACAAAGAGGTTTCTGAGAATGCTGCTGACTAGTTTTTATTTGAAGATATTTCCCTTTTCACCTTAGGCCTAAGAGTGCTCGAAATGTCCATTTCCACATACTCCACAAAGTGTGTTTCAAACGTGCTGTATGAAAGGGAATGTTCAACTCTATCAGTTGAATGCAAACATCACAAAGAAGACTCTGAGAATGCTTTTGTCTAGATTTTATATGAAGATATTCCCGTGTCCAACGAAATTTTCAAAGGTCTCCAAATATCCATTTGTAGATTCTACAAAAAGAGTGTTTCCAAACTGCTGTATCAAAACAAAGGTTGAACTCTGTGAGTTGAGGACACACATCACAAATAAGTTTCTGAGAATGCTTCTGTCTAGTTTTTATTTGAAGATGTTTCCTTTTTCACCATAGGCCTGAAAGCGCTCGAAATGTCCACTTCCAGATAGTACAGAAAGAGTGTTTCAAACCTGCTCTATGAACGGGAATGTTCAGCTCTGTGAGTTGAATGCAAACATCACAAAGCAGGTTCTGAGAATGCTTCCGTCTAGATTTTAAATGAGGATATTCCCGTTTCCAACGAAATCCTCGAAGCTATCCAAATATCCACTTGCAGATTCCACAAAAAGAGTGTTTCAAAACTGCTCTGTCAAAAGATAGGTTCAACTCTGTTAGTTGAGTACACACATGGCAAACAAGATTCCGAGAATGCTTTCGTCTAGTTTTTTTGGGAAGATATTTCCTTCTTCACCATAGGCCTCAAAGCGCTCCAAATATCCATTTCCACATGCTATACAAAGAGTGTCTCAAACCTGCTGTATGAATGGGAATGTTCAACTCTATGAGTTGAATGCAAACATCACAAAGAAGTTTCTGAGAATGCTGCTGTCTAGATTTTATATGAAGGTTTTCCCGCTTCCAACGAAATTTTCAATGCTCTCAAAATATCCTCTTGTAGATTCTACAAAAAGAGTGTTTCCAAACTGCTGTATCAAAACAAAGGTTCATCTCTGTTAGTTGAGGACACACATCACAAACAAGTTTCTGAGAATGCTTCTGTCTAGTTCTTATTTGAAGACATTTCCTTTCTCACCTTAGGCCTGAAAGCGCTCGAAATATCCACTTCCAGATACGACAGAAACTGTGATTCAAACCTGCTCTATGAAAGGGAATGTTCAACTAGGTGACTTGAATGCAAACATCACAAAGCAGTTTCTGAGAATGCTGCTGTCTACTTTCTATTTGTAATCCCGTTTCCAACGAAATCCTCAGAACTATCGAAATTTCCAATTGCAGATTCCACAAAAAGCGTGTTTCAAAGCTGCTCTGTAAAAAGAAAGGTTCAACTCTGTTAGTTGAATACACACGTCACAAACAAGTTTCTGAGAATGCTTCTGTCTAGTTTTTATGGGAAGATATTTCCTTTTTCACCGTAGGCCTCAAAGCGCTCCAAATGTCCACTTCCACATACTACAAAAAGAGTGTTTCAAACCTGCTCTATGATAGGGAATGTTGAAACCTATGAGTTGAATGCAAGCATTACAAAGAGGTTTCTGAGAATGCTTCTGTCTAGATTTTATATGTAGATATTCCCGTTTCCAACGAAATCCTCAAAGCTATCCAAATATCAACTTGCAGATTCTACAAAAGGAATGTTTCCAAAATGCTGTATCCAAACAAAGGTTCAACTCTGTGAATTGAGGGCATACATCACAAAGAAGATTCTGAGAATGCTTCTGTCTAGATTTTATATGAAAATATTCCCGTTTCCAACGAAATCCTCAAAGCTATCCAAATATCCACTTGCAAATGCCACAAAAAGAGTGTTTCCAAACTGCTCTGTGAAAAGGAAGGTTCAACTCTGTTAGTTGAGTACACACATCACAAAGAGGTTTCTGAGAATGCTGCTGACTAGTTTTTATTTGAAGATATTTCCCTTTTCACCTTAGGCCTAAGAGTGCTCGAAATGTCCATTTCCACATACTCCACAAAGTGTGTTTCAAACGTGCTGTATGAAAGGGAATGTTCAACTCTATGAGTTGAATGCAAACATCACAAAGAAGATTCTGAGAATGCTTTTGTCTAGATTTTATATGAAGATATTCCCGTGTCCAACGAAATTTTCAAAGGTCTCCAAATATCCATTTGTAGATTCTACAAAAAGAGTGTTTCCAAACTGCTGTATCAAAACAAAGGTTGAACTCTGTGAGTTGAGGACACACATCACAAATAAGTTTCTGAGAATGCTTCTGTCTAGTTTTTATTTGAAGATGTTTCCTTTTTCACCATAGGCCTGAAAGCGCTCGAAATGTCCACTTCCAGATAGTACAGAAAGAGTGTTTCAAACCTGCTCTATGAACGGGAATGTTCAGCTCTGTGAGTTGAATGCAAACATCACAAAGCAGGTTCTGAGAATGCTTCCGTCTAGATTTTAAATGAGGATATTCCCGTTTCCAACGAAATCCTCGAAGCTATCCAAATATCCACTTGCAGATTCCACAAAAAGAGTGTTTCAAAACTGCTCTGTCAAAAGATAGGTTCAACTCTGTTAGTTGAGTACACACATGGCAAACAAGATTGCGAGAATGCTTTCGTCTAGTTTTTTTGGGAAGATATTTCCTTCTTCACCATAGGCCTCAAAGCGCTCCAAATATCCATTTCCACATGCTATACAAAGAGTGTCTCAAACCTGCTGTATGAATGGGAATGTTCAACTCTATGAGTTGAATGCAAACATCACAAAGAAGTTTCTGAGAATGCTGCTGTCTAGATTTTATATGAAGGTTTTCCCGCTTCCAACGAAATTTTCAATGCTCTCAAAATATCCTCTTGTAGATTCTACAAAAAGAGTGTTTCCAAACTGCTGTATCAAAACAAAGGTTCATCTCTGTTAGGTGAGGACACACATCACAAATAAGTTTCTGAGAATGCTTCTGTCTAGTTCTTATTTGAAGACATTTCCTTTCTCACCTTAGGCCTGAAAGCGCTCGAAATACCCACTTCCAGATACTACAGAAACAGTGATTCAAACCTGCTCTATGAAAGGGAATGTTCAACTATGTGACTTGAATGCAAACATCACAAAGCAGTTTCTGAGAATGCTGCTGTCTACTTTCTATTTGTAATCCCGTTTCCAACGAAATCCTCAGAACTATCGAAATTTCCAATTGCAGATTCCACAGAAACAGGGTTTCAAAGCTGCTCTGTAAAAAGAAAGGTTCAACTCTGTTAGTTGAATACACACGTCACAAACAAGTTTCTGAGAATGCTTCTGTCTAGTTTTTATGGGAAGATATTTCCTTTTTCACCGTAGGCCTCAAAGCGCTCCAAATGTCCACTTCCACATACTACAAAAAGAGTGTTTCAAACCTGCTCTATGATAGGGAATGTTGAAACCTGTGAGTTGAATGCAAACATTACAAAGAGGTTTCTGAGAATGCTTCTGTCTAGATTTTATATGTAGATATTCCCGTTTCCAATGAAATCCTCAAAGCTATCCAAATATCAGCTTGCAGATTCTGCAAAAGGAATGTTTCCAAAATGCTGTATCCAAACAGAGGTTCAACTCTGTGAATTGAGGGCATACATCACAAAGAAGATTCTGAGAATGCTTCTGTCTAGATTTTATATGAAAATATTCCCGTTTCCAACGAAATCCTCAAAGCTATCCAAATATCCACTTGCAAATGCCACAAAAAGAGTGTTTCCAAACTGCTCTGTGAAAAGGAAGGTTCAACTCTGTTAGTTGAGTACACACATCACAAAGAGGTTTCTGAGAATGCTGCTGACTAGTTTTTATTTGAAGATATTTCCCTTTTCACCTTAGGCCTAAGAGTGCTCGAAATGTCCATTTCCACATACTCCACAAAGTGTGTTTCAAACGTGCTGTATGAAAGGGAATGTTCAACTCTATGAGTTGAATGCAAACATCACAAAGAAGATTCTGAGAATGCTTTTGTCTAGATTTTATATGAAGATATTCCCGTGTCCAACGAAATTTTCAAAGGTTTCCAAATAAAGATTGTTTCCAAACTGCTGTATCAAAACAAAGGTTGAACTCTGTGAGTTGAGGACACACATCACAAATAAGTTTCTGAGAATGCTTCTGTCTAGTTTTTATTTGAAGATGTTTCCTTTTTCACCATAGGCCTGAAAGCGCTCGAAATGTCCACTTCCAGATAGTACAGAAAGAGTGTTTCAAACCTGCTCTATGAACGGGAATGTTCAGCTCTGTGAGTTGAATGCAAACATCACAAAGCAGGTTCTGAGAATGCTTCCGTCTAGATTTTAAATGAGGATATTCCCGTTTCCAACGAAATCCTCGAAGCTATCCAAATATCCACCTGCAGATTCCACAAAAAGAGTGTTTCAAAACTGCTCTGTCAAAAGATAGGTTCAACTCTGTTAGTTGAGTACACACATGGCAAACAAGATTCCGAGAATGCTTTCGTCTAGTTTTTTTGGGAAGATATTTCCTTCTTCACCATAGGCCTCAAAGCGCTCCAAATATCCATTTCCACATGCTATACAAAGAGTGTCTCAAACCTGCTGTATGAATGGGAATGTTCAACTCTATGAGTTGAATGCAAACATCACAAAGAAGTTTCTGAGAATGCTGCTGTCTAGATTTTATATGAAGGTTTTCCCGCTTCCAACGAAATTTTCAATGCTCTCAAAATATCCTCTTGTAGATTCTACAAAAAGAGTGTTTCCAAACTGCTGTATCAAAACAAAGGTTCATCTCTGTTAGTTGAGGACACACATCACAAATAAGTTTCTGAGAATGCTTCTGTCTAGTTCTTATTTGAAGACATTTCCTTTCTCACCTTAGGCCTGAAAGCGCTCGAAATACCCACTTCCAGATACTACAGAAACAGTGATTCAAACCTGCTCTATGAAAGGGAATGTTCAACTATGTGACTTGAATGCAAACATCACAAAGCAGTTTCTGAGAATGCTGCTGTCTACTTTCTATTTGTAATCCCGTTTCCAACGAAATCCTCAGAACTATCGAAATTTCCAATTGCAGATTCCACAGAAACAGGGTTTCAAAGCTGCTCTGTAAAAAGAAAGGTTCAACTCTGTTAGTTGAATACACACGTCACAAACAAGTTTCTGAGAATGCTTCTGTCTAGTTTTTATGGGAAGATATTTCCTTTTTCACCGTAGGCCTCAAAGCGCTCCAAATGTCCACTTCCACATACTATAAAAAGAGTGTTTCAAACCTGCTGTATGAAAGGGAATGTTCAACTCTATGAGTTGAATGCAAACATTACAAAGCAAGTTTCTGAGAATGCTTCTGTCTAGATTTTATATGAAGGTTTTCCCGTTTCCAACGAAATTTTCAATGCTCTCAAAATATCCACTTGTAGATTCTACAAAAAGAGTGTTTCCAAACTGCTGTGTCAAAAGAAAGGTTCAACTCTGTTAGTTGAGGACACACATCACAAATAAGTTTCTGAGAATGCTTCTGTCTAGTTCTTATTTGAAGACATTTCCTTTCTCACCTTAGGCCTGAAAACGCTCGAAATATCCACTTCCAGATACGACAGAAACAGTGATTCAAACCTGCTCTATGAAAGGGAATGTTCAACTAGGTGACTTGAATGCAAACATCACAAAGCAGTTTCTGAGAATGCTGCTGTCTACTTTCTATTTGTAATCCCGTTACCAACGAAATCCTCAGAACTATCGAAATTTCCAATTGCAGATTCCACAAAAAGCGTGTTTCAAAGCTGCTCTGTAAAAAGAAAGGTTCATCTCTGTTAGTTGAATACACACGTCACAAACAAGTTTCTGAGAATGCTTCTGTCTAGTTTTTATGGGAAGATATTTCCTTTTTCACGGTAGGCCTCAAAGCGCTCCAAATGTCCACTTCCACATACTACAAAAAGAGTGTTTCAAACCTGCTCTATGATAGGGAATGTTGAAACCTATGAGTTGAATGCAAGCATTACAAAGAGGTTTCTGAGAATGCTTCTGTCTAGATTTTATATGTAGATATTCCCGTTTCCAACGAAATCCTCAAAGCTATCCAAATATCAACTTGCAGATTCTACAAAAGGAATGTTTCCAAAATGCTGTATCCAAACAAAGGTTCAACTCTGTGAATTGAGGGCATACATCACAAAGAAGATTCTGAGAATGCTTCTGTCTAGATTTTATATGAAAATATTCCCGTTTCCAACGAAATCCTCAAAGCTATCCAAATATCCACTTGCAAATGCCACAAAAAGAGTGTTTCCAAACTGCTCTGTGAAAAGGAAGGTTCAACTCTGTTAGTTGAGTACACACATCACAAAGAGGTTTCTGAGAATGCTGCTGACTAGTTTTTATTTGAAGATATTTCCCTTTTCACCTTAGGCCTAAGAGTGCTCGAAATGTCCATTTCCACATACTCCACAAAGTGTGTTTCAAACGTGCTGTATGAAAGGGAATGTTCAACTCTATGAGTTGAATGCAAACATCACAAAGAAGACTCTGAGAATGCTTTTGTCTAGATTTTATATGAAGATATTCCCGTGTCCAACGAAATTTTCAAAGGTCTCCATATATCCATTTGTAGATTCTACAAAAAGAGTGTTTCCAAACTGCTGTATCAAAACAAAGGTTGAACTCTGTGAGTTGAGGACACACATCACAAATAAGTTTCTGAGAATGCTTCTGTCTAGTTCTTATTTGAAGACATTTCCTTTCTCACCTTAGGCCTGAAAACGCTCGAAATATCCACTTCCAGATACGACAGAAACAGTGATTCAAACCTGCTCTATGAAAGGGAATGTTCAACTAGGTGACTTGAATGCAAACATCAGAAAGCAGTTTCTGAGAATGCTGCTGTCTACTT
Source organism: Homo sapiens (assembly GCF_000001405.40). NCBI lineage: Eukaryota > Metazoa > Chordata > Mammalia > Primates > Hominidae > Homo > Homo sapiens. Next base: position 18,645,189 of record NC_000015.10, on the reverse strand, counting down.
TCTATTTGTAATCCCGTTTCCAACGAAATCCTCAGAACTATCGAAATTTCCAATTGCAGATTCCACAAAAAGCGTGTTTCAAAGCTGCTCTGTAAAAAGAAAGGTTCAACTCTGTTAGTTGAATACACACGTCACAAACAAGTTTCTGAGAATGCTTCTGTCTAGTTTTTATGGGAAGATATTTCCTTTTTCACCGTAGGCCTCAAAGCGCTCCAAATGTCCACTTCCACATACTACAAAAAGAGTGTTTCAAACCTGCTCTATGATAGGGAATGTTGAAACCTATGAGTTGAATGCAAGCATTACAAAGAGGTTTCTGAGAATGCTTCTGTCTAGATTTTATATGTAGATATTCCCGTTTCCAACGAAATCCTCAAAGCTATCCAAATATCAGCTTGCAGATTCTGCAAAAGGAATGTTTCCAAAATGCTGTATCCAAACAAAGGTTCAACTCTGTGAATTGAGGGCATACATCACAAAGAAGATTCTGAGAATGCTTCTGTCTAGATTTTATATGAAAATATTCCCGTTTCCAACGAAATCCTCAAAGCTATCCAAATATCCACTTGCAAATGCCACAAAAAGAGTGTTTCCAAACTGCTCTGTGAAAAGGAAGGTTCAACTCTGTTAGTTGAGTACACACATCACAAAGAGGTTTCTGAGAATGCTGCTGACTAGTTTTTATTTGAAGATATTTCCCTTTTCACCTTAGGCCTAAGAGTGCTCGAAATGTCCATTTCCACATACTCCACAAAGTGTGTTTCAAACGTGCTGTATGAAAGGGAATGTTCAACTCTATGAGTTGAATGCAAACATCACAAAGAAGATTCTGAGAATGCTTTTGTCTAGATTTTATATGAAGATATTCCCGTGTCCAACGAAATTTTCAAAGGTCTCCAAATATCCATTTGTAGATTCTACAAAAAGAGTGTTTCCAAACTGCTGTATCAAAACAAAGGTTGAACTCTGTGAGTTGAGGACACACATCACAAATAAGTTTCTGAGAATGCTTCTGTCTAGTTTTTATTTGAAGATGTTTCCTTTTTCACCATAGGCCTGAAAGCGCTCGAAATGTCCACTTCCAGATAGTACAGAAAGAGTGTTTCAAACCTGCTCTATGAACGGGAATGTTCAGCTCTGTGAGTTGAATGCAAACATCACAAAGCAGGTTCTGAGAATGCTTCCGTCTAGATTTTAAATGAGGATATTCCCGTTTCCAACGAAATCCTCGAAGCTATCCAAATATCCACTTGCAGATTCCACAAAAAGAGTGTTTCAAAACTGCTCTGTCAAAAGATAGGTTCAACTCTGTTAGTTGAGTACACACATGGCAAACAAGATTGCGAGAATGCTTTCGTCTAGTTTTTTTGGGAAGATATTTCCTTCTTCACCATAGGCCTCAAAGCGCTCCAAATATCCATTTCCACATGCTATACAAAGAGTGTCTCAAACCTGCTGTATGAATGGGAATGTTCAACTCTATGAGTTGAATGCAAACATCACAAAGAAGTTTCTGAGAATGCTGCTGTCTAGATTTTATATGAAGGTTTTCCCGCTTCCAACGAAATTTTCAATGCTCTCAAAATATCCTCTTGTAGATTCTACAAAAAGAGTGTTTCCAAACTGCTGTATCAAAACAAAGGTTCATCTCTGTTAGTTGAGGACACACATCACAAATAAGTTTCTGAGAATGCTTCTGTCTAGTTCTTATTTGAAGACATTTCCTTTCTCACCTTAGGCCTGAAAGCGCTCGAAATACCCACTTCCAGATACTACAGAAACAGTGATTCAAACCTGCTCTATGAAAGGGAATGTTCAACTATGTGACTTGAATGCAAACATCACAAAGCAGTTTCTGAGAATGCTGCTGTCTACTTTCTATTTGTAATCCCGTTTGCAACGAAATCCTCAGAACTATCGAAATTTCCAATTGCAGATTCCACAGAAACAGGGTTTCAAAGCTGCTCTGTAAAAAGAAAGGTTCAACTCTGTTAGTTGAATACACACGTCACAAACAAGTTTCTGAGAATGCTTCTGTCTAGTTTTTATGGGAAGATATTTCCTTTTTCACCGTAGGCCTCAAAGCGCTCCAAATGTCCACTTCCACATACTACAAAAAGAGTGTTTCAAACCTGCTGTATGAAAGGGAATGTTCAACTCTATGAGTTGAATGCAAACATTACAAAGAAGTTTCTGAGAATGCTTCTGTCTAGATTTTATATGAAGGTTTTCCCGTTTCCAACGAAATTTTCAATGCTCTCAAAATATCCACTTGTAGATTCTACAAAAAGAGTGTTTCCAAACTGCTGTGTCAAAAGAAAGGTTCAACTCTGTTAGTTGAGGACACACATCACAAATAAGTTTCTGAGAATGCTTCTGTCTAGTTCTTATTTGAAGACATTTCCTTTCTCACCTTAGGCCTGAAAACGCTCGAAATATCCACTTCCAGATACGACAGAAACAGTGATTCAAACCTGCTCTATGAAAGGGAATGTTCAACTAGGTGACTTGAATGCAAACATCACAAAGCAGTTTCTGAGAATGCTGCTGTCTACTTTCTATTTGTAATCCCGTTTCCAACGAAATCCTCAGAACTATCGAAATTTCCAATTGCAGATTCCACAAAAAGCGTGTTTCAAAGCTGCTCTGTAAAAAGAAAGGTTCAACTCTGTTAGTTGAATACACACGTCACAAACAAGTTTCTGAGAATGCTTCTGTCTAGTTTTTATGGGAAGATATTTCCTTTTTCACGGTAGGCCTCAAAGCGCTCCAAATGTCCACTTCCACATACTACAAAAAGAGTGTTTCAAACCTGCTCTATGATAGGGAATGTTGAAACCTATGAGTTGAATGCAAGCATTACAAAGAGGTTTCTGAGAATGCTTCTGTCTAGATTTTATATGTAGATATTCCCGTTTCCAACGAAATCCTCAAAGCTATCCAAATATCAGCTTGCAGATTCTGCAAAAGGAATGTTTCCAAAATGCTGTATCCAAACAAAGGTTCAACTCTGTGAATTGAGGGCATACATCACAAAGAAGATTCTGAGAATGCTTTCTGTCTAGATTTTATATGAAAATATTCCCGTTTCCAAAGAAATCCTCAAAGCTATCCAAATATCCACTTGCAAATGCCACACAAAGAGTGTTTCCAAACTGCTCTGTGAAAAGGAAGGTTCAACTCTGTTAGTTGAGTACACACATCACAAAGAGGTTTCTGAGAATGCTGCTGACTAGTTTTTATTTGAAGATATTTCCCTTTTCACCTTAGGCCTAAGAGTGCTCGAAATGTCCATTTCCACATACTCCACAAAGTGTGTTTCAAACGTGCTGTATGAAAGGGAATGTTCAACTCTATGAGTTGAATGCAAACATCACAAAGAAGATTCTGAGAATGCTTTTGTCTAGATTTTATATGAAGATATTCCCGTGTCCAACGAAATTTTCAAAGGTCTCCAAATATCCATTTGTAGATTCTACAAAAAGAGTGTTTCCAAACTGCTGTATCAAAACAAAGGTTGAACTCTGTGAGTTGAGGACACACATCACAAATAAGTTTCTGAGAATGCTTCTGTCTAGTTTTTATTTGAAGATGTTTCCTTTTTCACCATAGGCCTGAAAGCGCTCGAAATGTCCACTTCCAGATAGTACAGAAAGAGTGTTTCAAACCTGCTCTATGAACGGGAATGTTCAGCTCTGTGAGTTGAATGCAAACATCACAAAGCAGGTTCTGAGAATGCTTCCGTCTAGATTTTAAATGAGGATATTCCCGTTTCCAACGAAATCCTCGAAGCTATCCAAATATCCACTTGCAGATTCCACAAAAAGAGTGTTTCAAAACTGCTCTGTCAAAAGATAGGTTCAACTCTGTTAGTTGAGTACACACATGGCAAACAAGATTCCGAGAATGCTTTCGTCTAGTTTTTTTGGGAAGATATTTCCTTCTTCACCATAGGCCTCAAAGCGCTCCAAATATCCATTTCCACATGCTATACAAAGAGTGTCTCAAACCTGCTGTATGAATGGGAATGTTCAACTCTATGAGTTGAATGCAAACATCACAAAGAAGTTTCTGACAATGCTGCTGTCTAGATTTTATATGAAGGTTTTCCCGCTTCCAACGAAATTTTCAATGCTCTCAAAATATCCTCTTGTAGATTCTACAAAAAGAGTGTTTCCAAACTGCTGTATCAAAACAAAGGTTCATCTCTGTTAGTTGAGGACACACATCACAAATAAGTTTCTGAGAATGCTTCTGTCTAGTTCTGATTTGAAGACATTTCCTTTCTCACCTTAGGCCTGAAAACGCTCGAAATATCCACTTCCAGATACGACAGAAACAGTGATTCAAACCTGCTCTATGAAAGGGAATGTTCAACTAGGTGACTTGAATGCAAACATCACAAAGCAGTTTCTGAGAATGCTGCTGTCTACTTTCTATTTGTAATCCCGTTTCCAACGAAATCCTCAGAACTATCGAAATTTCCAATTGCAGATTCCACAAAAAGCGTGTTTCAAAGCTGCTCTGTAAAAAGAAAGGTTCAACTCTGTTAGTTGAATACACACGTCACAAACAAGTTTCTGAGAATGCTTCTGTCTAGTTTTTATGGGAAGATATTTCCTTTTTCACCGTAGGCCTCAAAGCGCTCCAAATGTCCACTTCCACATACTACAAAAAGAGTGTTTCAAACCTGCTCTATGATAGGGAATGTTGAAACCTATGAGTTGAATGCAAACATTACAAAGAGGTTTCTGAGAATGCTTCTGTCTAGATTTTATATGTAGATATTCCCGTTTCCAACGAAATCCTCAAAGCTATCCAAATATCAACTTGCAGATTCTACAAAAGGAATGTTTCCAAAATGCTGTATCCAAACAAAGGTTCAACTCTGTGAATTGAGGGCATACATCACAAAGAAGAGTCTGAGAATGCTTCTGTCTAGATTTTATATGAAAATATTCCCGTTTCCAACGAAATCCTCAAAGCTATCCAAATATCCACTTGCAAATGCCACAAAAAGAGTGTTTCCAAACTGCTCTGTGAAAAGGAAGGTTCAACTCTGTTAGTTGAGTACACACATCACAAAGAGGTTTCTGAGAATGCTGCTGACTAGTTTTTATTTGAAGATATTTCACTTTTCACCTTAGGCCTAAGAGTGCTCGAAATGTCCATTTCCACATACTCCACAAAGTGTGTTTCAAACGTGCTGTATGAAAGGTAATGTTCAACTCTATGAGTTGAATGCAAACATCACAAAGAAGATTCTGAGAATGCTTTTGTCTAGATTTTATATGAAGATATTCCCGTGTCCAACGAAATTTTCAAAGGTCTCCAAATATCCATTTGTAGATTCTACAAAAAGAGTGTTTCCAAACTGCTGTATCAAAACAAAGGTTGAACTCTGTGAGTTGAGGACACACATCACAAATAAGTTTCTGAGAATGCTTCTGTCTAGTTTTTATTTGAAGATGTTTCCTTTTTCACAATAGGCCTGAAAGCGCTCGAAATGTCCACTTCCAGATAGTACAGAAAGAGTGTTTCAAACCTGCTCTATGAACGGGAATGTTCAGCTCTGTGAGTTGAATGCAAACATCACAAAGCAGGTTCTGAGAATGCTTCCGTCTAGATTTTAAATGAGGATATTCCCGTTTCCAACGAAATCCTCGAAGCTATCCAAATATCCACTTGCAGATTCCACAAAAAGAGTGTTTCAAAACTGCTCTGTCAAAAGATAGGTTCAACTCTGTTAGTTGAGTACACACATGGCAAACAAGATTCCGAGAATGCTTTCGTCTAGTTTTTTTGGGAAGATATTTCCTTCTTCACCATAGGCCTCAAAGCGCTCCAAATATCCATTTCCACATGCTATACAAAGAGTGTCTCAAACCTGCTGTATGAATGGGAATGTTCAACTCTATGAGTTGAATGCAAACATCACAAAGAAGTTTCTGAGAATGCTGCTGTCTAGATTTTATATGAAGGTTTTCCCGCTTCCAACGAAATTTTCAATGCTCTCAAAATATCCTCTTGTAGATTCTACAAAAAGAGTGTTTCCAAACTGCTGTATCAAAACAAAGGTTCATCTCTGTTAGTTGAGGACACACATCACAAATAAGTTTCTGAGAATGCTTCTGTCTAGTTCTTATTTGAAGACATTTCCTTTCTCACCTTAGGCCTGAAAACGCTCGAAATATCCACTTCCAGATACGACAGAAACTGTGATTCAAACCTGCTCTATGAAAGGGAATGTTCAACTAGGTGACTTGAATGCAAACATCACAAAGCAGTTTCTGAGAATGCTGCTGTCTACTTTCTATTTGTAATCCCGTTTGCAACGAAATCCTCAGAACTATCGAAATTTCCAATTGCAGATTCCACAAAAAGCGTGTTTCAAAGCTGCTCTGTAAAAAGAAAGGTTCAACTCTGTTAGTTGAATACACACGTCACAAACAAGTTTCTGAGAATGCTTCTGTCTAGTTTTTATGGGAAGATATTTCCTTTTTCACCGTAGGCCTCAAAGCGCTCCAAATGTCCACTTCCACATACTACAAAAAGAGTGTTTCAAACCTGCTCTATGATAGGGAATGTTGAAACCTATGAGTTGAATGCAAGCATTACAAAGAGGTTTCTGAGAATGCTTCTGTCTAGATTTTATATGTAGATATTCCCGTTTCCAACGAAATCCTCAAAGCTATCCAAATATCAACTTGCAGATTCTACAAAAGGAATGTTTCCAAAATGCTGTATCCAAACAAAGGTTCAACTCTGTGAATTGAGGGCATACATCACAAAGAAGATTCTGAGAATGCTTCTGTCTAGATTTTATATGAAAATATTCCCGTTTCCAACGAAATCCTCAAAGCTATCCAAATATCCACTTGCAAATGCCACAAAAAGAGTGTTTCCAAACTGCTCTGTGAAAAGGAAGGTTCAACTCTGTTAGTTGAGTACACACATCACAAAGAGGTTTCTGAGAATGCTGCTGACTAGTTTTTATTTGAAGATATTTCCCTTTTCACCTTAGGCCTAAGAGTGCTCGAAATGTCCATTTCCACATACTCCACAAAGTGTGTTTCAAACGTGCTGTATGAAAGGGAATGTTCAACTCTATGAGTTGAATGCAAACATCACAAAGAAGATTCTGAGAATGCTTTTGTCTAGATTTTATATGAAGATATTCCCGTGTCCAACGAAATTTTCAAAGGTCTCCAAATATCCATTTGTAGATTCTACAAAAAGAGTGTTTCCAAACTGCTGTATCAAAACAAAGGTTGAACTCTGTGAGTTGAGGACACACATCACAAATAAGTTTCTGAGAATGCTTCTGTCTAGTTTTTATTTGAAGATGTATCCTTTTTCACCATAGGCCTGAAAGCGCTCGAAATGTCCACTTCCAGATAGTACAGAAAGAGTGTTTCAAACCTGCTCTATGAACGGGAATGTTCAGCTCTGTGAGTTGAATGCAAACATCACAAAGCAGGTTCCGAGAATGCTTCCGTCTAGATTTTAAATGAGGATATTCCCGTTTCCAACGAAATCCTCGAAGCTATCCAAATATCCACTTGCAGATTCCACAAAAAGAGTGTTTCAAAACTGCTCTGTCAAAAGATAGGTTCAACTCTGTTAGTTGAGTACACACATGGCAAACAAGATTCCGAGAATGCTTTCGTCTAGTTTTTTTGGGAAGATATTTCCTTCTTCACCATAGGCCTCAAAGCGCTCCAAATATCCATTTCCACATGCTATACAAAGAGTGTCTCAAACCTGCTGTATGAATGGGAATGTTCAACTCTATGAGTTGAATGCAAACATCACAAAGAAGTTTCTGAGAATGCTGCTGTCTAGATTTTATATGAAGGTTTTCCCGCTTCCAACGAAATTTTCAATGCTCTCAAAATATCCTCTTGTAGATTCTACAAAAAGAGTGTTTCCAAACTGCTGTATCAAAACAAAGGTTCATCTCTGATAGTTGAGGACACACATCACAAATAAGTTTCTGAGAATGCTTCTGTCTAGTTCTTATTTGAAGACATTTCCTTTCTCACCTTAGGCCTGAAAGCGCTCGAAATATCCACTTCCAGATACGAGAGAAACAGTGATTCAAACCTGCTCTATGAAAGGGAATGTTCAACTAGGTGACTTGAATGCAAACATCACAAAGCAGTTTCTGAGAATGCTGCTGTCTACTTTCTATTTGTAATCCCGTTTCCAACGAAATCCTCAGAACTATCGAAATTTCCAATTGCAGATTCCACAGAAACAGGGTTTCAAAGCTGCTCTGTAAAAAGAAAGGTTCAACTCTGTTAGTTGAATACACACGTCACAAACAAGTTTCAGAGAATGCTTCTGTCTAGTTTTTATGGGAAGATATTTCCTTTTTCACCGTAGGCCTCAAAGCGCTCCAAATGTCCACTTCCACATACTACAAAAAGAGTGTTTCAAACCTGCTGTATGAAAGGGAATGTTCAACTCTATGAGTTGAATGCAAACATTACAAAGAAGTTTCTGAGAATGCTTCTGTCTAGATTTTATATGAAGGTTTTCCCGTTTCCAACGAAATTTTCAATGCTCTCAAAATATCCACTTGTAGATTCTACAAAAAGAGTGTTTCCAAACTGCTGTGTCAAAAGAAAGGTTCAACTCTGTTAGTTGAGGACACACATCACAAATAAGTTTCTGAGAATGCTTCTGTCTAGTTCTTATTTGAAGACATTTCCTTTCTCACCTTAGGCCTGAAAACGCTCGAAATATCCACTTCCAGATACGACAGAAACAGTGATTCAAACCTGCTCTATGAAAGGGAATGTTCAACTAGGTGACTTGAATGCAAACATCACAAAGCAGTTTCTGAGAATGCTGCTGTCTACTTTCTATTTGTAATCCCGTTTCCAACGAAATCCTCAGAACTATCGAAATTTCCAATTGCAGATTCCACAAAAAGCGTGTTTCAAAGCTGCTCTGTAAAAAGAAAGGTTCAACTCTGTTAGTTGAATAGACACGTCACAAACAAGTTTCTGAGAATGCTTCTGTCTAGTTTTTATGGGAAGATATTTCCTTTTTCACCGTAGGCCTCAAAGCGCTCCAAATGTCCACTTCCACATACTACAAAAAGAGTGTTTCAAACCTGCTCTATGATAGGGAATGTTGAAACCTATGAGTTGAATGCAAGCATTACAAAGAGGTTTCTGAGAATGCTTCTGTCTAGATTTTATATGTAGATATTCCCGTTTCCAACGAAATCCTCAAAGCTATCCAAATATCAACTTGCAGATTCTACAAAAGGAATGTTTCCAAAATGCTGTATCCAAACAAAGGTTCAACTCTGTGAATTGAGGGCATACATCACAAAGAAGATTCTGAGAATGCTTCTGTCTAGATTTTATATGAAAATATTCCCGTTTCCAACGAAATCCTCAAAGCTATCCAAATATCCACTTGCAAATGCCACAAAAAGAGTGTTTCCAAACTGCTCTGTGAAAAGGAAGGTTCAACTCTGTTAGTTGAGTACACACATCACAAAGAGGTTTCTGAGAATGCTGCTGACTAGTTTTTATTTGAAGATATTTCCCTTTTCACCTTAGGCCTAAGAGTGCTCGAAATGTCCATTTCCACATACTCCACAAAGTGTGTTTCAAACGTGCTGTATGAAAGGGAATGTTCAACTCTATGAGTTGAATGCAAACATCACAAAGAAGATTCTGAGAATGCTTTTGTCTAGATTTTATATGAAGATATTCCCGTGTCCAACGAAATTTTCAAAGGTCTCCAAATATCCATTTGTAGATTCTACAAAAAGAGTGTTTCCAAACTGCTGTATCAAAACAAAGGTTGAACTCTGTGAGTTGAGGACACACATCACAAATAAGTTTCTGAGAATGCTTCTGTCTAGTTTTTATTTGAAGATGTTTCCATTTCCACCATAGGCCTGAAAGCGCTCGAAATGTCCACTTCCAGATAGTACAGAAAGAGTGTTTCAAACCTGCTCTATGAACGGGAATGTTCAGCTCTGTGAGTTGAATGCAAACATCACAAAGCAGGTTCTGAGAATGCTTCCGTCTAGATTTTAAATGAGGATATTCCCGTTTCCAACGAAATCCTCGAAGCTATCCAAATATCCACTTGCAGATTCCACAAAAAGAGTGTTTCAAAACTGCTCTGTCAAAAGATAGGTTCAACTCCGTTAGTTGAGTACACACATGGCAAACAAGATTGCGAGAATGCTTTCGTCTAGTTTTTTTGGGAAGATATTTCCTTCTTCACCATAGGCCTCAAAGCGCTCCAAATATCCATTTCCACATGCTATACAAAGAGTGTCTCAAACCTGCTGTATGAATGGGAATGTTCAACTCTATGAGTTGAATGCAAACATCACAAAGAAGTTTCTGAGAATGCTGCTGTCTAGATTTTATATGAAGGTTTTCCCGCTTCCAACGAAATTTTCAATGCTCTCAAAATATCCTCTTGTAGATTCTACAAAAAGAGTGTTTCCAAACTGCTGTATCAAAACAAAGGTTCATCTCTGTTAGTTGAGGACACACATCACAAATAAGTTTCTGAGAATGCTCTGTCTAGTTCTTATTTGAAGACATTTCCTTTCTCACCTTAGGCCTGAAAACGCTCGAAATATCCACTTCCAGATACGACAGAAACAGTGATTCAAACCTGCTCTATGAAAGGGAATGTTCAACTAGGTGACTTGAATGCAAACATCACAAAGCAGTTTCTGAGAATGCTGTGCTGTCTACTTTCTATTTGTAATCCCGTTTCCAACGAAATCCTCAGAACTATCGAAATTTCCAATTGCAGATTCCACAGAAACAGGGTTTCAAAGCTGCTCTGTAAAAAGAAAGGTTCAACTCTGTTAGTTGAATACACACGTCACAAACAAGTTTCTGAGAATGCTTCTGTCTAGTTTTTATGGGAAGATATTTCCTTTTTCACCGTAGGCCTCAAAGCGCTCCAAATGTCCACGTCCACATACTACAAAAAGAGTGTTTCAAACCTGCTGTATGAAAGGGAATGTTCAACTCTATGAGTTGAATGCAAACATTACAAAGAAGTTTCTGAGAATGCTTCTGTCTAGATTTTATATGAAGGTTTTCCCGTTTCCAACGAAATTTTCAATGCTCTCAAAATATCCACTTGTAGATTCTACAAAAAGAGTGTTTCCAAACTGCTGTGTCAAAAGAAAGGTTCAACTCTGTTAGTTGAGGACACACATCACAAATAAGTTTCTGAGAATGCTTCTGTCTAGTTCTTATTTGAAGACATTTCCTTTCTCACCTTAGGCCTGAAAACGCTCGAAATATCCACTTCCAGATACGACAGAAACAGTGATTCAAACCTGCTCTATGAAAGGGAATGTTCAACTAGGTGACTTGAATGCAAACATCACAAAGCAGTTTCTGAGAATGCTGCTGTCTACTTTCTATTTGTAATCCCGTTTCCAACGAAATCCTCAGAACTATCGAAATTTCCAATTGCAGATTCCACAAAAAGCGTGTTTCAAAGCTGCTCTGTAAAAAGAAAGGTTCAACTCTGTTAGTTGAATACACACGTCACAAACAAGTTTCTGAGAATGCTTCTGTCTAGTTTTTATGGGAAGATATTTCCTTTTTCACCGTAGGCCTCAAAGCGCTCCAAATGTCCACTTCCACATACTACAAAAAGAGTGTTTCAAACCTGCTCTATGATAGGGAATGTTGAAACCTATGAGTTGAATGCAAGCATTACAAAGAGGTTTCTGAGAATGCTTCTGTCTAGATTTTATATGTAGATATTCCCGTTTCCAACGAAATCCTCAAAGCTATCCAAATATCAACTTGCAGATTCTACAAAAGGAATGTTTCCAAAATGCTGTATCCAAACAAAGGTTCAACTCTGTGAATTGAGGGAATACATCACAAAGAAGATTCTGAGAATGCTTCTGTCTAGATTTTATATGAAAATATTCCCGTTTCCAACGAAATCCTCAAAGCTATCCAAATATCCACTTGCAAATGCCACAAAAAGAGTGTTTCCAAACTGCTCTGTGAAAAGGAAGGTTCAACTCTGTTAGTTGAGTACACACATCACAAAGAGGTTTCTGAGAATGCTGCTGACTAGTTTTTATTTGAAGATATTTCCCTTTTCACCTTAGGCCTAAGAGTGCTCGAAATGTCCATTTCCACATACTCCACAAAGTGTGTTTCAAACGTGCTGTATGAAAGGGAATGTTCAACTCTATGAGTTGAATGCAAACATCACAAAGAAGATTCTGAGAATGCTTTTGTCTAGATTTTATATGAAGATATTCCCGTGTCCAACGAAATTTTCAAAGGTCTCCAAATATCCATTTGTAGATTCTACAAAAAGAGTGTTTCCAAACTGCTGTATCAAAACAAAGGTTGAACTCTGTGAGTTGAGGACACACATCACAAATAAGTTTCTGAGAATGCTTCTGTCTAGTTTTTATTTGAAGATGTTTCCTTTTTCACCATAGGCCTGAAAGCGCTCGAAATGTCCACTTCCAGATAGTACAGAAAGAGTGTTTCAAACCTGCTCTATGAACGGGAATGTTCAGCTCTGTGAGTTGAATGCAAACATCACACAGCAGGTTCTGAGAATGCTTCCGTCTAGATTTTAAATGAGGATATTCCCGTTTCCAACGAAATCCTCGAAGCTATCCAAATATCCACTTGCAGATTCCACAAAAAGAGTGTTTCAAAACTGCTCTGTCAAAAGATAGGTTCAACTCTGTTAGTTGAGTACACACATGGCAAACAAGATTCCGAGAATGCTTTCGTCTAGTTTTTTTGGGAAGATATTTCCTTCTTCACCATAGGCCTCAAAGCGCTCCAAATATCCATTTCCACATGCTATACAAAGAGTGTCTCAAACCTGCTGTATGAATGGGAATGTTCAACTCTATGAGTTGAATGCAAACATCACAAAGAAGTTTCTGAGAATGCTGCTGTCTAGATTTTATATGAAGGTTTTCCCGCTTCCAACGAAATTTTCAATGCTCTCAAAATATCCTCTTGTAGATTCTACAAAAAGAGTGTTTCCAAACTGCTGTATCAAAACAAAGGTTCATCTCTGTTAGTTGAGGACACACATCACAAATAAGTTTCTGAGAATGCTTCTGTCTAGTTCTTATTTGAAGACATTTCCTTTCTCACCTTAGGCCTGAAAGCGCTCGAAATACCCACTTCCAGATACGACAGAAACAGTGATTCAAACCTGCTCTATGAAAGGGAATGTTCAACTATGTGACTTGAATGCAAACATCACAAAGCAGTTTCTGAGAATGCTGCTGTCTACTTTCTATTTGTAATCCCGTTTCCAACGAAATCCTCAGAACTATCGAAATTTCCAATTGCAGATTCCACAGAAACAGGGTTTCAAAGCTGCTCTGTAAAAAGAAAGGTTCAACTCTGTTAGTTGAATACACACGTCACAAACAAGTTTCTGAGAATGCTTCTGTCTAGTTTTTATGGGAAGATATTTCCTTTTTCACCGTAGGCCTCAAAGCGCTCCAAATGTCCACTTCCACATACTACAAAAAGAGTGTTTCAAACCTGCTGTATGAAAGGGAATGTTCAACTCTATGAGTCGAATGCAAACATTACAAAGAAGTTTCTGAGAATGCTTCTGTCTAGATTTTATATGAAGGTTTTCCCGTTTCCAACGAAATTTTCAATGCTCTCAAAATATCCACTTGTAGATTCTACAAAAAGAGTGTTTCCAAACTGCTGTGTCAAAAGAAAGGTTCAACTCTGTTAGTTGAGGACACACATCACAAATAAGTTTCTGAGAATGCTTCTGTCTAGTTCTTATTTGAAGACATTTCCTTTCTCACCTTAGGCCTGAAAACGCTCGAAATATCCACTTCCAGATACGACAGAAACAGTGATTCAAACCTGCTCTATGAAAGGGAATGTTCAACTAGGTGACTTGAATGCAAACATCACAAAGCAGTTTCTGAGAATGCTGCTGTCTACTTTCTATTTGTAATCCCGTTTCCAACGAAATCCTCAGAACTATCGAAATTTCCAATTGCAGATTCCACAAAAAGCGTGTTTCAAAGCTGCTCTGTAAAAAGAAAGGTTCAACTCTGTTAGTTGAATACACACGTCACAAACAAGTTTCTGAGAATGCTTCTGTCTAGTTTTTATGGGAAGATATTTCCTTTTTCACCGTAGGCCTCAAAGCGCTCCAAATGTCCACTTCCACATACTACAAAAAGAGTGTTTCAAACCTGCTCTATGATAGGGAATGTTGAAACCTATGAGTTGAATGCAAGCATTACAAAGAAGTTTCTGAGAATGCTTCTGTCTAGATTTTATATGTAGATAGATATTCCCGTTTCCAACGAAATCCTCAAAGCTATCCAAATATCAACTTGCAGATTCTACAAAAGGAATGTTTCCAAAATGCTGTATCCAAACAAAGGTTCAACTCTGTGAATTGAGGGCATACATCACAAAGAAGATTCTGAGAATGCTTCTGTCTAGATTTTATATGAAAATATTCCCGTTTCCAACGAAATCCTCAAAGCTATCCAAATATCCACTTGCAAATGCCACAAAAAGAGTGTTTCCAAACTGCTCTGTGAAAAGGAAGGTTCAACTCTGTTAGTTGAGTACACACATCACAAAGAGGTTTCTGAGAATGCTGCTGACTAGTTTTTATTTGAAGATATTTCCCTTTTCACCTTAGGCCTAAGAGTGCTCGAAATGTCCATTTCCACATACTCCACAAAGTGTGTTTCAAACGTGCTGTATGAAAGGGAATGTTCAACTCTATGAGTTGAATGCAAACATCACAAAGAAGATTCTGAGAATGCTTTTGTCTAGATTTTATATGAAGATATTCCCGTGTCCAACGAAATTTTCAAAGGTCTCCAAATATCCATTTGTAGATTCTACAAAAAGAGTGTTTCCAAACTGCTGTATCAAAACAAAGGTTGAACTCTGTGAGTTGAGGACACACATCACAAATAAGTTTCTGAGAATGCTTCTGTCTAGTTTTTATTTGAAGATGTTTCCTTTTTCACCATAGGCCTGAAAGCGCTCGAAATGTCCACTTCCAGATAGTACAGAAAGAGTGTTTCAAACCTGCTCTATGAACGGGAATGTTCAGCTACTGTGAGTTGAATGCAAACATCACAAAGCAGGTTCTGAGAATGCTTCCGTCTAGCATTTTAAATGAGGATATTCCCGTTTCCAACGAAATCCTCGAAGCTATCCAAATATCCACTTGCAGATTCCACAAAAAGAGTGTTTCAAAACTGCTCTGTCAAAAGATAGGTTCAACTCCGTTAGTTGAGTACACACATGGCAAACAAGATTGCGAGAATGCTTTCGTCTAGTTTTTTTGGGAAGATATTTCCTTCTTCACCATAGGCCTCAAAGCGCTCCAAATATCCATTTCCACATGCTATACAAAGAGTGTCTCAAACCTGCTGTATGAATGGGAATGTTCAACTCTATGAGTTGAATGCAAACATCACAAAGAAGTTTCTGAGAATGCTGCTGTCTAGATTTTATATGAAGGTTTTCCCGCTTCCAACGAAATTTTCAATGCTCTCAAAATATCCTCTTGTAGATTCTACAAAAAGAGTGTTTCCAAACTGCTGTATCAAAACAAAGGTTCATCTCTGTTAGTTGAGGACACACATCACAAATAAGTTTCTGAGAATGCTTCTGTCTAGTTCTTATTTGAAGACATTTCCTTTCTCACCTTAGGCCTGAAAACGCTCGAAATACCCACTTCCAGATACGACAGAAACAGGGATTCAAACCTGCTCTATGAAAGGGAATGTTCAACTATGTGACTTGAATGCAAACATCACAAAGCAGTTTCTGAGAATGCTGCTGTCTACTTTCTATTTGTAATCCCGTTTCCAACGAAATCCTCAGAACTATCGAAATTTCCAATTGCAGATTCCACAGAAACAGGGTTTCAAAGCTGCTCTGTAAAAAGAAAGGTTCAACTCTGTTAGTTGAATACACACGTCACAAACAAGTTTCTGAGAATGCTTCTGTCTAGTTTTTATGGGAAGATATTTCCTTTTTCACCGTAGGCCTCAAAGCGCTCCAAATGTCCACTTCCACATACTACAAAAAGAGTGTTTCAAACCTGCTGTATGAAAGGGAATGTTCAACTCTATGAGTCGAATGCAAACATTACAAAGAAGTTTCTGAGAATGCTTCTGTCTAGATTTTATATGAAGGTTTTCCCGTTTCCAACGAAATTTTCAATGCTCTCAAAATATCCACTTGTAGATTCTACAAAAAGAGTGTTTCCAAACTGCTGTGTCAAAAGAAAGGTTCAACTCTGTTAGTTGAGGACACACATCACAAATAAGTTTCTGAGAATGCTTCTGTCTAGTTCTTATTTGAAGACATTTCCTTTCTCACCTTAGGCCTGAAAAGGCTCGAAATATCCACTTCCAGATGCGACAGAAACAGTGATTCAAACCTGCTCTATGAAAGGGAATGTTCAACTAGGTGACTTGAATGCAAACATCACAAAGCAGTTTCTGAGAATGCTGCTGTCTACTTTCTATTTGTAATCCCGTTTCCAACGAAATCCTCAGAACTATCGAAATTTCCAATTGCAGATTCCACAAAAAGCGTGTTTCAAAGCTGCTCTGTAAAAAGAAAGGTTCAACTCTGTTAGTTGAATACACACGTCACAAACAAGTTTCTGAGAATGCTTCTGTCTAGTTTTTATGGGAAGATATTTCCTTTTTCACCGTAGGCCTCAAAGCGCTCCAAATGTCCACTTCCACATACTACAAAAAGAGTGTTTCAAACCTGCTGTATGAAAGGGAATGTTCAACTCTATGAGTTGAATGCAAACATTACAAAGAAGTTTCTGAGAATGCTTCTGTCTAGATTTTATATGAAGATTTTCCCGTTTCCAACGAAATTTTCAATGCTCTCAAAATATCCACTTGTAGATTCTACAAAAAGAGTGTTTCCAAACTGCTGTGTCAAAAGAAAGGTTCAACTCTGTTAGTTGAGGACACACATCACAAATAAGTTTCTGAGAATGCTTCTGTCTAGTTCTTATTTGAAGACATTTCCTTTCTCACCTTAGGCCTGAAAACGCTCGAAATATCCACTTCCAGATACGACAGAAACAGTGATTCAAACCTGCTCTATGAAAGGGAATGTTCAACTAGGTGACTTGAATGCAAACATCACAAAGCAGTTTCTGAGAATGCTGCTGTCTACTTTCTATTTGTAATCCCGTTTCCAACGAAATCCTCAGAACTATCGAAATTTCCAATTGCAGATTCCACAAAAAGCGTGTTTCAAAGCTGCTCTGTAAAAAGAAAGGTTCAACTCTGTTAGTTGAATACACACGTCACAAACAAGTTTCTGAGAATGCTTCTGTCTAGTTTTTATGGGAAGATATTTCCTTTTTCACCGTAGGCCTCAAAGCGCTCCAAATGTCCACTTCCACATACTACAAAAAGAGTGTTTCAAACCTGCTCTATGATAGGGAATGTTGAAACCTATGAGTTGAATGCAAGCATTACAAAGAGGTTTCTGAGAATGCTTCTGTCTAGATTTTATATGTAGATATTCCCGTTTCCAACGAAATCCTCAAAGCTATCCAAATATCAACTTGCAGATTCTACAAAAGGAATGTTTCCAAAATGCTGTATCCAAACAAAGGTTCAACTCTGTGAATTGAGGGCATACATCACAAAGAAGATTCTGAGAATGCTTCTGTCTAGATTTTATATGAAAATATTCCCGTTTCCAACGAAATCCTCAAAGCTATCTAAATATCCACTTGCAAATGCCACAAAAAGAGTGTTTCCAAACTGCTCTGTGAAAAGGAAGGTTCAACTCTGTTAGTTGAGTACACACATCACAAAGAGGTTTCTGAGAATGCTGCTGACTAGTTTTTATTTGAAGATATTTCCCTTTTCACCTTAGGCCTAAGAGTGCTCGAAATGTCCATTTCCACATATTCCACAAAGTGTGTTTCAAACGTGCTGTATGAAAGGGAATGTTCAACTCTATGAGTTGAATGCAAACATCACAAAGAAGATTCTGAGAATGCTTTTGTCTAGATTTTATATGAAGATATTCCCGTGTCCAATGAAATTTTCAAAGGTCTCCAAATATCCATTTGTAGATTCTACAAAAAGAGTGTTTCCAAACTGCTGTATCAAAACAAAGGTTGAACTCTGTGAGTTGAGGACACACATCACAAATAAGTTTCTGAGAATGCTTCTGTCTAGTTTTTATTTGAAGATGTTTCCTTTTTCACCATAGGCCTGAAAGCGCTCGAAATGTCCACTTCCAGATAGTACAGAAAGAGTGTTTCAAACCTGCTCTATGAACGGGAATGTTCAGCTCTGTGAGTTGAATGCAAACATCACAAAGCAGGTTCTGAGAATGCTTCCGTCTAGATTTTAAATGAGGATATTCCCGTTTCCAACGAAATCCTCGAAGCTATCCAAATATCCACTTGCAGATTCCACAAAAAGAGTGTTTCAAAACTGCTCTGTCAAAAGATAGGTTCAACTCTGTTAGTTGAGTACACACATGGCAAACAAGATTCCGAGAATGCTTTCGTCTAGTTTTTTTGGGAAGATATTTCCTTCTTCACCATAGGCCTCAAAGCGCTCCAAATATCCATTTCCACATGCTATACAAAGAGTGTCTCAAACCTGCTGTATGAATGGGAATGTTCAACTCTATGAGTTGAATGCAAACATCACAAAGAAGTTTCTGAGAATGCTGCTGTCTAGATTTTATATGAAGGTTTTCCCGCTTCCAACGAAATTTTCAATGCTCTCAAAATATCCTCTTGTAGATTCTACAAAAAGAGTGTTTCCAAACTGCTGTATCAAAACAAAGGTTCATCTCTGTTAGTTGAGGACACACATCACAAATAAGTTTCTGAGAATGCTTCTGTCTAGTTCTTATTTGAAGACATTTCCTTTCTCACCTTAGGCCTGAAAGCGCTCGAAATACCCACTTCCAGATACTACAGAAACAGTGATTCAAACCTGCTCTATGAAAGGGAATGTTCAACAATGTGACTTGAATGCAAACATCACAAAGCAGTTTCTGAGAATGCTGCTGTCTACTTTCTATTTGTAATCCCGTTTGCAACGAAATCCTCAGAACTATCGAAATTTCCAATTGCAGATTCCACAGAAACAGGGTTTCAAAGCTGCTCTGTAAAAAGAAAGGTTCAACTCTGTTAGTTGAATACACACGTCACAAACAAGTTTCTGAGAATGCTTCTGTCTAGTTTTTATGGGAAGATATTTCCTTTTTCACCGTAGGCCTCAAAGCGCTCCAAATGTCCACGTCCACATACTACAAAAAGAGTGTTTCAAACCTGCTGTATGAAAGGGAATGTTCAACTCTATGAGTTGAATGCAAACATTACAAAGAAGTTTCTGAGAATGCTTCTGTCTAGATTTTATATGAAGGTTTTCCCGTTTCCAACGAAATTTTCAATGCTCTCAAAATATCCACTTGTAGATTCTACAAAAAGAGTGTTTCCAAACTGCTGTGTCAAAAGAAAGGTTCAACTCTGTTAGTTGAGGACACACATCACAAATAAGTTTCTGAGAATGCTTCTGTCTAGTTCTTATTTGAAGACATTTCCTTTCTCACCTTAGGCCTGAAAACGCTCGAAATATCCACTTCCAGATACGACAGAAACAGTGATTCAAACCTGCTCTATGAAAGGGAATGTTCAACTAGGTGACTTGAATGCAAACATCAGAAAGCAGTTTCTGAGAATGCTGCTGTCTACTTTCTATTTGTAATCCCGTTTCCAACGAAATCCTCAGAACTATCGAAATTTCCAATTGCAGATTCCACAAAAAGCGTGTTTCAAAGCTGCTCTGTAAAAAGAAAGGTTCAACTCTGTTAGTTGAATACACACGTCACAAACAAGTTTCTGAGAATGCTTCTGTCTAGTTTTTATGGGAAGATATTTCCTTTATTCACCGTAGGCCTCAAAGCGCTCCAAATGTCCACTTCCACATACTACAAAAAGAGTGTTTCAAACCTGCTCTATGATAGGGAATGTTGAAACCTATGAGTTGAATGCAAGCATTACAAAGAGGTTTCTGAGAATGCTTCTGTCTAGATTTTATATGTAGATATTCCCGTTTCCAACGAAATCCTCAAAGCTATCCAAATATCAACTTGCACATTCTACAAAAGGAATGTTTCCAAAATGCTGTATCCAAACAAAGGTTCAACTCTGTGAATTGAGGGCATACATCACAAAGAAGATTCTGAGAATGCTTCTGTCTAGATTTTATATGAAAATATTCCCGTTTCCAACGAAATCCTCAAAGCTATCCAAATATCCACTTGCAAATGCCACAAAAAGAGTGTTTCCAAACTGCTCTGTGAAAAGGAAGGTTCAACTCTGTTAGTTGAGTACACACATCACAAAGAGGTTTCTGAGAATGCTGCTGACTAGTTTTTATTTGAAGATATTTCCCTTTTCACCTTAGGCCTAAGAGTGCTCGAAATGTCCATTTCCACATACTCCACAAAGTGTGTTTCAAACGTGCTGTATGAAAGGGAATGTTCAACTCTATGAGTTGAATGCAAACATCACAAAGAAGATTCTGAGAATGCTTTTGTCTAGATTTTATATGAAGATATTCCCGTGTCCAACGAAATTTTCAAAGGTCTCCAAATATCCATTTGTAGATTCTACAAAAAGAGTGTTTCCAAACTGCTGTATCAAAACAAAGGTTGAACTCTGTGAGTTGAGGACACACATCACAAATAAGTTTCTGAGAATGCTTCTGTCTAGTTTTTATTTGAAGATGTTTCCTTTTTCACCATAGGCCTGAAAGCGCTCGAAATGTCCACTTCCAGATAGTACAGAAAGAGGGTTTCAAACCTGCTCTATGAACGGGAATGTTCAGCTCTGTGAGTTGAATGCAAACATCACAAAGCAGGTTCTGAGAATGCTTCCGTCTAGATTTTAAATGAGGATATTCCCGTTTCCAACGAAATCCTCGAAGCTATCCAAATATCCACTTGCAGATTCCACAAAAAGAGTGTTTCAAAACTGCTCTGTCAAAAGATAGGTTCAACTCTGTTAGTTGAGTACACACATGGCAAACAAGATTCCGAGAATGCTTTCGTCTAGTTTTTTTGGGAAGATATTCCCTTCTTCACCATAGGCCTCAAAGCGCGCCAAATATCCATTTCCACATACTATACAAAGAGTGTCTCAAACCTGCTGTATGAATGGGAATGTTCAACTCTATGAGTTGAATGCAAACATCACAAAGAAGTTTCTGAGAATGCTGCTGTCTAGATTTTATATGAAGGTTTTCCCGCTTCCAATGAAATTTTCAATGCTCTCAAAATATCCTCTTGTAGATTCTACAAAAAGAGTGTTTCTAAACTGCTGTGTCAAAACAAAGTTTCATCTCTGTTAGTTGAGGACACACATCACAAATAAGTTTCTGAGAATGCTTCTGTCTAGTTCTTATTTGAAGACATTTCCTTTCTCACCTTAGGCCTGAAAACGCTCGAAATATCCACTTCCAGATACGACAGAAACAGGGATTCAAACCTGCTCTATGAAAGGGTATGTTCAACTAGGTGACTTGAATGCAAACATCACAAAGCAGTTTCTGAGAATGCTGCTGTCTACTTTCTATTTGTAATCCCGTTTCCAACGAAATCCTCAGAACTATCGAAATTTCCAATTGCAGATTCCACAAAAAGCGTGTTTCAAAGCTGCTCTGTAAAAAGAAAGGTTCAACTCTGTTAGTTGAATACACACGTCACAAACAAGTTTCTGAGAATGCTTCTGTCTAGTTTTTATGGGAAGATATTTCCTTTTTCACCGTAGGCCTCAAAGCGCTCCAAATGTCCACTTCCACATACTACAAAAAGAGTGTTTCAAACCTGCTCTATGATAGGGAATGTTGAAACCTATGAGTTGAATGCAAGCATTACAAAGAGGTTTCTGAGAATGCTTCTGTCTAGATTTTATATGTAGATATTCCCGTTTCCAACGAAATCCTCAAAGCTATCCAAATATCAACTTGCAGATTCTACAAAAGGAATGTTTCCAAAATGCTGTATCCAAACAAAGGTTCAACTCTGTGAATTGAGGGCATACATCACAAAGAAGATTCTGAGAATGCTTCTGTCTAGATTTTATATGAAAATATTCCCGTTTCCAACGAAATCCTCAAAGCTATCTAAATATCCACTTGCAAATGCCACAAAAAGAGTGTTTCCAAACTGCTCTGTGAAAAGGAAGGTTCAACTCTGTTAGTTGAGTACACACATCACAAAGAGGTTTCTGAGAATGCTGCTGACTAGTTTTTATTTGAAGATATTTCCCTTTTCACCTTAGGCCTAAGAGTGCTCGAAATGTCCATTTCCACATACTCCACAAAGTGTGTTTCAAACGTGCTGTATGAAAGGGAATGTTCAACTCTATGAGTTGAATGCAAACATCACAAAGAAGATTCTGAGAATGCTTTTGTCTAGATTTTATATGAAGATATTCCCGTGTCCAACGAAATTTTCAAAGGTCTCCAAATATCCATTTGTAGATTCTACAAAAAGAGTGTTTCCAAACTGCTGTATCAAAACAAAGGTTGAACTCTGTGAGTTGAGGACACACATCACAAATAAGTTTCTGAGAATGCTTCTGTCTAGTTTTTATTTGAAGATGTTTCCTTTTTCACCATAGGCCTGAAAGCGCTCGAAATGTCCACTTCCAGATAGTACAGAAAGAGTGTTTCAAACCTGCTCTATGAACGGGAATGTTCAGCTCTGTGAGTTGAATGCAAACATCACAAAGCAGGTTCTGAGAATGCTTCCGTCTAGATTTTAAATGAGGATATTCCCGTTTCCAACGAAATCCTCGAAGCTATCCAAATATCCACTTGCAGATTCCACAAAAAGAGTGTTTCAAAACTGCTCTGTCAAAAGATAGGTTCAACTCTGTTAGTTGAGTACACACATGGCAAACAAGATTCCGAGAATGCTGCTGACTAGTTTTTATTTGAAGATATTTCCCTTTTCACCTTAGGCCTAAGAGTGCTCGAAATGTCCATTTCCACATACTCCACAAAGTGTGTTTCAAACGTGCTGTATGAAAGGGAATGTTCAACTCTATGAGTTGAATGCAAACATCACAAAGAAGTTTCTGAGAATGCTGCTGTCTAGATTTTATATGAAGGTTTTCCCGCTTCCAACGAAATTTTCAATGCTCTCAAAATATCCTCTTGTAGATTCTACAAAAAGAGTGTTTCCAAACTGCTGTATCAAAACAAAGGTTCATCTCTGTTAGTTGAGGACACACATCACAAATAAGTTTCTGAGAATGCTTCTGTCTAGTTCTTATTTGAAGACATTTCCTTTCTCACCTTAGGCCTGAAAGCGCTCGAAATACCCACTTCCAGATACTACAGAAACAGTGATTCAAACCTGCTCTATGAAAGGGAATGTTCAACTATGTGACTTGAATGCAAACATCACAAAGCAGTTTCTGAGAATGCTGCTGTCTACCTTCTATTTGTAATCCCGTTCCCAACGAAATCCTCAGAACTATCGAAATTTCCAATTGCAGATTCCACAGAAACAGGGTTTCAAAGCTGCTCTGTAAAAAGAAAGGTTCAACTCTGTTAGTTGAATACACACGTCACAAACAAGTTTCTGAGAATGCTTCTGTCTAGTTTTTATGGGAAGATATTTCCTTTTTCACCGTAGGCCTCAAAGCGCTCCAAATGTCCACTTCCACATACTTCAAAAAGAGTGTTTCAAACCTGCTGTATGAAAGGGAATGTTCAACTCTATGAGTTGAATGCAAACATTACAAAGAAGTTTCTGAGAATGCTTCTGTCTAGATTTTATATGAAGGTTTTCCCGTTTCCAACGAAATTTTCAATGCTCTCAAAATATCCACTTGTAGATTCTACAAAAAGAGTGTTTCCAAACTGCTGTGTCAAAAGAAAGGTTCAACTCTGTTAGTTGAGGACACACATCACAAATAAGTTTCTGAGAATGCTTCTGTCTAGTTCTTATTTGAAGACATTTCCTTTCTCACCTTAGGCCTGAAAACGCTCGAAATATCCACTTCCAGATACGACAGAAACAGTGATTCAAACCTGCTGTATGAAAGGGAATGTTCAACTAGGTGACTTGAATGCAAACATCACAAAGCAGTTTCTGAGAATGCTGCTGTCTACTTTCTATTTGTAATCCCGTTTCCAACGAAATCCTCAGAACTATCGAAATTTCCAATTGCAGATTCCACAGAAACAGGGTTTCAAAGCTGCTCTGTAAAAAGAAAGGTTCAACTCTGTTAGTTGAATACACACGTCACAAACAAGTTTCTGAGAATGCTTCTGTCTAGTTTTTATGGGAAGATATTTCCTTTTTCACGGTAGGCCTCAAAGCGCTCCAAATGTCCACTTCCACATACTACAAAAAGAGTGTTTCAAACCTGCTCTATGATAGGGAATGTTGAAACCTATGAGTTGAATGCAAGCATTACAAAGAGGTTTCTGAGAATGCTTCTGTCTAGATTTTATATGTAGATATTCCCGTTTCCAACGAAATCCTCAAACTATCCAAATATCAACTTGCAGATTCTACAAAAGGAATGTTTCCAAAATGCTGTATCCAAACAAAGGTTCAACTCTGTGAATTGAGGGCATACATCACAATGAAGATTCTGAAAATGCTTCTGTCTAGATTTTATATGAAAATATTCCCGTTTCCAACGAAATCCTCAAAGCTATCCAAATATCCACTTGCAAATGCCACAAAAAGAGTGTTTCCAAACTGCTCTGTGAAAAGGAAGGTTCAACTCTGTTAGTTGAGTACACACATCACAAAGAGGTTTCTGAGAATGCTGCTGACTAGTTTTTATTTGAAGATATTTCCCTTTTCACCTTAGGCCTAAGAGTGCTCGAAATGTCCATTTCCACATACTCCACAAAGTGTGTTTCAAACGTGCTGTATGAAAGGGAATGTTCAACTCTATGAGTTGAATGCAAACATCACAAAGAAGATTCTGAGAATGCTTTTGTCTAGATTTTATATGAAGATATTCCCGTGTCCAACGAAATTTTCAAAGGTCTCCAAATATCCATTTGTAGATTCTACAAAAAGAGTGTTTCCAAACTGCTGTATCAAAACAAAGGTTGAACTCTGTGAGTTGAGGACACACATCACAAATAAGTTTCTGAGAATGCTTCTGTCTAGTTTTTATTTGAAGATGTTTCCTTTTTCACCATAGGCCTGAAAGCGCTCGAAATGTCCCCTTCCAGATAGTACAGAAAGAGTGTTTCAAACCTGCTCTATGAACGGGAATGTTCAGCTCTGTGAGTTGAATGCAAACATCACAAAGCAGGTTCCGAGAATGCTTCCGTCTAGATTTTAAATGAGGATATTCCCGTTTCCAACGAAATCCTCGAAGCTATCCAAATATCCACTTGCAGATTCCACAAAAACAGTGTTTCAAAACTGCTCTGTCAAAAGATAGGTTCAACTCTGTTAGTTGAGTACACACATGGCAAACAAGATTCCGAGAATGCTTTCGTCTAGTTTTTTTGGGAAGATATTTCCTTCTTCACCATAGGCCTCAAAGCGCTCCAAATATCCATTTCCACATGCTATACAAAGAGTGTCTCAAACCTGCTGTATGAATGGGAATGTTCAACTCTATGAGTTGAATGCAAACATCACAAAGAAGTTTCTGAGAATGCTGCTGTCTAGATTTTATATGAAGGTTTTCCCGCTTCCAACGAAATTTTCAATGCTCTCAAAATATCCTCTTGTAGATTCTACAAAAAGAGTGTTTCCAAACTGCTGTATCAAAACAAAGGTTCATCTCTGTTAGTTGAGGACACACATCACAAATAAGTTTCTGAGAATGCTTCTGTCTAGTTCTTATTTGAAGACATTTCCTTTCTCACCTTAGGCCTGAAAGCGCTCGAAATACCCACTTCCAGATACTACAGAAACAGTGATTCAAACCTGCTCTATGAAAGGGAATGTTCAACTATGTGACTTGAATGCAAACATCACAAAGCAGTTTCTGAGAATGCTGCTGTCTACTTTCTATTTGTAATCCCGTTTCCAACGAAATCCTCAGAACTATCGAAATTTCCAATTGCAGATTCCACAGAAACAGGGTTTCAAAGCTGCTCTGTAAAAAGAAAGGTTCAACTCTGTTAGTTGAATACACACGTCACAAACAAGTTTCTGAGAATGCTTCTGTCTAGTTTTTATGGGAAGATATTTCCTTTTTCACCGTAGGCCTCAAAGCGCTCCAAATGTCCACTTCCACATACTACAAAAAGAGTGTTTCAAACCTGCTGTATGAAAGGGAATGTTCAACTCTATGAGTTGAATGCAAACATTACAAAGAAGTTTCTGAGAATGCTTCTGTCTAGATTTTATATGAAGGTTTTCCCGTTTCCAACGAAATTTTCAATGCTCTCAAAATATCCACTTGTAGATTCTACAAAAAGAGTGTTTCCAAACTGCTGTGTCAAAAGAAAGGTTCAACTCTGTTAGTTGAGGACACACATCACAAATAAGTTTCTGAGAATGCTTCTGTCTAGTTCTTATTTGAAGACATTTCCTTTCTCACCTTAGGCCTGAAAACGCTCGAAATATCCACTTCCAGATACGACAGAAACAGTGATTCAAACCTGCTCTATGAAAGGGAATGTTCAACTAGGTGACTTGAATGCAAACATCAGAAAGCAGTTTCTGAGAATGCTGCTGTCTACTTTCTATTTGTAATCCCGTTTCCAACGAAATCCTCAGAACTATCGAAATTTCCAATTGCAGATTCCACAAAAAGCGTGTTTCAAAGCTGCTCTGTAAAAAGAAAGGTTCAACTCTGTTAGTTGAATACACACGTCACAAACAAGTTTCTGAGAATGCTTCTGTCTAGTTTTTATGGGAAGATATTTCCTTTATTCACCGTAGGCCTCAAAGCGCTCCAAATGTCCACTTCCACATACTACAAAAAGAGTGTTTCAAACCTGCTCTATGATAGGGAATGTTGAAACCTATGAGTTGAATGCAAGCATTACAAAGAGGTTTCTGAGAATGCTTCTGTCTAGTATTTTATATGTAGATATTCCCGTTTCCAACGAAATCCTCAAAGCTATCCAAATATCAACTTGCAGATTCTACAAAAGGAATGTTTCCAAAATGCTGTATCCAAACAAAGGTTCAACTCTGTGAATTGAGGGCATACATCACAAAGAAGATTCTGAGAATGCTTCTGTCTAGATTTTATATGAAAATATTCCCGTTTCCAACGAAATCCTCAAAGCTATCCAAATATCCACTTGCAAATGCCACAAAAAGAGTGTTTCCAAACTGCTCTGTGAAAAGGAAGGTTCAACTCTGTTAGTTGAGTACACACATCACAAAGAGGTTTCTGAGAATGCTGCTGACTAGTTTTTATTTGAAGATATTTCCCTTTTCACCTTAGGCCTAAGAGTGCTCGAAATGTCCATTTCCACATACTCCACAAAGTGTGTTTCAAACGTGCTGTATGAAAGGGAATGTTCAACTCTATGAGTTGAATGCAAACATCACAAAGAAGATTCTGAGAATGCTTTTGTCTAGATTTTATATGAAGATATTCCCGTGTCCAACGAAATTTTCAAAGGTCTCCAAATAAAGATTGTTTCCAAACTGCTGTATCAAAACAAAGGTTGAACTCTGTGAGTTGAGGACACACATCACAAATAAGTTTCTGAGAATGCTTCTGTCTAGTTTTTATTTGAAGATGTTTCCTTTTTCACCATAGGCCTGAAAGCGCTCGAAATGTCCACTTCCAGATAGTACAGAAAGAGTGTTTCAAACCTGCTCTATGAACGGGAATGTTCAGCTCTGTGAGTTGAATGCAAACATCACAAAGCAGGTTCTGAGAATGCTTCCGTCTAGATTTTAAATGAGGATATTCCCGTTTCCAACGAAATCCTCGAAGCTATCCAAATATCCACTTGCAGATTCCACAAAAAGAGTGTTTCAAAACTGCTCTGTCAAAAGATAGGTTCAACTCTGTTAGTTGAGTACACACATGGCAAACAAGATTCCGAGAATGCTTTCGTCTAGTTTTTTTGGGAAGATATTTCCTTCTTCACCATAGGCCTCAAAGCGCTCCAAATATCCATTTCCACATGCTATACAAAGAGTGTCTCAAACCTGCTGTATGAATGGGAATGTTCAACTCTATGAGTTGAATGCAAACATCACAAAGAAGTTTCTGAGAATGCTTCTGTCTAGATTTTATATGAAGGTTTTCCCGCTTCCAACGAAATTTTCAATGCTCTCAAAATATCCTCTTGTAGATTCTACAAAAAGAGTGTTTCCAAACTGCTGTATCAAAACAAAGGTTCATCTCTGTTAGTTGAGGACACACATCACAAATAAGTTTCTGAGAATGCTTCTGTCTAGTTCTTATTTGAAGACATTTCCTTTCTCACCTTAGGCCTGAAAGCGCTCGAAATACCCACTTCCAGATACTACAGAAACAGTGATTCAAACCTGCTCTATGAAAGGGAATGTTCAACTATGTGACTTGAATGCAAACATCACAAAGCAGTTTCTGAGAATGCTGCTGTCTACTTTCTATTTGTAATCCCGTTTCCAACGAAATCCTCAGAACTATCGAAATTTCCAATTGCAGATTCCACAGAAACAGGGTTTCAAAGCTGCTCTGTAAAAAGAAAGGTTCAACTCTGTTAGTTGAATACACACGTCACAAACAAGTTTCTGAGAATGCTTCTGTCTAGTTTTTATGGGAAGATATTTCCTTTTTCACCGTAGGCCTCAAAGCGCTCCAAATGTCCACTTCCACATACTACAAAAAGAGTGTTTCAAACCTGCTGTATGAAAGGGAATGTTCAACTCTATGAGTTGAATGCAAACATTACAAAGAAGTTTCTGAGAATGCTTCTGTCTAGATTTTATATGAAGGTTTTCCCGTTTCCAACGAAATTTTCAATGCTCTCAAAATATCCACTTGTAGATTCTACAAAAAGAGTGTTTCCAAACTGCTGTGTCAAAAGAAAGGTTCAACTCTGTTAGTTGAGGACACACATCACAAATAAGTTTCTGAGAATGCTTCTGTCTAGTTCTTATTTGAAGACATTTCCTTTCTCACCTTAGGCCTGAAAACGCTCGAAATATCCACTTCCAGATACGACAGAAACAGTGATTCAAACCTGCTCTATGAAAGGGAATGTTCAACTAGGTGACTTGAATGCAAACATCACAAAGCAGTTTCTGAGAATGCTGCTGTCTACTTTCTATTTGTAATCCCGTTTCCAACGAAATCCTCAGAACTATCGAAATTTCCAATTGCAGATTCCACAAAAAGCGTGTTTCAAAGCTGCTCTGTAAAAAGAAAGGTTCAACTCTGTTAGTTGAATACACACGTCACAAACAAGTTTCTGAGAATGCTTCTGTCTAGTTTTTATGGGAAGATATTTCCTTTTTCACCGTAGGCCTCAAAGCGCTCCAAATGTCCACTTCCACATACTACAAAAAGAGTGTTTCAAACCTGCTCTATGATAGGGAATGTTGAAACCTATGAGTTGAATGCAAGCATTACAAAGAGGTTTCTGAGAATGCTTCTGTCTAGATTTTATATGTAGATATTCCCGTTTCCAACGAAATCCTCAAAGCTATCCAAATATCAACTTGCAGATTCTACAAAAGGAATGTTTCCAAAATGCTGTATCCAAACAAAGGTTCAACTCTGTGAATTGAGGGCATACATCACAAAGAAGATTCTGAGAATGCTTCTGTCTAGATTTTATATGAAAATATTCCCGTTTCCAACGAAATCCTCAAAGCTATCCAAATATCCACTTGCAAATGCCACAAAAAGAGTGTTTCCAAACTGCTCTGTGAAAAGGAAGGTTCAACTCTGTTAGTTGAGTACACACATCACAAAGAGGTTTCTGAGAATGCTGCTGACTAGTTTTTATTTGAAGATATTTCCCTTTTCACCTTAGGCCTAAGAGTGCTCGAAATGTCCATTTCCACATACTCCACAAAGTGTGTTTCAAACGTGCTGTATGAAAGGGAATGTTCAACTCTATGAGTTGAATGCAAACATCACAAAGAAGATTCTGAGAATGCTTTTGTCTAGATTTTATATGAAGATATTCCCGTGTCCAACGAAATTTTCAAAGGTCTCCAAATATCCATTTGTAGATTCTACAAAAAGAGTGTTTCCAAACTGCTGTATCAAAACAAAGGTTGAACTCTGTGAGTTGAGGACACACATCACAAATAAGTTTCTGAGAATGCTTCTGTCTAGTTTTTATTTGAAGATGTTTCCTTTTTCACCATAGGCCTGAAAGCGCTCGAAATGTCCACTTCCAGATAGTACAGAAAGAGTGTTTCAAACCTGCTCTATGAACGGGAATGTTCAGCTCTGTGAGTTGAATGCAAACATCACAAAGCAGGTTCTGAGAATGCTTCCGTCTAGATTTTAAATGAGGATATTCCCGTTTCCAACGAAATCCTCGAAGCTATCCAAATATCCACTTGCAGATTCCACAAAAAGAGTGTTTCAAAACTGCTCTGTCAAAAGACAGGTTCAACTCTGTTAGTTGAGTACACACATGGCAAACAAGATTCCGAGAATGCTTTCGTCTAGTTTTTTTGGGAAGATATTTCCTTCTTCACCATAGGCCTCAAAGCGCTCCAAATATCCATTTCCACATGCTATACAAAGAGTGTCTCAAACCTGCTGTATGAATGGGAATGTTCAACTCTATGAGTTGAATGCAAACATCACAAAGAAGTTTCTGAGAATGCTGCTGTCTAGATTTTATATGAAGGTTTTCCCGCTTCCAACGAAATTTTCAATGCTCTCAAAATATCCTCTTGTAGATTCTACAAAAAGAGTGTTTCCAAACTGCTGTATCAAAACAAAGGTTCATCTCTGTTAGTTGAGGACACACATCACAAATAAGTTTCTGAGAATGCTCTGTCTAGTTCTTATTTGAAGACATTTCCTTTCTCACCTTAGGCCTGAAAACGCTCGAAATATCCACTTCCAGATACGACAGAAACTGTGATTCAAACCTGCTCTATGAAAGGGAATGTTCAACTAGGTGACTTGAATGCAAACATCACAAAGCAGTTTCTGAGAATGCTGGCTGTCTACTTTCTATTTGTATCCCGTTTCCAACGAAATCCTCAGAACTATCGAAATTTCCAATTGCAGATTCCACAGAAACAGGGTTTCAAAGCTGCTCTGTAAAAAGAAAGGTTCAACTCTGTTAGTTGAATACACACGTCACAAACAAGTTTCTGAGAATGCTTCTGTCTAGTTTTTATGGGAAGATATTTCCTTTTTCACGGTAGGCCTCAAAGCGCTCCAAATGTCCACTTCCACATACTACAAAAAGAGTGTTTCAAACCTGCTCTATGATAGGGAATGTTGAAACCTATGAGTTGAATGCAAGCATTACAAAGAGGTTTCTGAGAATGCTTCTGTCTAGATTTTATATGTAGATATTCCCGTTTCCAACGAAATCCTCAAAGCTATCCAAATATCAACTTGCAGATTCTACAAAAGGAATGTTTCCAAAATGCTGTATCCAAACAAAGGTTCAACTCTGTGAATTGAGGGCATACATCACAAAGAAGATTCTGAGAATGCTTCTGTCTAGATTTTATATGAAAATATTCCCGTTTCCAACGAAATCCTCAAAGCTATCCAAATATCCACTTGCAAATGCCACAAAAAGAGTGTTTCCAAACTGCTCTGTGAAAAGGAAGGTTCAACTCTGTTAGTTGAGTACACACATCACAAAGAGGTTTCTGAGAATGCTGCTGACTAGTTTTTATTTGAAGATATTTCCCTTTTCACCTTAGGCCTAAGAGTGCTCGAAATGTCCATTTCCACATACTCCACAAAGTGTGTTTCAAACGTGCTATATGAAAGGGAATGTTCAACTCTATGAGTTGAATGCAAACATCACAAAGAAGATTCTGAGAATGCTTTTGTCTAGATTTTATATGAAGATATTCCCGTGTCCAACGAAATTTTCAAAGGTCTCCAAATATCCATTTGTAGATTCTACAAAAAGAGTGTTTCCAAACTGCTGTATCAAAACAAAGGTTGAACTCTGTGAGTTGAGGACACACATCACAAATAAGTTTCTGAGAATGCTTCTGTCTAGTTTTTATTTGAAGATGTTTCCTTTTTCACCATAGGCCTGAAAGCGCTCGAAATGTCCACTTCCAGATAGTACAGAAAGAGTGTTTCAAACCTGCTCTATGAACGGGAATGTTCAGCTCTGTGAGTTGAATGCAAACATCACAAAGCAGGTTCTGAGAATGCTTCCGTCTAGATTTTAAATGAGGATATTCCCGTTTCCAACGAAATCCTCGAAGCTATCCAAATATCCACTTGCAGATTCCACAAAAAGAGTGTTTCAAAACTGCTCTGTCAAAAGATAGGTTCAACTCTGTTAGTTGAGTACACACATGGCAAACAAGATTGCGAGAATGCTTTCGTCTAGTTTTTTTGGGAAGATATTTCCTTCTTCACCATAGGCCTCAAAGCGCTCCAAATATCCATTTCCACATGCTATACAAAGAGTGTCTCAAACCTGCTGTATGAATGGGAATGTTCAACTCTATGAGTTGAATGCAAACATCACAAAGAAGTTTCTGAGAATGCTTGCTGTCTAGTATTTTATATGAAGGTTTTCCCGCTTCCAACGAAATTTTCAATGCTCTCAAAATATCCTCTTGTAGATTCTACAAAAAGAGTGTTTCCAAACTGCTGTATCAAAACAAAGGTTCATCTCTGTTAGTTGAGGACACACATCACAAATAAGTTTCTGAGAATGCTTCTGTCTAGTTCTTATTTGAAGACATTTCCTTTCTCACCTTAGGCCTGAAAACGCTCGAAATATCCACTTCCAGATACGACAGAAACAGTGATTCAAACCTGCTGCTATGAAAGGGAATGTTCAACTAGGTGACTTGAATGCAAACATCACAAAGCAGTTTCTGAGAATGCTGCTGTCTACTTTCTATTTGTAATCCCGTTTCCAACGAAATCCTCAGAACTATCGAAATTTCCAATTGCAGATTCCACAAAAAGCGTGTTTCAAAGCTGCTCTGTAAAAAGAAAGGTTCAACTCTGTTAGTTGAATACACACGTCACAAACAAGTTTCTGAGAATGCTTCTGTCTAGTTTTTATGGGAAGATATTTCCTTTTTCACCGTAGGCCTCAAAGTGCTCCAAATGTCCACTTCCACATACTACAAAAAGAGTGTTTCAAACCTGCTCTATGATAGGGAATGTTGAAACCTATGAGTTGAATGCAAGCATTACAAAGAGGTTTCTGAGAATGCTTCTGTCTAGATTTTATATGTAGATATTCCCGTTTCCAACGAAATCCTCAAAGCTATCCAAATATCAACTTGCAGATTCTACAAAAGGAATGTTTCCAAAATGCTGTATCCAAACAAAGGTTCAACTCTGTGAATTGAGGGCATACATCACAAAGAAGATTCTGAGAATGCTTCTGTCTAGATTTTATATGAAAATATTCCCGTTTCCAACGAAATCCTCAAAGCTATCCAAATATCCACTTGCAAATGCCACAAAAAGAGTGTTTCCAAACTGCTCTGTGAAAAGGAAGGTTCAACTCTGTTAGTTGAGTACACACATCACAAAGAGGTTTCTGAGAATGCTGCTGACTAGTTTTTATTTGAAGATATTTCCCTTTTCACCTTAGGCCTAAGAGTGCTCGAAATGTCCATTTCCACATACTCCACAAAGTGTGTTTCAAACGTGCTGTATGAAAGGGAATGTTCAACTCTATGAGTTGAATGCAAACATCACAAAGAAGATTCTGAGAATGCTTTTGTCTAGATTTTATATGAAGATATTCCCGTGTCCAACGAAATTTTCAAAGGTCTCCAAATATCCATTTGTAGATTCTACAAAAAGAGTGTTTCCAAACTGCTGTATCAAAACAAAGGTTGAACTCTGTGAGTTGAGGACACACATCACAAATAAGTTTCTGAGAATGCTTCTGTCTAGTTTTTATTTGAAGATGTTTCCTTTTTCACCATAGGCCTGAAAGCGCTCGAAATGTCCACTTCCAGATAGTACAGAAAGAGTGTTTCAAACCTGCTCTATGAACGGGAATGTTCAGCTCTGTGAGTTGAATGCAAACATCACAAAGCAGGTTCTGAGAATGCTTCCGTCTAGGTTTTAAATGAGGATATTCCCGTTTCCAACGAAATCCTCGAAGCTATCCAAATATCCACTTGCAGATTCCACAAAAAGAGTGTTTCAAAACTGCTCTGTCAAAAGATAGGTTCAACTCTGTTAGTTGAGTACACACATGGCAAACAAGATTCCGAGAATGCTTTCGTCTAGTTTTTTTGGGAAGATATTTCCTTCTTCACCATAGGCCTCAAAGTGCTCCAAATATCCATTTCCACATACTATACAAAGAGTGTCTCAAACCTGCTGTATGAAAAGAAATGTTCAACTCTATGAGTTGAATGCAAACATCACAAAGAAGTTTCTCAGAATGCTACTGTCTAGATTTTATATGAAGGTTTTCCCGCTTCCAACGAAATTTTCAATTCTCTCAAAATATCCTCTTGTAGATTCTACAAAAAGAGTGTTTCCAAACTGCTGTATCAAAACAAAGGTTCATCTCTGTTAGTTGAGGACACACATCACAAATAAGTTTCTCAGAATGCTTCTGTCTAGTTCTTATTTGAAGACATTTCCTTTCTCACCTTAGGCCTGAAAGCGCTCGAAATACCCACTTCCAGATACTACAGAAACAGTGATTCAAACCTGCTCTATGAAAGGGAATTTTCAACTATGTGACTTGAATGCAAACATCACAAAGCAGTTTCTGAGAATGCTGCTGTCTACTTTCTATTTGTAATCCCGTTTGCAACGAAATCCTCAGAACTATCGAAATTTCCAATTGCAGATTCCACAGAAACAGGGTTTCAAAGCTGCTCTGTAAAAAGAAAGGTTCAACTCTGTTAGTTGAATACACACGTCACAAACAAGTTTCTGAGAATGCTTCTGTCTAGTTTTTATGGGAAGATATTTCCTTTTTCACCGTAGGCCTCAAAGCGCTCCAAATGTCCACTTCCACATACTACAAAAAGAGTGTTTCAAACCTGCTGTATGAAAGGGAATGTTCAACTCTATGAGTTGAATGCAAACATTACAAAGAAGTTTCTGAGAATGCTTCTGTCTAGATTTTATATGAAGGTTTTCCCGTTTCCAACGAAATTTTCAATGCTCTCAAAATATCCACTTGTAGATTCTACAAAAAGAGTGTTTCCAAACTGCTGTGTCAAAAGAAAAGTTCAACTCTGTTAGTTGAAGACACACATCACAAATAAGTTTCTGAGAATGCTGCTGTCTACTTTCTATTTGTAATCCCGTTTCCAACGAAATCCTCAGAACTATCGAAATTTCCAATTGCAGATTCCACAAAAAGCGTGTTTCAAAGCTGCTCTGTAAAAAGAAACGTTCAACTCTGTTAGTTGAATACACACGTCACAAACAAGTTTCTGAGAATGCTTCTGTCTAGTTTTTATGGGAAGATATTTCCTTTTTCACCGTAGGCCTCAAAGCGCTCCAAATGTCCACTTCCACATACTACAAAAAGAGTGTTTCAAACCTGCTCTATGATAGGGAATGTTGAAACCTATGAGTTGAATGCAAGCATTACAAAGAGGTTTCTGAGAATGCTTCTGTCTAGATTTTATATGTAGATATTCCCGTTTCCAACGAAATCCTCAAAGCTATCCAAATATCAACTTGCAGATTCTACAAAAGGAATGTTTCCAAAATGCTGTATCCAAACAAAGGTTCAACTCTGTGAATTGAGGGCATACATCACAAAGAAGATTCTGAGAATGCTTCTGTCTAGATTTTATATGAAAATATTCCCGTTTCCAACGAAATCCTCAAATCTATCCAAATATCCACTTGCAAATGCCACAAAAAGAGTGTTTCCAAACTGCTCTGTGAAAAGGAAGGTTCAACTCTGTTAGTTGAGTACACACATCACAAAGAGGTTTCTGAGAATGCTGCTGACTAGTTTTTATTTGAAGATATTTCCCTTTTCACCTTAGGCCTAAGAGTGCTCGAAATGTCCATTTCCACATACTCCACAAAGTGTGTTTCAAACGTGCTGTATGAAAGGGAATGTTCAACTCTATGAGTTGAATGCAAACATCACAAAGAAGATTCTGAGAATGCTTTTGTCTAGATTTTATATGAAGATATTCCCGTGTCCAACGAAATTTTCAAAGGTCTCCAAATATCCATTTGTAGATTCTACAAAAAGAGTGTTTCCAAACTGCTGTATCAAAACAAAGGTTGAACTCTGTGAGTTGAGGACACACATCACAAATAAGTTTCTGAGAATGCTTCTGTCTAGTTTTTATTTGAAGATGTTTCCTTTTTCACCATAGGCCTGAAAGCGCTCGAAATGTCCACTTCCAGATAGTACAGAAAGAGTGTTTCAAACCTGCTCTATGAACGGGAATGTTCAGCTCTGTGAGTTGAATGCAAACATCACACAGCAGGTTCTGAGAATGCTTCCGTCTAGATTTTAAATGAGGATATTCCCGTTTCCAACGAAATCCTCGAAGCTATCCAAATATCCACTTGCAGATTCCACAAAAAGAGTGTTTCAAAACTGCTCTGTCAAAAGATAGGTTCAACTCTGTTAGTTGAGTACACACATGGCAAACAAGATTCCGAGAATGCTTTCGTCTAGTTTTTTTGGGAAGATATTTCCTTCTTCACCATAGGCCTCAAAGCGCTCCAAATATCCATTTCCACATGCTATACAAAGAGTGTCTCAAACCTGCTGTATGAATGGGAATGTTCAACTCTATGAGTTGAATGCAAACATCACAAAGAAGTTTCTGAGAATGCTGCTGTCTAGATTTTATATGAAGGTTTTCCCGCTTCCAACGAAATTTTCAATGCTCTCAAAATATCCTCTTGTAGATTCTACAAAAAGAGTGTTTCCAAACTGCTGTATCAAAACAAAGGTTCATCTCTGTTAGTTGAGGACACACATCACAAATAAGTTTCTGAGAATGCTTCTGTCTAGTTCTTATTTGAAGACATTTCCTTTCTCACCTTAGGCCTGAAAGCGCTCGAAATACCCACTTCCAGATACTACAGAAACAGTGATTCAAACCTGCTCTATGAAAGGGAATGTTCAACTAGGTGACTTGAATGCAAACATCACAAAGCAGTTTCTGAGAATGCTGCTGTCTACTTTCTATTTGTAATCCCGTTTCCAACGAAATCCTCAGAACTATCGAAATTTCCAATTGCAGATTCCACAAAAAGCGTGTTTCAAAGCTGCTCTGTAAAAAGAAAGGTTCAACTCTGTTAGTTGAATACACACGTCACAAACAAGTTTCTGAGAATGCTTCTGTCTAGTTTTTATGGGAAGATATTTCCTTTTTCACCGTAGGCCTCAAAGCGCTCCAAATGTCCACTTCCACATACTACAAAAAGAGTGTTTCAAACCTGCTCTATGATAGGGAATGTTGAAACCTATGAGTTGAATGCAAGCATTACAAAGAGGTTTCTGAGAATGCTTCTGTCTAGATTTTATATGTAGATATTCCCGTTTCCAACGAAATCCTCAAACTATCCAAATATCAACTTGCAGATTCTACAAAAGGAATGTTTCCAAAATGCTGTATCCAAACAAAGGTTCAACTCTGTGAATTGAGGGCATACATCACAAAGAAGATTCTGAGAATGCTTCTGTCTAGATTTTATATGAAAATATTCCCGTTTCCAACGAAATCCTCAAAGCTATCCAAATATCCACTTGCAAATGCCACAAAAAGAGTGTTTCCAAACTGCTCTGTGAAAAGGAAGGTTCAACTCTGTTAGTTGAGTACACACATCACAAAGAGGTTTCTGAGAATGCTGCTGACTAGTTTTTATTTGAAGATATTTCCCTTTTCACCTTAGGCCTAAGAGTGCTCGAAATGTCCATTTCCACATACTCCACAAAGTGTGTTTCAAACGTGCTGTATGAAAGGGAATGTTCAACTCTATGAGTTGAATGCAAACATCACAAAGAAGATTCTGAGAATGCTTTTGTCTAGATTTTATATGAAGATATTCCCGTGTCCAACGAAATTTTCAAAGGTCTCCAAATATCCATTTGTAGATTCTACAAAAAGAGTGTTTCCAAACTGCTGTATCAAAACAAAGGTTGAACTCTGTGAGTTGAGGACACACATCACAAATAAGTTTCTGAGAATGCTTCTGTCTAGTTTTTATTTGAAGATGTTTCCTTTTTCACCATAGGCCTGAAAGCGCTCGAAATGTCCACTTCCAGATAGTACAGAAAGAGTGTTTCAAACCTGCTCTATGAACGGGAATGTTCAGCTCTGTGAGTTGAATGCAAACATCACAAAGCAGGTTCTGAGAATGCTTCCGTCTAGATTTTAAATGAGGATATTCCCGTTTCCAACGAAATCCTCGAAGCTATCCAAATATCCACTTGCAGATTCCACAAAACGAGTGTTTCAAAACTGCTCTGTCAAAAGATAGGTTCAACTCTGTTAGTTGAGTACACACATGGCAAACAAGATTGCGAGAATGCTTTCGTCTAGTTTTTTTGGGAAGATATTTCCTTCTTCACCATAGGCCTCAAAGCGCTCCAAATATCCATTTCCACATGCTATACAAAGAGTGTCTCAAACCTGCTGTATGAATGGGAATGTTCAACTCTATGAGTTGAATGCAAACATCACAAAGAAGTTTCTGAGAATGCTGCTGTCTAGATTTTATATGAAGGTTTTCCCGCTTCCAACGAAATTTTCAATGCTCTCAAAATATCCTCTTGTAGATTCTACAAAAAGAGTGTTTCCAAACTGCTGTATCAAAACAAAGGTTCATCTCTGTTAGGTGAGGACACACATCACAAATAAGTTTCTGAGAATGCTTCTGTCTAGTTCTTATTTGAAGACATTTCCTTTCTCACCTTAGGCCTGAAAGCGCTCGAAATACCCACTTCCAGATACTACAGAAACAGTGATTCAAACCTGCTCTATGAAAGGGAATGTTCAACTAGGTGACTTGAATGCAAACATCACAAAGCAGTTTCTGAGAATGCTGCTGTCTACTTTCTATTTGTAATCCCGTTTCCAACGAAATCCTCAGAACTATCGAAATTTCCAATTGCAGATTCCACAGAAACAGGGTTTCAAAGCTGCTCTGTAAAAAGAAAGGTTCAACTCTGTTAGTTGAATACACACGTCACAAACAAGTTTCTGAGAATGCTTCTGTCTAGTTTTTATGGGAAGATATTTCCTTTTTCACCGTAGGCCTCAAAGCGCTCCAAATGTCCACGTCCACATACTACAAAAAGAGTGTTTCAAACCTGCTGTATGAAAGGGAATGTTCAACTCTATGAGTTGAATGCAAACATTACAAAGAAGTTTCTGAGAATGCTTCTGTCTAGATTTTATATGAAGGTTTTCCCGTTTCCAACGAAATTTTCAATGCTCTCAAAATATCCACTTGTAGATTCTACAAAAAGAGTGTTTCCAAACTGCTGTGTCAAAAGAAAGGTTCAACTCTGTTAGTTGAGGACACACATCACAAATAAGTTTCTGAGAA
Organism: Homo sapiens; assembly: GCF_000001405.40. Lineage (NCBI taxonomy): Eukaryota > Metazoa > Chordata > Mammalia > Primates > Hominidae > Homo > Homo sapiens. Next base: position 18,605,487 of record NC_000015.10, on the reverse strand, counting down.
TGCTTCTGTCTAGTTCTTATTTGAAGACATTTCCTTTCTCACCTTAGGCCTGAAAACGCTCGAAATATCCACTTCCAGATACGACAGAAACAGTGATTCAAACCTGCTCTATGAAAGGGAATGTTCAACTAGGTGACTTGAATGCAAACATCACAAAGCAGTTTCTGAGAATGCTGCTGTCTACTTTCTATTTGTAATCCCGTTTCCAACGAAATCCTCAGAACTATCGAAATTTCCAATTGCAGATTCCACAAAAAGCGTGTTTCAAAGCTGCTCTGTAAAAAGAAAGGTTCAACTCTGTTAGTTGAATACACACGTCACAAACAAGTTTCTGAGAATGCTTCTGTCTAGTTTTTATGGGAAGATATTTCCTTTTTCACGGTAGGCCTCAAAGCGCTCCAAATGTCCACTTCCACATACTACAAAAAGAGTGTTTCAAACCTGCTCTATGATAGGGAATGTTGAAACCTATGAGTTGAATGCAAGCATTACAAAGAGGTTTCTGAGAATGCTTCTGTCTAGATTTTATATGTAGATATTCCCGTTTCCAACGAAATCCTCAAAGCTATCCAAATATCAGCTTGCAGATTCTACAAAAGGAATGTTTCCAAAATGCTGTATCCAAACAAAGGTTCAACTCTGTGAATTGAGGGCATACATCACAAAGAAGATTCTGAGAATGCTTCTGTCTAGATTTTATATGAAAATATTCCCGTTTCCAACGAAATCCTCAAAGCTATCCAAATATCCACTTGCAAATGCCACAAAAAGAGTGTTTCCAAACTGCTCTGTGAAAAGGAAGGTTCAACTCTGTTAGTTGAGTACACACATCACAAAGAGGTTTCTGAGAATGCTGCTGACTAGTTTTTATTTGAAGATATTTCCCTTTTCACCTTAGGCCTAAGAGTGCTCGAAATGTCCATTTCCACATACTCCACAAAGTGTGTTTCAAACGTGCTGTATGAAAGGGAATGTTCAACTCTATGAGTTGAATGCAAACATCACAAAGAAGACTCTGAGAATGCTTTTGTCTAGATTTTATATGAAGATATTCCCGTGTCCAACGAAATTTTCAAAGGTCTCCAAATATCCATTTGTAGATTCTACAAAAAGAGTGTTTCCAAACTGCTGTATCAAAACAAAGGTTGAACTCTGTGAGTTGAGGACACACATCACAAATAAGTTTCTGAGAATGCTTCTGTCTAGTTTTTATTTGAAGATGTTTCCTTTTTCACCATAGGCCTGAAAGCGCTCGAAATGTCCACTTCCAGATAGTACAGAAAGAGTGTTTCAAACCTGCTCTATGAACGGGAATGTTCAGCTCTGTGAGTTGAATGCAAACATCACAAAGCAGGTTCTGAGAATGCTTCCGTCTAGATTTTAAATGAGGATATTCCCGTTTCCAACGAAATCCTCGAAGCTATCCAAATATCCACTTGCAGATTCCACAAAAAGAGTGTTTCAAAACTGCTCTGTCAAAAGATAGGTTCAACTCTGTTAGTTGAGTACACACATGGCAAACAAGATTCCGAGAATGCTTCTTTCGTCTAGTTTTTTTGGGAAGATATTTCCTTCTTCACCATAGGCCTCAAAGCGCTCCAAATATCCATTTCCACATGCTATACAAAGAGTGTCTCAAACCTGCTGTATGAATGGGAATGTTCAACTCTATGAGTTGAATGCAAACATCACAAAGAAGTTTCTGAGAATGCTGCTGTCTAGATTTTATATGAAGGTTTTCCCGCTTCCAACGAAATTTTCAATGCTCTCAAAATATCCTCTTGTAGATTCTACAAAAAGAGTGTTTCCAAACTGCTGTATCAAAACAAAGGTTCATCTCTGTTAGTTGAGGACACACATCACAAATAAGTTTCTGAGAATGCTTCTGTCTAGTTCTTATTTGAAGACATTTCCTTTCTCACCTTAGGCCTGAAAACGCTCGAAATATCCACTTCCAGATACGACAGAAACTGTGATTCAAACCTGCTCTATGAAAGGGAATGTTCAACTAGGTGACTTGAATGCAAACATCACAAAGCAGTTTCTGAGAATGCTGCTGTCTACTTTCTATTTGTAATCCCGTTTCCAACGAAATCCTCAGAACTATCGAAATTTCCAATTGCAGATTCCACAAAAAGCGTGTTTCAAAGCTGCTCTGTAAAAAGAAAGGTTCAACTCTGTTAGTTGAATACACACGTCACAAACAAGTTTCTGAGAATGCTTCTGTCTAGTTTTTATGGGAAGATATTTCCTTTTTCACCGTAGGCCTCAAAGCGCTCCAAATGTCCACTTCCACATACTACAAAAAGAGTGTTTCAAACCTGCTGTATGAAAGGGAATGTTCAACTCTATGAGTTGAATGCAAACATTACAAAGAAGTTTCTGAGAATGCTTCTGTCTAGATTTTATATGAAGGTTTTCCCGTTTCCAACGAAATTTTCAATGCTCTCAAAATATCCACTTGTAGATTCTACAAAAAGAGTGTTTCCAAACTGCTGTGTCAAAAGAAAGGTTCAACTCTGTTAGTTGAGGACACACATCACAAATAAGTTTCTGAGAATGCTTCTGTCTAGTTCTTATTTGAAGACATTTCCTTTCTCACCTTAGGCCTGAAAACGCTCGAAATATCCACTTCCAGATACGACAGAAACAGTGATTCAAACCTGCTCTATGAAAGGGAATGTTCAACTAGGTGACTTGAATGCAAACATCCACAAAGCAGTTTCTGAGAATGCTGCTGTCTACTTTCTATTTGTAATCCCGTTTGCAACGAAATCCTCAGAACTATCGAAATTTCCAATTGCAGATTCCACAGAAACAGGGTTTCAAAGCTGCTCTGTAAAAAGAAAGGTTCAACTCTGTTAGTTGAATACACACGTCACAAACAAGTTTCTGAGAATGCTTCTGTCTAGTTTTTATGGGAAGATATTTCCTTTTTCACCGTAGGCCTCAAAGCGCTCCAAATGTCCACTTCCACATACTACAAAAAGAGTGTTTCAAACCTGCTCTATGATAGGGAATGTTGAAACCTATGAGTTGAATGCAAGCATTACAAAGAGGTTTCTGAGAATGCTTCTGTCTAGATTTTATATGTAGATATTCCCGTTTCCAACGAAATCCTCAAAGCTATCCAAATATCAACTTGCAGATTCTACAAAAGGAATGTTTCCAAAATGCTGTATCCAAACAAAGGTTCAACTCTGTGAATTGAGGGCATACATCACAAAGAAGATTCTGAGAATGCTTCTGTCTAGATTTTATATGAAAATATTCCCGTTTCCAACGAAATCCTCAAAGCTATCCAAATATCCACTTGCAAATGCCACAAAAAGAGTGTTTCCAAACTGCTCTGTGAAAAGGAAGGTTCAACTCTGTTAGTTGAGTACACACATCACAAAGAGGTTTCTGAGAATGCTGCTGACTAGTTTTTATTTGAAGATATTTCCCTTTTCACCTTAGGCCTAAGAGTGCTCGAAATGTCCATTTCCACATACTCCACAAAGTGTGTTTCAAACGTGCTGTATGAAAGGGAATGTTCAACTCTATGAGTTGAATGCAAACATCACAAAGAAGATTCTGAGAATGCTTTTGTCTAGATTTTATATGAAGATATTCCCGTGTCCAACGAAATTTTCAAAGGTCTCCAAATATCCATTTGTAGATTCTACAAAAAGAGTGTTTCCAAACTGCTGTATCAAAACAAAGGTTGAACTCTGTGAGTTGAGGACACACATCACAAATAAGTTTCTGAGAATGCTTCTGTCTAGTTTTTATTTGAAGATGTTTCCTTTTTCACCATAGGCCTGAAAGCGCTCGAAATGTCCACTTCCAGATAGTACAGAAAGAGTGTTTCAAACCTGCTCTATGAACGGGAATGTTCAGCTCTGTGAGTTGAATGCAAACATCACAAAGCAGGTTCTGAGAATGCTTCCGTCTAGATTTTAAATGAGGATATTCCCGTTTCCAACGAAATCCTCGAAGCTATCCAAATATCCACTTGCAGATTCCACAAAAAGAGTGTTTCAAAACTGCTCTGTCAAAAGATAGGTTCAACTCTGTTAGTTGAGTACACACATGGCAAACAAGATTGCGAGAATGCTTTCGTCTAGTTTTTTTGGGAAGATATTTCCTTCTTCACCATAGGCCTCAAAGCGCTCCAAATATCCATTTCCACATGCTATACAAAGAGTGTCTCAAACCTGCTGTATGAATGGGAATGTTCAACTCTATGAGTTGAATGCAAACATCACAAAGAAGTTTCTGAGAATGCTGCTGTCTAGATTTTATATGAAGGTTTTCCCGCTTCCAACGAAATTTTCAATGCTCTCAAAATATCCTCTTGTAGATTCTACAAAAAGAGTGTTTCCAAACTGCTGTATCAAAACAAAGGTTCATCTCTGTTAGTTGAGGACACACATCACAAATAAGTTTCTGAGAATGCTTCTGTCTAGTTCTTATTTGAAGACATTTCCTTTCTCACCTTAGGCCTGAAAGCGCTCGAAATACCCACTTCCAGATACTACAGAAACAGTGATTCAAACCTGCTCTATGAAAGGGAATGTTCAACTAGGTGACTTGAATGCAAACATCACAAAGCAGTTTCTGAGAATGCTGCTGTCTACTTTCTATTTGTAATCCCGTTTGCAACGAAATCCTCAGAACTATCGAAATTTCCAATTGCAGATTCCACAGAAACAGGGTTTCAAAGCTGCTCTGTAAAAAGAAAGGTTCAACTCTGTTAGTTGAATACACACGTCACAAACAAGTTTCTGAGAATGCTTCTGTCTAGTTTTTATGGGAAGATATTTCCTTTTTCACCGTAGGCCTGAAAGCGCTCCAAATGTCCACTTCCACATACTACAAAAAGAGTGTTTCAAACCTGCTGTATGAAAGGGAATGTTCAACTCTATGAGTTGAATGCAAACATTACAAAGAAGTTTCTGAGAATGCTTCTGTCTAGATTTTATATGAAGGTTTTCCCGTTTCCAACGAAATTTTCAATGCTCTCAAAATATCCACTTGTAGATTCTACAAAAAGAGTGTTTCCAAACTGCTGTGTCAAAAGAAAGGTTCAACTCTGTCAGTTGAGGACACACATCACAAATAGGTTTCTGAGAATGCTTCTGTCTAGTTCTTATTTGAAGACATTTCCTTTCTCACCTTAGGCCTGAAAACGCTCGAAATATCCACTTCCAGATACGACAGAAACAGTGATTCAAACCTGCTCTATGAAAGGGAATGTTCAACTAGGTGACTTGAATGCAAACATCACAAAGCAGTTTCTGAGAATGCTGCTGTCTACTTTCTATTTGTAATCCCGTTTCCAACGAAATCCTCAGAACTATCGAAATTTCCAATTGCAGATTCCACAAAAAGCGTGTTTCAAAGCTGCTCTGTAAAAAGAAAGGTTCAACTCTGTTAGTTGAATACACACGTCACAAACAAGTTTCTGAGAATGCTTCTGTCTAGTTTTTATGGGAAGATATTTCCTTTTTCACCGTAGGCCTCAAAGCGCTCCAAATGTCCACTTCCACATACTACAAAAAGAGTGTTTCAAACCTGCTCTATGATAGGGAATGTTGAAACCTATGAGTTGAATGCAAGCATTACAAAGAGGTTTCTGAGAATGCTTCTGTCTAGATTTTATATGTAGATATTCCCGTTTCCAACGAAATCCTCAAAGCTATCCAAATATCAACTTGCAGATTCTACAAAAGGAATGTTTCCAAAATGCTGTATCCAAACAAAGGTTCAACTCTGTGAATTGAGGGCATACATCACAAAGAAGATTCTGAGAATGCTTCTGTCTAGATTTTATATGAAAATATTCCCGTTTCCAACGAAATCCTCAAAGCTATCCAAATATCCACTTGCAAATGCCACAAAAAGAGTGTTTCCAAACTGCTCTGTGAAAAGGAAGGTTCAACTCTGTTAGTTGAGTACACACATCACAAAGAGGTTTCTGAGAATGCTGCTGACTAGTTTTTATTTGAAGATATTTCCCTTTTCACCTTAGGCCTAAGAGTGCTCGAAATGTCCATTTCCACATACTCCACAAAGTGTGTTTCAAACGTGCTGTATGAAAGGGAATGTTCAACTCTATGAGTTGAATTCAAACATCACAAAGAAGATTCTGAGAATGCTTTTGTCTAGATTTTATATGAAGATATTCCCGTGTCCAACGAAATTTTCAAAGGTCTCCAAATATCCATTTGTAGATTCTACAAAAAGAGTGTTTCCAAACTGCTGTATCAAAACAAAGGTTGAACTCTGTGAGTTGAGGACACACATCACAAATAAGTTTCTGAGAATGCTTCTGTCTAGTTTTTATTTGAAGATGTTTCCTTTTTCACCATAGGCCTGAAAGCGCTCGAAATGTCCACTTCCAGATAGTACAGAAAGAGTGTTTCAAACCTGCTCTATGAACGGGAATGTTCAGCTCTGTGAGTTGAATGCAAACATCACAAAGCAGGTTCTGAGAATGCTTCCGTCTAGATTTTAAATGAGGATATTCCCGTTTCCAACGAAATCCTCGAAGCTATCCAAATATCCACTTGCAGATTCCACAAAAAGAGTGTTTCAAAACTGCTCTGTCAAAAGATAGGTTCAACTCTGTTAGTTGAGTACACACATGGCAAACAAGATTGCGAGAATGCTTTCGTCTAGTTTTTTTGGGAAGATATTTCCTTCTTCACCATAGGCCTCAAAGCGCTCCAAATATCCATTTCCACATGCTATACAAAGAGTGTCTCAAACCTGCTGTATGAATGGGAATGTTCAACTCTATGAGTTGAATGCAAACATCACAAAGAAGTTTCTGAGAATGCTGCTGTCTAGATTTTATATGAAGGTTTTCCCGCTTCCAACGAAATTTTCAATGCTCTCAAAATATCCTCTTGTAGATTCTACAAAAAGAGTGTTTCCAAACTGCTGTATCAAAACAAAGGTTCATCTCTGTTAGTTGAGGACACACATCACAAATAAGTTTCTGAGAATGCTTCTGTCTAGTTCTTATTTGAAGACATTTCCTTTCTCACCTTAGGCCTGAAAGCGCTCGAAATACCCACTTCCAGATACTACAGAAACAGTGATTCAAACCTGCTCTATGAAAGGGAATGTTCAACTAGGTGACTTGAATGCAAACATCACAAAGCAGTTTCTGAGAATGCTGCTGTCTACTTTCTATTTGTAATCCCGTTTCCAACGAAATCCTCAGAACTATCGAAATTTCCAATTGCAGATTCCACAGAAACAGGGTTTCAAAGCTGCTGTGTAAAAAGAAAGGTTCAACTCTGTTAGTTGAATACACACGTCACAAACAAGTTTCTGAGAATGCTTCTGTCTAGTTTTTATGGGAAGATATTTCCTTTTTCACCGTAGGCCTCAAAGCGCTCCAAATGTCCACTTCCACATACTACAAAAAGAGTGTTTCAAACCTGCTCTATGATAGGGAATGTTGAAACCTATGAGTTGAATGCAAGCATTACAAAGAGGTTTCTGAGAATGCTTCTGTCTAGATTTTATATGTAGATATTCCCGTTTCCAACGAAATCCTCAAAGCTATCCAAATATCAACTTGCAGATTCTACAAAAGGAATGTTTCCAAAATGCTGTATCCAAACAAAGGTTCAACTCTGTGAATTGAGGGCATACATCACAAAGAAGATTCTGAGAATGCTTCTGTCTAGATTTTATATGAAAATATTCCCGTTTCCAACGAAATCCTCAAAGCTATCCAAATATCCACTTGCAAATGCCACAAAAAGAGTGTTTCCAAACTGCTCTGTGAAAAGGAAGGTTCAACTCTGTTAGTTGAGTACACACATCACAAAGAGGTTTCTGAGAATGCTGCTGACTAGTTTTTATTTGAAGATATTTCCCTTTTCACCTTAGGCCTAAGAGTGCTCGAAATGTCCATTTCCACATACTCCACAAAGTGTGTTTCAAACGTGCTGTATGAAAGGGAATGTTCAACTCTATGAGTTGAATGCAAACATCACAAAGAAGATTCTGAGAATGCTTTTGTCTAGATTTTATATGAAGATATTCCCGTGTCCAACGAAATTTTCAAAGGTCTCCAAATATCCATTTGTAGATTCTACAAAAAGAGTGTTTCCAAACTGCTGTATCAAAACAAAGGTTGAACTCTGTGAGTTGAGGACACACATCACAAATAAGTTTCTGAGAATGCTTCTGTCTAGTTTTTATTTGAAGATGTTTCCTTTTTCACCATAGGCCTGAAAGCGCTCGAAATGTCCACTTCCAGATAGTACAGAAAGAGTGTTTCAAACCTGCTCTATGAACGGGAATGTTCAGCTCTGTGAGTTGAATGCAAACATCACAAAGCAGGTTCTGAGAATGCTTCCGTCTAGATTTTAAATGAGGATATTCCCGTTTCCAACGAAATCCTCGAAGCTATCCAAATATCCACTTGCAGATTCCACAAAAAGAGTGTTTCAAAACTGCTCTGTCAAAAGATAGGTTCAACTCTGTTAGTTGAGTACACACATGGCAAACAAGATTCCGAGAATGCTTTCGTCTAGTTTTTTTGGGAAGATATTTCCTTCTTCACCATAGGCCTCAAAGCGCTCCAAATATCCATTTCCACATGCTATACAAAGAGTGTCTCAAACCTGCTGTATGAATGGGAATGTTCAACTCTATGAGTTGAATGCAAACATCACAAAGAAGTTTCTGAGAATGCTGCTGTCTAGATTTTATATGAAGGTTTTCCCGCTTCCAACGAAATTTTCAATGCTCTCTAAATATCCTCTTGTAGATTCTACAAAAAGAGTGTTTCCAAACTGCTGTATCAAAACAAAGGTTCATCTCTGTTAGTTGAGGACACACATCACAAATAAGTTTCTGAGAATGCTTCTGTCTAGTTCTTATTTGAAGACATTTCCTTTCTCACCTTAGGCCTGAAAGCGCTCGAAATACCCACTTCCAGATACTACAGAAACAGTGATTCAAACCTGCTCTATGAAAGGGAATGTTCAACTATGTGACTTGAATGCAAACATCACAAAGCAGTTTCTGAGAATGCTGCTGTCTACTTTCTATTTGTAATCCCGTTTCCAACGAAATCCTCAGAACTATCGAAATTTCCAATTGCAGATTCCACAGAAACAGGGTTTCAAAGCTGCTCTGTAAAAAGAAAGGTTCAACTCTGTTAGTTGAATACACACGTCACAAACAAGTTTCTGAGAATGCTTCTGTCTAGTTTTTATGGGAAGATATTTCCTTTTTCACCGTAGGCCTCAAAGCGCTCCAAATGTCCACTTCCACATACTACAAAAAGAGTGTTTCAAACCTGCTGTATGAAAGGGAATGTTCAACTCTATGAGTTGAATGCAAACATTACAAAGAAGTTTCTGAGAATGCTTCTGTCTAGATTTTATATGAAGGTTTTCCCGTTTCCAACGAAATTTTCAATGCTCTCAAAATATCCACTTGTAGATTCTACAAAAAGAGTGTTTCCAAACTGCTGTGTCAAAAGAAAGGTTCAACTCTGTTAGTTGAGGACACACATCACAAATAAGTTTCTGAGAATGCTTCTGTCTAGTTCTTATTTGAAGACATTTCCTTTCTCACCTTAGGCCTGAAAACGCTCGAAATATCCACTTCCAGATACGACAGAAACAGTGATTCAAACCTGCTCTATGAAAGGGAATGTTCAACTAGGTGACTTGAATGCAAACATCACAAAGCAGTTTCTGAGAATGCTGCTGTCTACTTTCTATTTGTAATCCCGTTTCCAACGAAATCCTCAGAACTATCGAAATTTCCAATTGCAGATTCCACAAAAAGCGTGTTTCAAAGCTGCTCTGTAAAAAGAAAGGTTCAACTCTGTTAGTTGAATACACACGTCACAAACAAGTTTCTGAGAATGCTTCTGTCTAGTTTTTATGGGAAGATATTTCCTTTTTCACCGTAGGCCTCAAAGCGCTCCAAATGTCCACTTCCACATACTACAAAAAGAGTGTTTCAAACCTGCTCCTATGATAGGGAATGTTGAAACCTATGAGTTGAATGCAAGCATTACAAAGAAGTTTCTGAGAATGCTTCTGTCTAGATTTTATATGTAGATATTCCCGTTTCCAACGAAATCCTCAAAGCTATCCAAATATCAACTTGCAGATTCTACAAAAGGAATGTTTCCAAAATGCTGTATCCAAACAAAGGTTCAACTCTGTGAATTGAGGGCATACATCACAAAGAAGATTCTGAGAATGCTTCTGTCTAGATTTTATATGAAAATATTCCCGTTTCCAACGAAATCCTCAAAGCTATCCAAATATCCACTTGCAAATGCCACAAAAAGAGTGTTTCCAAACTGCTCTGTGAAAAGGAAGGTTCAACTCTGTTAGTTGAGTACACACATCACAAAGAGGTTTCTGAGAATGCTGCTGACTAGTTTTTATTTGAAGATATTTCCCTTTTCACCTTAGGCCTAAGAGTGCTCGAAATGCCCATTTCCACATACTCCACAAAGTGTGTTTCAAACGTGCTGTATGAAAGGGAATGTTCAACTCTATGAGTTGAATGCAAACATCACAAAGAAGATTCTGAGAATGCTTTTGTCTAGCATTTTATATGAAGATATTCCCGTGTCCAACGAAATTTTCAAAGGTCTCCAAATATCCATTTGTAGATTCTACAAAAAGAGTGTTTCCAAACTGCTGTATCAAAACAAAGGTTGAACTCTGTGAGTTGAGGACACACATCACAAATAAGTTTCTGAGAATGCTTCTGTCTAGTTTTTATTTGAAGATGTTTCCTTTTTCACCATAGGCCTGAAAGCGCTCGAAATGTCCACTTCCAGATAGTACAGAAAGAGTGTTTCAAACCTGCTCTATGAACGGGAATGTTCAGCTCTGTGAGTTGAATGCAAACATCACAAAGCAGGTTCTGAGAATGCTTCCGTCTAGATTTTAAATGAGGATATTCCCGTTTCCAACGAAATCCTCGAAGCTATCCAAATATCCACTTGCAGATTCCACAAAAAGAGTGTTTCAAAACTGCTCTGTCAAAAGATAGGTTCAACTCTGTTAGTTGAGTACACACATGGCAAACAAGATTCCGAGAATGCTTTCGTCTAGTTTTTTTGGGAAGATATTTCCTTCTTCACCATAGGCCTCAAAGCGCTCCAAATATCCATTTCCACATGCTATACAAAGAGTGTCTCAAACCTGCTGTATGAATGGGAATGTTCAACTCTATGAGTTGAATGCAAACATCACAAAGAAGTTTCTGAGAATGCTGCTGTCTAGATTTTATATGAAGGTTTTCCCGCTTCCAACGAAATTTTCAATGCTCTCAAAATATCCTCTTGTAGATTCTACAAAAAGAGTGTTTCCAAACTGCTGTATCAAAACAAAGGTTCATCTCTGTTAGTTGAGGACACACATCACAAATAAGTTTCTGAGAATGCTTCTGTCTAGTTCTTATTTGAAGACATTTCCTTTCTCACCTTAGGCCTGAAAGCGCTCGAAATATCCACTTCCAGATACGACAGAAACTGTGATTCAAACCTGCTCTATGAAAGGGAATGTTCAACTAGGTGACTTGAATGCAAACATCACAAAGCAGTTTCTGAGAATGCTGCTGTCTACTTTCTATTTGTAATCCCGTTTCCAACGAAATCCTCAGAACTATCGAAATTTCCAATTGCAGATTCCACAAAAAGCGTGTTTCAAAGCTGCTCTGTAAAAAGAAAGGTTCAACTCTGTTAGTTGAATACACACGTCACAAACAAGTTTCTGAGAATGCTTCTGTCTAGTTTTTATGGGAAGATATTTCCTTTTTCACCGTAGGCCTCAAAGCGCTCCAAATGTCCACTTCCACATACTACAAAAAGAGTGTTTCAAACCTGCTGTATGAAAGGGAATGTTCAACTCTATGAGTTGAATGCAAACATTACAAAGAAGTTTCTGAGAATGCTTCTGTCTAGATTTTATGTGAAGATTTTCCCGTTTCCAACGAAATTTTCAATGCTCTCAAAATATCCACTTGTAGATTCTACAAAAAGAGTGTTTCCAAACTGCTGTGTCAAAAGAAAGGTTCAACTCTGTTAGTTTAGGACACACATCACAAATAAGTTTCTGCGAATGCTTCTGTCTAGTTCTTATTTGAAGACATTTCCTTTCTCACCTTAGGCCTGAAAACACTCGAAATATCCACTTCCAGATACGACAGAAACAGTGATTCAAACCTGCTCTATGAAAGGGAATGTTCAACTAGGTGACTTGAATGCAAACATCACAAAGCAGTTTCTGAGAATGCTGCTGTCTACTTTCTATTTGTAATCCCGTTTCCAACGAAATCCTCAGAACTATCGAAATTTCCAATTGCAGATTCCACAAAAAGCGTGTTTCAAAGCTGCTCTGTAAAAAGAAAGGTTCAACTCTGTTAGTTGAATACACACGTCACAAACAAGTTTCTGAGAATGCTTCTGTCTAGTTTTTATGGGAAGATATTTCCTTTTTCACGGTAGGCCTCAAAGCGCTCCAAATGTCCACTTCCACATACTACAAAAAGAGTGTTTCAAACCTGCTCTATGATAGGGAATGTTGAAACCTATGAGTTGAATGCAAGCATTACAAAGAGGTTTCTGAGAATGCTTCTGTCTAGATTTTATATGTAGATATTCCCGTTTCCAACGAAATCCTCAAAGCTATCCAAATATCATCTTGCAGATTCTACAAAAGGAATGTTTCCAAAATGCTGTATCCAAACAAAGGTTCAACTCTGTGAATTGAGGGCATACATCACAAAGAAGATTCTGAGAATGCTTCTGTCTAGATTTTATATGAAAATATTCCCGTTTCCAACGAAATCCTCAATGCTATCCAAATATCCACTTGCAAATGCCACAAAAAGAGTGTTTCCAAACTGCTCTGTGAAAAGGAAGGTTCAACTCTGTTAGTTGAGTACACACATCACAAAGAGGTTTCTGAGAATGCTGCTGGCTAGTTTTTATTTGAAGATATTTCCCTTTTCACCTTAGGCCTAAGAGTGCTCGAAATGTCCATTTCCACATACTCCACAAAGTGTGTTCCAAACGTGCTGTATGAAAGGGAATGTTCAACTCTATGAGTTGAATGCAAACATCACAAAGAAGATTCTGAGAATGCTTTTGTCTAGATTTTATATGAAGATATTCCCGTGTCCAACGAAATTTTCAATGGTCTCCAAATATCCATTTGTAGATTCTACAAAAAGAGTGTTTCCAAACTGCTGTATCAAAACAAAGGTTGAACTCTGTGAGTTGAGGACACACATCACAAATAAGTTTCTGAGAATGCTTCTGTCTAGTTTTTATTTGAAGATATTTCCTTTTTCACCATAGGCCTGAAAGCGCTCGAAATGTCCACTTCCAGATAGTACAGAAAGAGTGTTTCAAACCTGCTCTATGAACAGGAATGTTCAGCTCTGTGAGTTGAATGCAAACATCACAAAGCAGGTTCTGAGAATGCTTCCGTCTAGATTTTATATGAGGATATTCCCGTTTCCAAGGTAAATCCTCGAAGCTATCCAAATATCCATTTGCAGATTCCACAAAAAGAGTGTTTCAAAACTGCTCTGTCAAAAGATAGGTTCAACTCTGTTAGTTGAGAACACACATGGCAAACAAGATTGCGAGAATGCTTTCGTCTAGTTTTTTTGGGAAGATATTCCCTTCTTCACCATAGGCCTCAAAGCGCGCCAAATATCCATTTCCACATACTATACAAAGAGTGTCTCAAACCTGCTGTATGAATGGGAATGTTCAACTCTATGAGTTGAATGCAAACATCACAAAGAAGTTTCTGAGAATGCTGCTGTCTAGATTTTATATGAAGGTTTTCCCGCTTCCAATGAAATTTTCAATGCTCTCAAAATATCCTCTTGTAGATTCTACAAAAAGAGTGTTTCTAAACTGCTGTGTCAAAACAAAGGTTCATCTCTGTTAGTTGAGGACACACATCACAAATAAGTTTCTGAGAATGCTTCTGTCTAGTTCTTATTTGAAGACATTTCCTTTCTCACCTTAGGCCTGAAAACGCTCGAAATATCCACTTCCAGATACGACAGAAACAGTGATTCAAACCTGCTCTATGAAAGGGAATGTTCAACTAGGTGACTTGAATGCAAACATCACAAAGCAGTTTCTGAGAATGCTGCTGTCTACTTTCTATTTGTAATCCCGTTTCCAACGAAATCCTCAGAACTATCGAAATTTCCAATTGCAGATTCCACAAAAAGCGTGTTTCAAAGCTGCTCTGTAAAAAGAAAGGTTCAACTCTGTTAGTTGAATACACACGTCACAAACAAGTTTCTGAGAATGCTTCTGTCTAGTTTTTATGGGAAGATATTTCCTTTTTCACCGTAGGCCTCAAAGCGCTCCAAATGTCCACTTCCACATACTACAAAAAGAGTGTTTCAAACCTGCTCTATGATAGGGAATGTTGAAACCTATGAGTTGAATGCAAGCATTACAAAGAGGTTTCTGAGAATGCTTCTGTCTAGTATTTTATATGTAGATATTCCCGTTTCCAACGAAATCCTCAAAGCTATCCAAATATCAACTTGCAGATTCTACAAAAGGAATGTTTCCAAAATGCTGTATCCAAACAAAGGTTCAACTCTGTGAATTGAGGGCATACATCACAAAGAAGATTCTGAGAATGCTTCTGTCTAGATTTTATATGAAAATATTCCCGTTTCCAACGAAATCCTCAAAGCTATCCAAATATCCACTTGCAAATGCCACAAAAAGAGTGTTTCCAAACTGCTCTGTGAAAAGGAAGGTTCAACTCTGTTAGTTGAGTACACACATCACAAAGAGGTTTCTGAGAATGCTGCTGACTAGTTTTTATTTGAAGATATTTCCCTTTTCACCTTAGGCCTAAGAGTGCTCGAAATGTCCATTTCCACATACTCCACAAAGTGTGTTTCAAACGTGCTGTATGAAAGGGAATGTTCAACTCTATGAGTTGAATGCAAACATCACAAAGAAGATTCTGAGAATGCTTTTGTCTAGATTTTATATGAAGATATTCCCGTGTCCAACGAAATTTTCAAAGGTCTCCAAATATCCATTTGTAGATTCTACAAAAAGAGTGTTTCCAAACTGCTGTATCAAAACAAAGGTTGAACTCTGTGAGTTGAGGACACACATCACAAATAAGTTTCTGAGAATGCTTCTGTCTAGTTTTTATTTGAAGATGTTTCCTTTTTCACCATAGGCCTGAAAGCGCTCGAAATGTCCACTTCCAGATAGTACAGAAAGAGTGTTTCAAACCTGCTCTATGAACGGGAATGTTCAGCTCTGTGAGTTGAATGCAAACATCACAAAGCAGGTTCTGAGAATGCTTCCGTCTAGATTTTAAATGAGGATATTCCCGTTTCCAACGAAATCCTCGAAGCTATCCAAATATCCACTTGCAGATTCCACAAAAAGAGTGTTTCAAAACTGCTCTGTCAAAAGATAGGTTCAACTCTGTTAGTTGAGTACACACATGGCAAACAAGATTCCGAGAATGCTTTCGTCTAGTTTTTTTGGGAAGATATTTCCTTCTTCACCATAGGCCTCAAAGCGCTCCAAATATCCATTTCCACATGCTATACAAAGAGTGTCTCAAACCTGCTGTATGAATGGGAATGTTCAACTCTATGAGTTGAATGCAAACATCACAAAGAAGTTTCTGAGAATGCTGCTGTCTAGATTTTATATGAAGGTTTTCCCGCTTCCAACGAAATTTTCAATGCTCTCAAAATATCCTCTTGTAGATTAAAACAAAAAGAGTGTTTCCAAACTGCTGTATCAAAACAAAGGTTCATCTCTGTTAGTTGAGGACACACATCACAAATAAGTTTCTGAGAATGCTTCTGTCTAGTTCTTATTTGAAGACATTTCCTTTCTCACCTTAGGCCTGAAAGCGCTCGAAATACCCACTTCCAGATACTACAGAAACAGTGATTCAAACCTGCTCTATGAAAGGGAATGTTCAACTAGGTGACTTGAATGCAAACATCACAAAGCAGTTTCTGAGAATGCTGCTGTCTACTTTCTATTTGTAATCCCGTTTCCAACGAAATCCTCAGAACTATCGAAATTTCCAATTGCAGATTCCACAGAAACAGGGTTTCAAAGCTGCTCTGTAAAAAGAAAGGTTCAACTCTGTTAGTTGAATACACACGTCACAAACAAGTTTCTGAGAATGCTTCTGTCTAGTTTTTATGGGAAGATATTTCCTTTTTCACCGTAGGCCTCAAAGCGCTCCAAATGTCCACTTCCACATACTACAAAAAGAGTGTTTCAAACCTGCTCTATGATAGGGAATGTTGAAACCTATGAGTTGAATGCCAGCATTACAAAGAGGTTTCTGAGAATGCTTCTGTCTAGA
This sequence comes from Homo sapiens, assembly GCF_000001405.40. Lineage (NCBI taxonomy): Eukaryota > Metazoa > Chordata > Mammalia > Primates > Hominidae > Homo > Homo sapiens. The sequence continues at coordinate 18,589,096 of NC_000015.10, read as the reverse complement.
TTTTATATGTAGATATTCCCGTTTCCAACGAAATCCTCAAAGCTATCCAAATATCAACTTGCAGATTCTACAAAAGGAATGTTTCCAAAATGCTGTATCCAAACAAAGGTTCAACTCTGTGAATTGAGGGCATACATCACAAGGAAGATTCTGAGAATGCTTCTGTCTAGATTTTATATGAAAATATTCCCGTTTCCAAAGAAATCCTCAAAGCTATCCAAATATCCACTTGCAAATGCCACAAAAAGAGTGTTTCCAAACTGCTCTGTGAAAAGGAAGGTTCAACTCTGTTAGTTGAGTACACACATCACAAAGAGGTTTCTGAGAATGCTGCTGACTAGTTTTTATTTGAAGATATTTCCCTTTTCACCTTAGGCCTAAGAGTGCTCGAAATGTCCATTTCCACATACTCCACAAAGTGTGTTTCAAACGTGCTGTATGAAAGGGAATGTTCAACTCTATGAGTTGAATGCAAACATCACAAAGAAGATTCTGAGAATGCTTTTGTCTAGATTTTATATGAAGATATTCCCGTGTCCAACGAAATTTTCAAAGGTCTCCAAATATCCATTTGTAGATTCTACAAAAAGAGTGTTTCCAAACTGCTGTATCAAAACAAAGGTTGAACTCTGTGAGTTGAGGACACACATCACAAATAAGTTTCTGAGAATGCTTCTGTCTAGTTTTTATTTGAAGATGTTTCCTTTTTCACCATAGGCCTGAAAGCGCTCGAAATGTCCACTTCCAGATAGTACAGAAAGAGTGTTTCAAACCTGCTCTATGAACGGGAATGTTCAGCTCTGTGAGTTGAATGCAAACATCACAAAGCAGGTTCTGAGAATGCTTCCGTCTAGATTTTAAATGAGGATATTCCCGTTTCCAACGAAATCCTCGAAGCTATCCAAATATCCACTTGCAGATTCCACAAAAAGAGTGTTTCAAAACTGCTCTGTCAAAAGATAGGTTCAACTCCGTTAGTTGAGTACACACATGGCAAACAAGATTGCGAGAATGCTTTCGTCTAGTTTTTTTGGGAAGATATTTCCTTCTTCACCATAGGCCTCAAAGCGCTCCAAATATCCATTTCCACATGCTATACAAAGAGTGTCTCAAACCTGCTGTATGAATGGGAATGTTCAACTCTATGAGTTGAATGCAAACATCACAAAGAAGTTTCTGAGAATGCTGCTGTCTAGATTTTATATGAAGGTTTTCCCGCTTCCAACGAAATTTTCAATGCTCTCAAAATATCCTCTTGTAGATTCTACAAAAAGAGTGTTTCCAAACTGCTGTATCAAAACAAAGGTTCATCTCTGTTAGTTGAGGACACACATCACAAATAAGTTTCTGAGAATGCTTTGTTTCTAGTTCTTATTTGAAGACAATTTCCTTTCTCACCTTAGGCCTGAAAGCGCTCGAAATACCCACTTCCAGATACTACAGAAACAGTGATTCAAACCTGCTCTATGAAAGGGAATGTTCAACTAGGTGACTTGAATGCAAACATCACAAAGCAGTTTCTGAGAATGCTGCTGTCTACTTTCTATTTGTAATCCCGTTTCCAACGAAATCCTCAGAACTATCGAAATTTCCAATTGCAGATTCCACAGAAACAGGGTTTCAAAGCTGCTCTGTAAAAAGAAAGGTTCAACTCTGTTAGTTGAATACACACGTCACAAACAAGTTTCTGAGAATGCTTCTGTCTAGTTTTGATGGGAAGATATTTCCTTTTTCACCGTAGGCCTCAAAGCGCTCCAAATGTCCACTTCCACATACTACAAAAAGAGTGTTTCAAACCTGCTGTATGAAAGGGAATGTTCAACTCTATGAGTTGAATGCAAACATTACAAAGAAGTTTCTGAGAATGCTTCTGTCTAGATTTTATATGAAGATTTTCCCGTTTCCAACGAAATTTTCAATGCTCTCAAAATATCCACTTGTAGATTCTACAAAAAGAGTGTTTCCAAACTGCTGTGTCAAAAGAAAGGTTCAACTCTGTTAGTTGAGGACACACATCACAAATAAGTTTCTGAGAATGCTTCTGTCTAGTTCTTATTTGAAGACATTTCCTTTCTCACCTTAGGCCTGAAAACGCTCGAAATATCCACTTCCAGATACGACAGAAACAGTGATTCAAACCTGCTCTATGAAAGGGAATGTTCAACTAGGTGACTTGAATGCAAACATCACAAAGCAGTTTCTGAGAATGCTGCTGTCTACTTTCTATTTGTAATCCCGTTTCCAACGAAATCCTCAGAACTATCGAAATTTCCAATTGCAGATTCCACAAAAAGCGTGTTTCAAAGCTGCTCTGTAAAAAGAAAGGTTCAACTCTGTTAGTTGAATACACACGTCACAAACAAGTTTCTGAGAATGCTTCTGTCTAGTTTTTATGGGAAGATATTTCCTTTTTCACCGTAGGCCTCAAAGCGCTCCAAATGTCCACTTCCACATACTACAAAAAGAGTGTTTCAAACCTGCTCTATGATAGGGAATGTTGAAACCTATGAGTTGAATGCAAGCATTACAAAGAGGTTTCTGAGAATGCTTCTGTCTAGATTTTATATGTAGATATTCCCGTTTCCAACGAAATCCTCAAAGCTATCCAAATATCAACTTGCAGATTCTACAAAAGGAATGTTTCCAAAATGCTGTATCCAAACGAAGGTTCAACTCTGTGAATTGAGGGCATACATCACAAAGAAGATTCTGAGAATGCTTCTGTCTAGATTTTATATGAAAATATTCCCGTTTCCAACGAAATCCTCAAATCTATCCAAATATCCACTTGCAAATGCCACAAAAAGAGTGTTTCCAAACTGCTCTGTGAAAAGGAAGGTTCAACTCTGTTAGTTGAGTACACACATCACAAAGAGGTTTCTGAGAATGCTGCTGACTAGTTTTTATTTGAAGATATTTCCCTTTTCACCTTAGGCCTAAGAGTGCTCGAAATGTCCATTTCCACATACTCCACAAAGTGTGTTTCAAACGTGCTGTATGAAAGGGAATGTTCAACTCTATGAGTTGAATGCAAACATCACAAAGAAGATTCTGAGAATGCTTTTGTCTAGATTTTATATGAAGATATTCCCGTGTCCAACGAAATTTTCAAAGGTCTCCAAATATCCATTTGTATATTCTACAAAAAGAGTGTTTCCAAACTGCTGTATCAAAACAAAGGTTGAACTCTGTGAGTTGAGGACACACATCACAAATAAGTTTCTGAGAATGCTTCTGTCTAGTTTTTATTTGAAGATGTTTCCTTTTTCACCATAGGCCTGAAAGCGCTCGAAATGTCCACTTCCAGATAGTACAGAAAGAGTGTTTCAAACCTGCTCTATGAACGGGAATGTTCAGCTCTGTGAGTTGAATGCAAACATCACAAAGCAGGTTCTGAGAATGCTTCCGTCTAGATTTTAAAGGAGGATATTCCCGTTTCCAACGAAATCCTCGAAGCTATCCAAATATCCACTTGCAGATTCCACAAAAAGAGTGTTTCAAAACTGCTCTGTCAAAAGATAGGTTCAACTCTGTTAGTTGAGTACACACATGGCAAACAAGATTCCGAGAATGCTTTCGTCTAGTTTTTTTGGGAAGATATTTCCTTCTTCACCATAGGCCTCAAAGCGCTCCAAATATCCATTTCCACATGCTATACAAAGAGTGTCTCAAACCTGCTGTATGAATGGGAATGTTCAACTCTATGAGTTGAATGCAAACATCACAAAGAAGTTTCTGAGAATGCTGCTGTCTAGATTTTATATGAAGGTTTTCCCGCTTCCAACGAAATTTTCAATGCTCTCAAAATATCCTCTTGTAGATTCTACAAAAAGAGTGTTTCCAAACTGCTGTATCAAAACAAAGGTTCATCTCTGTTAGTTGAGGACACACATCACAAATAAGTTTCTGAGAATGCTTCTGTCTAGTTCTTATTTGAAGACATTTCCTTTCTCACCTTAGGCCTGAAAGCGCTCGAAATACCCACTTCCAGATACTACAGAAACAGTGATTCAAACCTGTTCTATGAAAGGGAATGTTCAACTAGGTGACTTGAATGCAAACATCACAAAGCAGTTTCTGAGAATGCTGCTGTCTACTTTCTATTTGTAATCCCGTTTCCAACGAAATCCTCAGAACTATCGAAATTTCCAATTGCAGATTCCACAAAAAGCATGTTTCAAAGCTGCTCTGTAAAAAGAAAGGTTCAACTCTGTTAGTTGAATACACACGTCACAAACAAGTTTCTGAGAATGCTTCTGTCTAGTTTTTATGGGAAGATATTTCCTTTTTCACCGTAGGCCTCAAAGCGCTCCAAATGTCCACTTCCACATACTACAAAAAGAGTGTTTCAAACCTGCTCTATGATAGGGAATGTTGAAACCTATGAGTTGAATGCAAACATTACAAAGAGGTTTCTGAGAATGCTTCTGTCTAGATTTTATATGTAGATATTCCCGTTTCCAACGAAATCCTCAAAGCTATCCAAATATCAACTTGCAGATTCTACAAAAGGAATGTTTCCAAAATGCTGTATCCAAACAAAGGTTCAACTCTGTGAATTGAGGGCATACATCACAAAGAAGATTCTGAGAATGCTTCTGTCTAGATTTTATATGAAAATATTCCCGTTTCCAACGAAATCCTCAAAGCTATCCAAATATCCACTTGCAAATGCCACAAAAAGAGTGTTTCCAAACTGCTCTGTGAAAAGGAAGGTTCAACTCTGTTAGTTGAGTACACACATCACAAAGAGGTTTCTGAGAATGCTGCTGACTAGTTTTTATTTGAAGATATTTCCCTTTTCACCTTAGGCCTAAGAGTGCTCGAAATGTCCATTTCCACATACTCCACAAAGTGTGTTTCAAACGTGCTGTATGAAAGGGAATGTTCAACTCTATGAGTTGAATGCAAACATCACAAAGAAGATTCTGAGAATGCTTTTGTCTAGATTTTATATGAAGATATTCCCGTGTCCAACGAAATTTTCAAAGGTCTCCAAATAAAGATTGTTTCCAAACTGCTGTATCAAAACAAAGGTTGAACTCTGTGAGTTGAGGACACACATCACAAATAAGTTTCTGAGAATGCTTCTGTCTAGTTTTTATTTGAAGATGTTTCCTTTTTCACCATAGGCCTGAAAGCGCTCGAAATGTCCACTTCCAGATAGTACAGAAAGAGTGTTTCAAACCTGCTCTATGAACGGGAATGTTCAGCTCTGTGAGTTGAATGCAAACATCACAAAGCAGGTTCTGAGAATGCTTCCGTCTAGATTTTAAATGAGGATATTCCCGTTTCCAACGAAATCCTCGAAGCTATCCAAATATCCACTTGCAGATTCCACAAAAAGAGTGTTTCAAAACTGCTCTGTCAAAAGATAGGTTCAACTCTGTTAGTTGAGTACACACATGGCAAACAAGATTCCGAGAATGCTTTCGTCTAGTTTTTTTGGGAAGATATTTCCTTCTTCACCATAGGCCTCAAAGCGCTCCAAATATCCATTTCCACATGCTATACAAAGAGTGTCTCAAACCTGCTGTATGAATGGGAATGTTCAACTCTATGAGTTGAATGCAAACATCACAAAGAAGTTTCTGAGAATGCTGCTGTCTAGATTTTATATGAAGGTTTTCCCGCTTCCAACGAAATTTTCAATGCTCTCAAAATATCCTCTTGTAGATTCTACAAAAAGAGTGTTTCCAAACTGCTGTATCAAAACAAAGGTTCATCTCTGTTAGTTGAGGACACACATCACAAATAAGTTTCTGAGAATGCTTCTGTCTAGTTCTTATTTGAAGACATTTCCTTTCTCACCTTAGGCCTGAAAGCGCTCGAAATACCCACTTCCAGATACTACAGAAACAGTGATTCAAACCTGCTCTATGAAAGGGAATGTTCAACTAGGTGACTTGAATGCAAACATCACAAAGCAGTTTCTGAGAATGCTGCTGTCTACTTTCTATTTGTAATCCCGTTTCCAACGAAATCCTCAGAACTATCGAAATTTCCAATTGCAGATTCCACAGAAACAGGGTTTCAAAGCTGCTCTGTAAAAAGAAAGGTTCAACTCTGTTAGTTGAATACACACGTCACAAACAAGTTTCTGAGAATGCTTCTGTCTAGTTTTTATGGGAAGATATTTCCTTTTTCACCATAGGCCTCAAAGCGCTCCAAATGTCCACTTCCACATACTACAAAAAGAGTGTTTCAAACCTGCTGTATGAAAGGGAATGTTCAACTCTATGAGTTGAATGCAAACATTACAAAGAAGTTTCTGAGAATGCTTCTGTCTAGATTTTATATGAAGGTTTTCCCGTTTCCAACGAAATTTTCAATGCTCTCAAAATATCCACTTGTAGATTCTACAAAAAGAGTGTTTCCTAACTGCTGTGTCAAAAGAAAGGTTCAACTCTGTTAGTTGAGGACACACATCACAAATAAGTTTCTGAGAATGCTTCTGTCTAGTTCTTATTTGAAGACATTTCCTTTCTCACCTTAGGCCTGAAAACGCTCGAAATATCCACTTCCAGATACGACAGAAACAGTGATTCAAACCTGCTCTATGAAAGGGAATGTTCAACTAGGTGACTTGAATGCAAACATCACAAAGCAGTTTCTGAGAATGCTGCTGTCTACTTTCTATTTGTAATCCCGTTTCCAACGAAATCCTCAGAACTATCGAAATTTCCAATTGCAGATTCCAGAAAAAGCGTGTTTCAAAGCTGCTCTGTAAAAAGAAAGGTTCAACTCTGTTAGTTGAATACACACGTCACAAACAAGTTTCTGAGAATGCTTCTGTCTAGTTTTTATGGGAAGATATTTCCTTTTTCACCGTAGGCCTCAAAGCGCTCCAAATGTCCACTTCCACATACTACAAAAAGAGTGTTTCAAACCTGCTCTATGATAGGGAATGTTGAAACCTATGAGTTGAATGCAAGCATTACAAAGAGGTTTCTGAGAATGCTTCTGTCTAGATTTTATATGTAGATATTCCCGTTTCCAACGAAATCCTCAAAGCTATCCAAATATCAACTTGCAGATTCTACAAAAGGAATGTTTCCAAAATGCTGTATCCAAACAAAGGTTCAACTCTGTGAATTGAGGGCATACATCACAAAGAAGATTCTGAGAATGCTTCTGTCTAGATTTTATATGAAAATATTCCCGTTTCCAACGAAATCCTCAAAGCTATCCAAATATCCACTTGCAAATGCCACAAAAAGAGTGTTTCCAAACTGCTCTGTGAAAAGGAAGGTTCAACTCTGTTAGTTGAGTACACACATCACAAAGAGGTTTCTGAGAATGCTGCTGACTAGTTTTTATTTGAAGATATTTCCCTTTTCACCTTAGGCCTAAGAGTGCTCGAAATGTCCATTTCCACATACTCCACAAAGTGTGTTTCAAACGTGCTGTATGAAAGGGAATGTTCAACTCTATGAGTTGAATGCAAACATCACAAAGAAGATTCTGAGAATGCTTTTGTCTAGATTTTATATGAAGATATTCCCGTGTCCAACGAAATTTTCAAAGGTCTCCAAATATCCATTTGTAGATTCTACAAAAAGAGTGTTTCCAAACTGCTGTATCAAAACAAAGGTTGAACTCTGTGAGTTGAGGACACACATCACAAATAAGTTTCTGAGAATGCTTCTGTCTAGTTTTTATTTGAAGATGTTTCCTTTTTCACCATAGGCCTGAAAGCGCTCGAAATGTCCACTTCCAGATAGTACAGAAAGAGTGTTTCAAACCTGCTCTATGAACGGGAATGTTCAGCTCTGTGAGTTGAATGCAAACATCACAAAGCAGGTTCTGAGAATGCTTCCGTCTAGATTTTAAATGAGGATATTCCCGTTTCCAACGAAATCCTCGAAGCTATCCAAATATCCACTTGCAGATTCCACAAAAAGAGTGTTTCAAAACTGCTCTGTCAAAAGATAGGTTCAACTCTGTTAGTTGAGTACACACATGGCAAACAAGATTCCGAGAATGCTTTCGTCTAGTTTTTTTGGGAAGATATTTCCTTCTTCACCATAGGCCTCAAAGCGCTCCAAATATCCATTTCCACATGCTATACAAAGAGTGTCTCAAACCTGCTGTATGAATGGGAATGTTCAACTCTATGAGTTGAATGCAAACATCACAAAGAAGTTTCTGAGAATGCTGCTGTCTAGATTTTATATGAAGGTTTTCCCGCTTCCAACGAAATTTTCAATGCTCTCAAAATATCCTCTTGTAGATTCTACAAAAAGAGTGTTTCCAAACTGCTGTATCAAAACAAAGGTTCATCTCTGTTAGTTGAGGACACACATCACAAATAAGTTTCTGAGAATGCTTCTGTCTAGTTCTTATTTGAAGACATTTCCTTTCTCACCTTAGGCCTGAAAGCGCTCGAAATACCCACTTCCAGATACTACAGAAACAGTGATTCAAACCTGCTCTATGAAAGGGAATGTTCAACTATGTGACTTGAATGCAAACATCACAAAGCAGTTTCTGAGAATGCTGCTGTCTACTTTCTATTTGTAATCCCGTTTCCAACGAAATCCTCAGAACTATCGAAATTTCCAATTGCAGATTCCACAGAAACAGGGTTTCAAAGCTGCTCTGTAAAAAGAAAGGTTCAACTCTGTTAGTTGAATACACACGTCACAAACAAGTTTCTGAGAATGATTCTGTCTAGTTTTTATGGGAAGATATTTCCTTTTTCACCGTAGGCCTCAAAGCGCTCCAAATGTCCACTTCCACATACTACAAAAAGGGTGTTTCAAACCTGCTGTATGAAAGGGAATGTTCAACTCTATGAGTTGAATGCAAACATTACAAAGAAGTTTCTGAGAATGCTTCTGTCTAGATTTTATATGAAGGTTTTCCCGTTTCCAACGAAATTTTCAATGCTCTCAAAATATCCACTTGTAGATTCTACAAAAAGAGTGTTTCCAAACTGCTGTGTCAAAAGAAAGGTTCAACTCTGTTAGTTGAGGACACACATCACAAATAAGTTTCTGAGAATGCTTCTGTCTAGTTCTTATTTGAAGACATTTCCTTTCTCACCTTAGGCCTGAAAACGCTCGAAATATCCACTTCCAGATACGACAGAAACAGTGATTCAAACCTGCTCTATGAAAGGGAATGTTCAACTAGGTGACTTGAATGCAAACATCACAAAGCAGTTTCTGAGAATGCTGCTGTCTACTTTCTATTTGTAATCCCGTTTCCAACGAAATCCTCAGAACTATCGAAATTTCCAATTGCAGATTCCACAGAAACAGGGTTTCAAAGCTGCTCTGTAAAAAGAAAGGTTCAACTCTGTTAGTTGAATACACACGTCACAAACAAGTTTCTGAGAATGCTTCTGTCTAGTTTTTATGGGAAGATACTTCCTTTTTCACCGTAGGCCTCAAAGCGCTCCAAATGTCCACTTCCACATACTACAAAAAGAGTGTTTCAAACCTGCTGTATGAAAGGGAATGTTCAACTCTATGAGTTGAATGCAAACATTACAAAGAAGTTTCTGAGAATGCTTCTGTCTAGATTTTATATGAAGGTTTTCCCGTTTCCAACGAAATTTTCAATGCTCTCAAAATATCCACTTGTAGATTCTACAAAAAGAGTGTTTCCAAACTGCTGTGTCAAAAGAAAGGTTCAACTCTGTTAGTTGAGGACACACATCACAAATAAGTTTCTGAGAATGCTGCTGTCTACTTTCTATTTGTAATCCCGTTTCCAACGAAATCCTCAGAACTATCGAAATTTCCAAATGCAGATTCCACAAAAAGCGTGTTTCAAAGCTGCTCTGTAAAAAGAAAGGTTCAACTCTGTTAGTTGAATACACACGTCACAAACAAGTTTCTGAGAATGCTTCTGTCTAGTTTTTATGGGAAGATATTTCCTTTTTCACCGTAGGCCTCAAAGCGCTCCAAATGTCCACTTCCACATACTACAAAAAGAGTGTTTCAAACCTGCTCTATGATAGGGAATGTTGAAACCTATGAGTTGAATGCAAGCATTACAAAGAGGTTTCTGAGAATGCTTCTGTCTAGATTTTATATGTAGATATTCCCGTTTCCAACGAAATCCTCAAAGCTATCCAAATATCAGCTTGCAGATTCTGCAAAAGGAATGTTTCCAAAATGCTGTATCCAAACAAAGGTTCAACTCTGTGAATTGAGGGCATACATCACAAAGAAGATTCTGAGAATGCTTCTGTCTAGATTTTATATGAAAATATTCCCGTTTCCAACGAAATCCTCAAAGCTATCCAAATATCCACTTGCAAATGCCACAAAAAGAGTGTTTCCAAACTGCTCTGTGAAAAGGAAGGTTCAACTCTGTTAGTTGAGTACACACATCACAAAGAGGTTTCTGAGAATGCTGCTGACTAGTTTTTATTTGAAGATATTTCCCTTTTCACCTTAGGCCTAAGAGTGCTCGAAATGTCCATTTCCACATACTCCACAAAGTGTGTTTCAAACGTGCTGTATGAAAGGGAATGTTCAACTCTATGAGTTGAATGCAAACATCACAAAGAAGATTCTGAGAATGCTTTTGTCTAGATTTTATATGAAGATATTCCCGTGTCCAACGAAATTTTCAAAGGTCTCCAAATATCCATTTGTAGATTCTACAAAAAGAGTGTTTCCAAACTGCTGTATCAAAACAAAGGTTGAACTCTGTGAGTTGAGGACACACATCACAAATAAGTTTCTGAGAATGCTTCTGTCTAGTTTTTATTTGAAGATGTTTCCTTTTTCACCATAGGCCTGAAAGCGCTCGAAATGTCCACTTCCAGATAGTACAGAAAGAGTGTTTCAAACCTGCTCTATGAACGGGAATGTTCAGCTCTGTGAGTTGAATGCAAACATCACAAAGCAGGTTCTGAGAATGCTTCCGTCTAGATTTTAAATGAGGATATTCCCGTTTCCAACGAAATCCTCGAAGCTATCCAAATATCCACTTGCAGATTCCACAAAAAGAGTGTTTCAAAACTGCTCTGTCAAAAGATAGGTTCAACTCTGTTAGTTGAGTACACACATGGCAAACAAGATTCCGAGAATGCTTTCGTCTAGTTTTTTTGGGAAGATATTTCCTTCTTCACCATAGGCCTCAAAGCGCTCCAAATATCCATTTCCACATGCTATACAAAGAGTGTCTCAAACCTGCTGTATGAATGGGAATGTTCAACTCTATGAGTTGAATGCAAACATCACAAAGAAGTTTCTGAGAATGCTGCTGTCTAGATTTTATATGAAGGTTTTCCCGCTTCCAACGAAATTTTCAATGCTCTCAAAATATCCTCTTGTAGATTCTACAAAAAGAGTGTTTCCAAACTGCTGTATCAAAACAAAGGTTCATCTCTGTTAGTTGAGGACACACATCACAAATAAGTTTCTGAGAATGCTTCTGTCTAGTTCTTATTTGAAGACATTTCCTTTCTCACCTTAGGCCTGAAAGCGCTCGAAATACCCACTTCCAGATACTACAGAAACAGTGATTCAAACCTGCTCTATGAAAGGGAATGTTCAACTATGTGACTTGAATGCAAACATCACAAAGCAGTTTCTGAGAATGCTGCTGTCTACTTTCTATTTGTAATCCCGTTTCCAACGAAATCCTCAGAACTATCGAAATTTCCAATTGCAGATTCCACAGAAACAGGGTTTCAAAGCTGCTCTGTAAAAAGAAAGGTTCAACTCTGTTAGTTGAATACACACGTCACAAACAAGTTTCTGAGAATGCTTCTGTCTAGTTTTTATGGGAAGATATTTCCTTTTTCACCGTAGGCCTCAAAGCGCTCCAAATGTCCACTTCCACATACTACAAAAAGAGTGTTTCAAACCTGCTGTATGAAAGGGAATGTTCAACTCTATGAGTTGAATGCAAACATTACAAAGAAGTTTCTGAGAATGCTTCTGTCTAGATTTTATATGAAGGTTTTCCCGTTTCCAACGAAATTTTCAATGCTCTCAAAATATCCACTTGTAGATTCTACAAAAAGAGTGTTTCCAAACTGCTGTGTCAAAAGAAAGGTTCAACTCTGTTAGTTGAGGACACACATCACAAATAAGTTTCTGAGAATGCTTCTGTCTAGTTCTTATTTGAAGACATTTCCTTTCTCACCTTAGGCCTGAAAACGCTCGAAATATCCACTTCCAGATACGACAGAAACAGTGATTCAAACCTGCTCTATGAAAGGGAATGTTCAACTAGGTGACTTGAATGCAAACATCACAAAGCAGTTTCTGAGAATGCTGCTGTCTACTTTCTATTTGTAATCCCGTTTCCAACGAAATCCTCAGAACTATCGAAATTTCCAATTGCAGATTCCACAAAAAGCGTGTTTCAAAGCTGCTCTGTAAAAAGAAAGGTTCAACTCTGTTAGTTGAATACACACGTCACAAACAAGTTTCTGAGAATGCTTCTGTCTAGTTTTTATGGGAAGATATTTCCTTTTTCACCGTAGGCCTCAAAGCGCTCCCAATGTCCACTTCCACATACTACAAAAAGAGTGTTTCAAACCTGCTCTATGATAGGGAATGTTGAAACCTATGAGTTGAATGCAAGCATTACAAAGAGGTTTCTGAGAATGCTTCTGTCTAGATTTTATATGTAGATATTCCGGTTTCCAACGAAATCCTCAAAGCTATCCAAATATCAACTTGCAGATTCTACAAAAGGAATGTTTCCAAAATGCTGTATCCAAACAAAGGTTCAACTCTGGGAATTGAGGGCATACATCACAAAGAAGATTCTGAGAATGCTTCTGTCTAGATTTTATATGAAAATATTCCCGTTTCCAACGAAATCCTCAAAGCTATCCAAATATCCACTTGCAAATGCCACAAAAAGAGTGTTTCCAAACTGCTCTGTGAAAAGGAAGGTTCAACTCTGTTAGTTGAGTACACACATCACAAAGAGGTTTCTGAGAATGCTGCTGACTAGTTTTTATTTGAAGATATTTCCCTTTTCACCTTAGGCCTAAGAGTGCTCGAAATGTCCATTTCCACATACTCCACAAAGTGTGTTTCAAACGTGCTGTATGAAAGGGAATGTTCAACTCTATGAGTTGAATGCAAACATCACAAAGAAGACTCTGAGAATGCTTTTGTCTAGATTTTATATGAAGATATTCCCGTGTCCAACGAAATTTTCAAAGGTCTCCAAATATCCATTTGTAGATTCTACAAAAAGAGTGTTTCCAAACTGCTGTATCAAAACAAAGGTTGAACTCTGTGAGTTGAGGACACACATCACAAGTAAGTTTCTGAGAATGCTTCTGTCTAGTTTTTATTTGAAGATGTTTCCTTTTTCACCATAGGCCTGAAAGCGCTCGAAATGTCCCCTTCCAGATAGTACAGAAAGAGTGTTTCAAACCTGCTCTATGAACGGGAATGTTCAGCTCTGTGAGTTGAATGCAAACATCACAAAGCAGGTTCCGAGAATGCTTCCGTCTAGATTTTAAATGAGGATATTCCCGTTTCCAACGAAATCCTCGAAGCTATCCAAATATCCACTTGCAGATTCCACAAAAAGAGTGTTTCAAAACTGCTCTGTCAAAAGATAGGTTCAACTCTGTTAGTTGAGTACACACATGGCAAACAAGATTCCGAGAATGCTTTCGTCTAGTTTTTTTGGGAAGATATTTCCTTCTTCACCATAGGCCTCAAAGCGCTCCAAATATCCATTTCCACATGCTATACAAAGAGTGTCTCAAACCTGCTGTATGAATGGGAATGTTCAACTCTATGAGTTGAATGCAAACATCACAAAGAAGTTTCTGAGAATGCTGCTGTCTAGATTTTATATGAAGGTTTTCCCGCTTCCAACGAAATTTTCAATGCTCTCAAAATATCCTCTTGTAGATTCTACAAAAAGAGTGTTTCCAAACTGCTGTATCAAAACAAAGGTTCATCTCTGTTAGTTGAGGACACACATCACAAATAAGTTTCTGAGAATGCTTCTGTCTAGTTCTTATTTGAAGACATTTCCTTTCTCACCTTAGGCCTGAAAGCGCTCGAAATACCCACTTCCAGATACTACAGAAACAGTGATTCAAACCTGCTCTATGAAAGGGAATGTTCAACAATGTGACTTGAATGCAAACATCACAAAGCAGTTTCTGAGAATGCTGCTGTCTACTTTCTATTTGTAATCCCGTTTCCAACGAAATCCTCAGAACTATCGAAATTTCCAATTGCAGATTCCACAGAAACAGGGTTTCAAAGCTGCTCTGTAAAAAGAAAGGTTCAACTCTGTTAGTTGAATACACACGTCACAAACAAGTTTCTGAGAATGCTTCTGTCTAGTTTTTATGGGAAGATATTTCCTTTTTCACCGTAGGCCTCAAAGCGCTCCAAATGTCCACTTCCACATACTACAAAAAGAGTGTTTCAAACCTGCTGTATGAAAGGGAATGTTCAACTCTATGAGTTGAATGCAAACATTACAAAGAAGTTTCTGAGAATGCTTCTGTCTAGATTTTATATGAAGGTTTTCCCGTTTCCAACGAAATTTTCAATGCTCTCAAAATATCCACTTGTAGATTCTACAAAAAGAGTGTTTCCAAACTGCTGTGTCAAAAGAAAGGTTCAACTCTGTTAGTTGAGGACACACATCACAAATAAGTTTCTGAGAATGCTTCTGTCTAGTTCTTATTTGAAGACATTTCCTTTCTCACCTTAGGCCTGAAAACGCTCGAAATATCCACTTCCAGATACGACAGAAACAGTGATTCAAACCTGCTCTATGAAAGGGAATGTTCAACTAGGTGACTTGAATGCAAACATCACAAAGCAGTTTCTGAGAATGCTGCTGTCTACTTTCTATTTGTAATCCCGTTTCCAACGAAATCCTCAGAACTATCGAAATTTCCAATTGCAGATTCCACAAAAAGCGTGTTTCAAAGCTGCTCTGTAAAAAGAAAGGTTCAACTCTGTTAGTTGAATACACACGTCACAAACAAGTTTCTGAGAATGCTTCTGTCTAGTTTTTATGGGAAGATATTTCCTTTTTCACGGTAGGCCTCAAAGCGCTCCAAATGTCCACTTCCACATACTACAAAAAGAGTGTTTCAAACCTGCTCTATGATAGGGAATGTTGAAACCTATGAGTTGAATGCAAGCATTACAAAGAGGTTTCTGAGAATGCTTCTGTCTAGATTTTATATGTAGATATTCCCGTTTCCAACGAAATCCTCAAAGCTATCCAAATATCAACTTGCAAATTCTGCAAAAGGAATGTTTCCAAAATGCTGTATCCAAACAAAGGTTCAACTCTGTGAATTGAGGGCATACATCACGAAGAAGATTCTGAGAATGCTTCTGTCTAGATTTTATATGAAAATATTCCCGTTTCCAACGAAATCCTCAAAGCTATCCAAATATCCACTTGCAAATGCCACAAAAAGAGTGTTTCCAAACTGCTCTGTGAAAAGGAAGGTTCAACTCTGTTAGTTGAGTACACACATCACAAAGAGGTTTCTGAGAATGCTGCTGACTAGTTTTTATTTGAAGATATTTCCCTTTTCACCTTAGGCCTAAGAGTGCTCGAAATGTCCATTTCCACATACTCCACAAAGTGTGTTTCAAACGTGCTGTATGAAAGGGAATGTTCAACTCTATGAGTTGAATGCAAACATCACAAAGAAGACTCTGAGAATGCTTTTGTCTAGATTTTATATGAAGATACTCCCGTGTCCAACGAAATTTTCAAAGGTCTCCAAATATCCATTTGTAGATTCTACAAAAAGAGTGTTTCCAAACTGCTGTATCAAAACAAAGGTTGAACTCTGTGAGTTGAGGACACACATCACAAATAAGTTTCTGAGAATGCTTCTGTCTAGTTTTTATTTGAAGATGTTTCCTTTTTCACCATAGGCCTGAAAGCGCTCGAAATGTCCACTTCCAGATAGTACAGAAAGAGTGTTTCAAACCTGCTCTATGAACGGGAATGTTCAGCTCTGTGAGTTGAATGCAAACATCACAAAGCAGGTGCCGAGAATGCTTCCGTCTAGATTTTAAATGAGGATATTCCCGTTTCCAACGAAATCCTCGAAGCTATCCAAATATCCACTTGCAGATTCCACAAAAAGAGTGTTTCAAAACTGCTCTGTCAAAAGATAGGTTCAACTCTGTTAGTTGAGTACACACATGGCAAACAAGATTGCGAGAATGCTTTCGTCTAGTTTTTTTGGGAAGATATTTCCTTCTTCACCATAGGCCTCAAAGCGCTCCAAATATCCATTTCCACATGCTATACAAAGAGTGTCTCAAACCTGCTGTATGAATGGGAATGTTCAACTCTATGAGTTGAATGCAAACATCACAAAGAAGTTTCTGAGAATGCTGCTGTCTAGATTTTATATGAAGGTTTTCCCGCTTCCAACGAAATTTTCAATGCTCTCAAAATATCCTCTTGTAGATTCTACAAAAAGAGTGTTTCCAAACTGCTGTATCAAAACAAAGGTTCATCTCTGTTAGTTGAGGACACACATCACAAATAAGTTTCTGAGAATGCTTCTGTCTAGTTCTTATTTGAAGACATTTCCTTTCTCACCTTAGGCCTGAAAGCGCTCGAAATACCCACTTCCAGATACTACAGAAACAGTGATTCAAACCTGCTCTATGAAAGGGAATGTTCAACTATGTGACTTGAATGCAAACATCACAAAGCAGTTTCTGAGAATGCTGCTGTCTACTTTCTATTTGTAATCCCGTTTCCAACGAAATCCTCAGAACTATCGAAATTTCCAATTGCAGATTCCACAGAAACAGGGTTTCAAAGCTGCTCTGTAAAAAGAAAGGTTCAACTCTGTTAGTTGAATACACACGTCACAAACAAGTTTCTGAGAATGCTTCTGTCTAGTTTTTATGGGAAGATATTTCCTTTTTCACCGTAGGCCTCAAAGCGCTCCAAATGTCCACTTCCACATACTACAAAAAGAGTGTTTCAAACCTGCTCTATGATAGGGAATGTTGAAACCTATGAGTTGAATGCAAGCATTACAAAGAGGTTTCTGAGAATGCTTCTGTCTAGATTTTATATGTAGATATTCCCGTTTCCAACGAAATCCTCAAAGCTATCCAAATATCAGCTTGCAGATTCTGCAAAAGGAATGTTTCCAAAATGCTGTATCCAAACAAAGGTTCAACTCTGTGAATTGAGGGCATACATCACAAAGAAGATTCTGAGAATGCTTCTGTCTAGATTTTATATGAAAATATTCCCGTTTCCAAAGAAATCCTCAAAGCTATCCAAATATCCACTTGCAAATGCCACAAAAAGAGTGTTTCCAAACTGCTCTGTGAAAAGGAAGGTTCAACTCTGTTAGTTGAGTACACACATCACAAAGAGGTTTCTGAGAATGCTGCTGACTAGTTTTTATTTGAAGATATTTCCCTTTTCACCTTAGGCCTAAGAGTGCTCGAAATGTCCATTTCCACATACTCCACAAAGTGTGTTTCAAACGTGCTGTATGAAAGGGAATGTTCAACTCTATGAGTTGAATGCAAACATCACAAAGAAGATTCTGAGAATGCTTTTGTCTAGATTTTATATGAAGATATTCCCGTGTCCAACGAAATTTTCAAAGGTCTCCAAATATCCATTTGTAGATTCTACAAAAAGAGTGTTTCCAAACTGCTGTATCAAAACAAAGGTTGAACTCTGTGAGTTGAGGACACACATCACAAATAAGTTTCTGAGAATGCTTCTGTCTAGTTTTTATTTGAAGATGTTTCCTTTTTCACCATAGGCCTGAAAGCGCTCGAAATGTCCACTTCCAGATAGTACAGAAAGAGTGTTTCAAACCTGCTCTATGAACGGGAATGTTCAGCTCTGTGAGTTGAATGCAAACATCACAAAGCAGGTTCTGAGAATGCTTCCGTCTAGATTTTAAATGAGGATATTCCCGTTTCCAACGAAATCCTCGAAGCTATCCAAATATCCACTTGCAGATTCCACAAAAAGAGTGTTTCAAAACTGCTCTGTCAAAAGATAGGTTCAACTCTGTTAGTTGAGTACACACATGGCAAACAAGATTCCGAGAATGCTTTCGTCTAGTTTTTTTGGGAAGATATTTCCTTCTTCACCATAGGCCTCAAAGCGCTCCAAATATCCATTTCCACATGCTATACAAAGAGTGTCTCAAACCTGCTGTATGAATGGGAATGTTCAACTCTATGAGTTGAATGCAAACATCACAAAGAAGTTTCTGAGAATGCTGCTGTCTAGATTTTATATGAAGGTTTTCCCGCTTCCAACGAAATTTTCAATGCTCTCAAAATATCCTCTTGTAGATTCTACAAAAAGAGTGTTTCCAAACTGCTGTATCAAAACAAAGGTTCATCTCTGTTAGTTGAGGACACACATCACAAATAAGTTTCTGAGAATGCTTCTGTCTAGTTCTTATTTGAAGACATTTCCTTTCTCACCTTAGGCCTGAAAACGCTCGAAATATCCACTTCCAGATATGACAGAAACTGTGATTCAAACCTGCTCTATGAAAGGGAATGTTCAACTAGGTGACTTGAATGCAAACATCACAAAGCAGTTTCTGAGAATGCTGCTGTCTACTTTCTATTTGTAATCCCGTTTCCAACGAAATCCTCAGAACTATCGAAATTTCCAATTGCAGATTCCACAAAAAGCGTGTTTCAAAGCTGCTCTGTAGAAAGAAAGGTTCAACTCTGTTAGTTGAATACACACGTCACAAACAAGTTTCTGAGAATGCTTCTGTCTAGTTTTTATGGGAAGATATTTCCTTTTTCACCGTAGGCCTCAAAGCGCTCCAAATGTCCACTTCCACATACTACAAAAAGAGTGTTTCAAACCTGCTCTATGATAGGGAATGTTGAAACCTATGAGTTGAATGCAAGCATTACAAAGAGGTTTCTGAGAATGCTTCTGTCTAGATTTTATATGTAGATATTCCCGTTTCCAACGAAATCCTCAAAGCTATCCAAATATCAACTTGCAGATTCTACAAAAGGAATGTTTCCAAAATGCTGTATCCAAACAAAGGTTCAACTCTGTGAATTGAGGGCATACATCACAAAGAAGATTCTGAGAATGCTTCTGTCTAGATTTTATATGAAAATATTCCCGTTTCCAACGAAATCCTCAAAGCTATCCAAATATCCACTTGCAAATGCCACAAAAAGAGTGTTTCCAAACTGCTCTGTGAAAAGGAAGGTTCAACTCTGTTAGTTGAGTACACACATCACAAAGAGGTTTCTGAGAATGCTGCTGACTAGTTTTTATTTGAAGATATTTCCCTTTTCACCTTAGGCCTAAGAGTGCTCGAAATGTCCATTTCCACATACTCCACAAAGTGTGTTTCAAACGTGCTGTATGAAAGGGAATGTTCAACTCTATGAGTTGAATGCAAACATCACAAAGAAGATTCTGAGAATGCTTTTGTCTAGATTTTATATGAAGATATTCCCGTGTCCAACGAAATTTTCAAAGGTCTCCAAATATCCATTTGTAGATTCTACAAAAAGAGTGTTTCCAAACTGCTGTATCAAAACAAAGGTTGAACTCTGTGAGTTGAGGACACACATCACAAATAAGTTTCTGAGAATGCTTCTGTCTAGTTTTTATTTGAAGATGTTTCCTTTTTCACCATAGGCCTGAAAGCGCTCGAAATGTCCACTTCCAGATAGTACAGAAAGAGTGTTTCAAACCTGCTCTATGAACGGGAATGTTCAGCTCTGTGAGTTGAATGCAAACATCACAAAGCAGGTTCTGAGAATGCTTCCGTCTAGATTTTAAATGAGGATATTCCCGTTTCCAACGAAATCCTCGAAGCTATCCAAATATCCACTTGCAGATTCCACAAAAAGAGTGTTTCAAAACTGCTCTGTCAAAAGATAGGTTCAACTCTGTTAGTTGAGTACACACATGGCAAACAAGATTGCGAGAATGCTTTCGTCTAGTTTTTTTGGGAAGATATTTCCTTCTTCACCATAGGCCTCAAAGCGCTCCAAATATCCATTTCCACATACTATACAAAGAGTGTCTCAAACCTGCTGTATGAATGGGAATGTTCAACTCTATGAGTTGAATGCAAACATCACAAAGAAGTTTCTGAGAATGCTGCTGTCTAGATTTTATATGAAGGTTTTCCCGCTTCCAACGAAATTTTCAATGCTCTCAAAATATCCTCTTGTAGATTCTACAAAAAGAGTGTTTCCAAACTGCTGTATCAAAACAAAGGTTCATCTCTGTTAGTTGAGGACACACATCACAAATAAGTTTCTGAGAATGCTTCTGTCTAGTTCTTATTTGAAGACATTTCCTTTCTCACCTTAGGCCTGAAAGCGCTCGAAATACCCACTTCCAGATACTACAGAAACAGTGATTCAAACCTGCTCTATGAAAGGGAATGTTCAACTATGAGACTTGAATGCAAACATCACAAAGCAGTTTCTGAGAATGCTGCTGTCTACTTTCTACTTGTAATCCCGTTTCCAACGAAATCCTCAGAACTATCGAAATTTCCAATTGCAGATTCCACAGAAACAGGGTTTCAAAGCTGCTCTGTAAAAAGAAAGGTTCAACTCTGTTAGTTGAATACACACGTCACAAACAAGTTTCTGAGAATGCTTCTGTCTAGTTTTTATGGGAAGATATTTCCTTTTTCACGGTAGGCCTCAAAGCGCTCCAAATGTCCACTTCCACATACTACAAAAAGAGTGTTTCAAACCTGCTCTATGATAGGGAATGTTGAAACCTATGAGTTGAATGCAAGCATTACAAAGAGGTTTCTGAGAATGCTTCTGTCTAGATTTTATATGTAGATATTCCCGTTTCCAACGAAATCCTCAAAGCTATCCAAATATCAACTTGCAGATTCTACAAAAGGAATGTTTCCAAAATGCTGTATCCAAAGAAAGGTTCAACTCTGTGAATTGAGGGCATACATCACAAAGAAGATTCTGAGAATGCTTCTGTCTAGATTTTATATGAAAATATTCCCGTTTCCAACGAAATCCTCAAAGCTATCCAAATATCCACTTGCAAATGCCACAAAAAGAGTGTTTCCAAACTGCTCTGTGAAAAGGAAGGTTCAACTCTGTTAGTTGAGTACACACATCACAAAGAGGTTTCTGAGAATGCTGCTGACTAGTTTTTATTTGAAGATATTTCCCTTTTCACCTTAGGCCTAAGAGTGCTCGAAATGTCCATTTCCACATACTCCACAAAGTGTGTTTCAAACGTGCTGTATGAAAGGGAGTGTTCAACTCTATGAGTTGAATGCAAACATCACAAAGAAGATTCTGAGAATGCTTTTGTCTAGATTTTATATGAAGATATTCCCGTGTCCAACGAAATTTTCAAAGGTCTCCAAATATCCATTTGTAGATTCTACAAAAAGAGTGTTTCCAAACTGCTGTATCAAAACAAAGGTTGAACTCTGTGAGTTGAGGACACACATCACAAATAAGTTTCTGAGAATGCTTCTGTCTAGTTTTTATTTGAAGATGTTTCCTTTTTCACCATAGGCCTGAAAGCGCTCGAAATGTCCACTTCCAGATAGTACAGAAAGAGTGTTTCAAACCTGCTCTATGAACGGGAATGTTCAGCTCTGTGAGTTGAATGCAAACATCACAAAGCAGGTTCTGAGAATGCTTCCGTCTAGATTTTAAATGAGGATATTCCCGTTTCCAACGAAATCCTCGAAGCTATCCAAATATCCACTTGCAGATTCCACAAAAAGAGTGTTTCAAAACTGCTCTGTCAAAAGATAGGTTCAACTCTGTTAGTTGAGTACACACATGGCAAACAAGATTCCGAGAATGCTTTCGTCTAGTTTTTTTGGGAAGATATTTCCTTCTTCACCATAGGCCTCAAAGCGCTCCAAATATCCATTTCCACATGCTATACAAAGAGTGTCTCAAACCTGCTGTATGAATGGGAATGTTCAACTCTATGAGTTGAATGCAAACATCACAAAGAAGTTTCTGAGAATGCTTCTGTCTAGATTTTATATGAAGGTTTTCCCGCTTCCAACGAAATTTTCAATGCTCTCAAAATATCCACTTGTAGATTCTACAAAAAGAGTGTTTCCAAACTGCTGTGTCAAAAGAAAGGTTCAACTCTGTTAGTTGAGGACACACATCACAAATAAGTTTCTGAGAATGCTTCTGTCTAGTTCTTATTTGAAGACATTTCCTTTCTCACCTTAGGCCTGAAAGCGCTCGAAATACCCACTTCCAGATACTACAGAAACAGTGATTCAAACCTGCTCTATGAAAGGGAATGTTCAACTATGTGACTTGAATGCAAACATCACAAAGCAGTTTCTGAGAATGCTGCTGTCTACTTTCTATTTGTAATCCCGTTTCCAACGAAATCCTCAGAACTATCGAAATTTCCAATTGCAGATTCCACAGAAACAGGGTTTCAAAGCTGCTCTGTAAAAAGAAAGGTTCAACTCTGTTAGTTGAATACACACGTCACAAACAAGTTTCTGAGAATGCTTCTGTCTAGTTTTTATGGGAAGATATTTCCTTTTTCACCGTAGGCCTCAAAGCGCTCCAAATGTCCACTTCCACATACTACAAAAAGAGTGTTTCAAACCTGCTGTATGAAAGGGAATGTTCAACTCTATGAGTTGAATGCAAACATTACAAAGAAGTTTCTGAGAATGCTTCTGTCTAGATTTTATATGAAGGTTTTCCCGTTTCCAAGGAAATTTTCAATGCTCTCAAAATATCCACTTGTAGATTCTACAAAAAGAGTGTTTCCAATCTGCTGTGTCAAAGGAAAGGTTCAACTCTGTTAGTTGAGGACACACATCACAAAGAGGTTTCTGAGAATGCTGCTGACTAGTTTTTATTTGAAGATATTTCCCTTTTCACCTTAGGCCTAAGAGTGCTCGAAATGTCCATTTCCACATACTCCACAAAGTGTGTTTCAAACGTGCTGTATGAAAGGGAATGTTCAACTCTATGAGTTGAATGCAAACATCACAAAGAAGATTCTGAGAATGCTTTTGTCTAGATTTTATATGAAGATATTCCCGTGTCCAACGAAATTTTCAAAGGTCTCCAAATATCCATTTGTAGATTCTACAAAAAGAGTGTTTCCAAACTGCTGTATCAAAACAAAGGTTGAACTCTGTGAGTTGAGGACACACATCACAAATAAGTTTCTGAGAATGCTTCTGTCTAGTTTTTATTTGAAGATGTTTCCTTTTTCACCATAGGCCTGAAAGCGCTCGAAATGTCCACTTCCAGATAGTACAGAAAGAGTGTTTCAAACCTGCTCTATGAACGGGAATGTTCAGCTCTGTGAGTTGAATGCAAACATCACAAAGCAGGTTCTGAGAATGCTTCCGTCTAGATTTTAAATGAGGATATTCCCGTTTCCAACGAAATCCTCGAAGCTATCCAAATATCCACTTGCAGATTCCACAAAAAGAGTGTTTCAAAACTGCTCTGTCAAAAGATAGGTTCAACTCTGTTAGTTGAGTACACACATGGCAAACAAGATTCCGAGAATGCTTTCGTCTAGTTTTTTTGGGAAGATATTTCCTTCTTCACCATAGGCCTCAAAGCGCTCCAAATATCCATTTCCACATGCTATACAAAGAGTGTCTCAAACCTGCTGTATGAATGGGAATGTTCAACTCTATGAGTTGAATGCAAACATCACAAAGAAGTTTCTGAGAATGCTGCTGTCTAGATTTTATATGAAGGTTTTCCCGCTTCCAACGAAATTTTCAATGCTCTCAAAATATCCTCTTGTAGATTCTACAAAAAGAGTGTTTCCAAACTGCTGTATCAAAACAAAGGTTCATCTCTGTTAGTTGAGGACACACATCACAAATAAGTTTCTGAGAATGCTTCTGTCTAGTTCTTATTTGAAAGACATTTCCTTTCTCACCTTAGGCCTGAAAGCGCTCGAAATACCCACTTCCAGATACTACATAAACAGTGATTCAAACCTGCTCTATGAAAGGGAATGTTCAACTAGGTGACTTGAATGCAAACATCACAAAGCAGTTTCTGAGAATGCTGCTGTCTACTTTCTATTTGTAATCCCGTTTCCAACGAAATCCTCAGAACTATCGAAATTTCCAATTGCAGATTCCACAGAAACAGGGTTTCAAAGCTGCTCTGTAAAAAGAAAGGTTCAACTCTGTTAGTTGAATACACACGTCACAAACAAGTTTCTGAGAATGCTTCTGTCTAGTTTTTATGGGAAGATATTTCCTTTTTCACCGTAGGCCTCAAAGCGCTCCAAATGTCCACTTCCACATACTACAAAAAGAGTGTTTCAAACCTGCTCTATGATAGGGAATGTTGAAACCTATGAGTTGAATGCAAGCATTACAAAGAGGTTTCTGAGAATGCTTCTGTCTAGATTTTATATGTAGATATTCCCGTTTCCAACGAAATCCTCAAAGCTATCCAAATATCAACTTGCAGATTCTACAAAAGGAATGTTTCCAAAATGCTGTATCCAAACAAAGGTTCAACTCTGTGAATTGAGGGCATACATCACAAAGAAGATTCTGAGAATGCTTCTGTCTAGATTTTATATGAAAATATTCCCGTTTCCAACGAAATCCTCAAAGCTATCCAAATATCCACTTGCAAATGCCACAAAAAGAGTGTTTCCAAACTGCTCTGTGAAAAGGAAGGTTCAACTCTGTTAGTTGAGTACACACATCACAAAGAGGTTTCTGAGAATGCTGCTGACTAGTTTTTATTTGAAGATATTTCCCTTTTCACCTTAGGCCTAAGAGTGCTCGAAATGTCCATTTCCACATACTCCACAAAGTGTGTTTCAAACGTGCTGTATGAAAGGGAATGTTCAACTCTATGAGTTGAATGCAAACATCACAAAGAAGACTCTGAGAATGCTTTTGTCTAGATTTTATATGAAGATATTCCCGTGTCCAACGAAATTTTCAAAGGTCTCCAAATATCCATTTGTAGATTCTACAAAAAGAGTGTTTCCAAACTGCTGTATCAAAACAAAGGTTGAACTCTGTGAGTTGAGGACACACATCACAAATAAGTTTCTGAGAATGCTTCTGTCTAGTTTTTATTTGAAGATGTTTCCTTTTTCACCATAGGCCTGAAAGCGCTCGAAATGTCCACTTCCAGATAGTACAGAAAGAGTGTTTCAAACCTGCTCTATGAACGGGAATGTTCAGCTCTGTGAGTTGAATGCAAACATCACAAAGCAGGTTCTGAGAATGCTTCCGTCTAGATTTTAAATGAGGATATTCCCGTTTCCAACGAAATCCTCGAAGCTATCCAAATATCCACTTGCAGATTCCACAAAAAGAGTGTTTCAAAACTGCTCTGTCAAAAGATAGGTTCAACTCTGTTAGTTGAGTACACACATGGCAAACAAGATTGCGAGAATGCTTTCGTCTAGTTTTTTTGGGAAGATATTTCCTTCTTCACCATAGGCCTCAAAGCGCTCCAAATATCCATTTCCACATGCTATACAAAGAGTGTCTCAAACCTGCTGTATGAATGGGAATGTTCAACTCTATGAGTTGAATGCAAACATCACAAAGAAGTTTCTGAGAATGCTGCTGTCTAGATTTTATATGAAGGTTTTCCCGCTTCCAACGAAATTTTCAATGCTCTCAAAATATCCTCTTGTAGATTCTACAAAAAGAGTGTTTCCAAACTGCTGTATCAAAACAAAGGTTCATCTCTGTTAGTTGAGGACACACATCACAAATAAGTTTCTGAGAATGCTTCTGTCTAGTTCTTATTTGAAGACATTTCCTTTCTCACCTTAGGCCTGAAAGCCCTCGAAATACCCACTTCCAGATACTACAGAAACAGTGATTCAAACCTGCTCTATGAAAGGGAATGTTCAACTAGGTGACTTGAATGCAAACATCACAAAGCAGTTTCTGAGAATGCTGCTGTCTACTTTCTATTTGTAATCCCGTTTGCAACGAAATCCTCAGAACTATCGAAATTTCCAATTGCAGATTCCACAGAAACAGGGTTTCAAAGCTGCTCTGTAAAAAGAAAGGTTCAACTCTGTTAGTTGAATACACACGTCACAAACAAGTTTCTGAGAATGCTTCTGTCTAGTTTTTATGGGAAGATATTTCCTTTTTCACCGTAGGCCTCAAAGCGCTCCAAATGTCCACGTCCACATACTACAAAAAGAGTGTTTCAAACCTGCTGTATGAAAGGGAATGTTCAACTCTATGAGTTGAATGCAAACATTACAAAGAAGTTTCTGAGAATGCTTCTGTCTAGATTTTATATGAAGGTTTTCCCGTTTCCAACGAAATTTTCAATGCTCTCAAAATATCCACTTGTAGATTCTACAAAAAGAGTGTTTCCAAACTGCTGTGTCAAAAGAAAGGTTCAACTCTGTTAGTTGAGGACACACATCACAAATAAGTTTCTGAGAATGCTTCTGTCTAGTTCTTATTTGAAGACATTTCCTTTCTCACCTTAGGCCTGAAAACGCTCGAAATATCCACTTCCAGATACGACAGAAACAGTGATTCAAACCTGCTCTATGAAAGGGAATGTTCAACTAGGTGACTTGAATGCAAACATCAGAAAGCAGTTTCTGAGAATGCTGCTGTCTACTTTCTATTTGTAATCCCGTTTCCAACGAAATCCTCAGAACTATCGAAATTTCCAATTGCAGATTCCACAGAAACAGGGTTTCAAAGCTGCTCTGTAAAAAGAAAGGTTCAACTCTGTTAGTTGAATACACACGTCACAAACAAGTTTCTGAGAATGCTTCTGTCTAGTTTTTATGGGAAGATATTTCCTTTTTCACCGTAGGCCTCAAAGCGCTCCAAATGTCCACTTCCACATACTACAAAAAGAGTGTTTCAAACCTGCTCTATGATAGGGAATGTTGAAACCTATGAGTTGAATGCAAGCATTACAAAGAGGTTTCTGAGAATGCTTCTGTCTAGATTTTATATGTAGATATTCCCGTTTCCAACGAAATCCTCAAACTATCCAAATATCAACTTGCAGATTCTACAAAAGGAATGTTTCCAAAATGCTGTATCCAAACAAAGGTTCAACTCTGTGAATTGAGGGCATACATCACAAAGAAGATTCTGAGAATGCTTCTGTCTAGATTTTATATGAAAATATTCCCGTTTCCAACGAAATCCTCAAAGCTATCCAAATATCCACTTGCAAATGCCACAAAAAGAGTGTTTCCAAACTGCTCTGTGAAAAGGAAGGTTCAACTCTGTTAGTTGAGTACACACATCACAAAGAGGTTTCTGAGAATGCTGCTGACTAGTTTTTATTTGAAGATATTTCCCTTTTCACCTTAGGCCTAAGAGTGCTCGAAATGTCCATTTCCACATACTCCACAAAGTGTGTTTCAAACGTGCTGTATGAAAGGGAATGTTCAACTCTATGAGTTGAATGCAAACATCACAAAGAAGATTCTGAGAATGCTTTTGTCTAGATTTTATATGAAGATATTCCCGTGTCCAACGAAATTTTCAAAGGTCTCCAAATATCCATTTGTAGATTCTACAAAAAGAGTGTTTCCAAACTGCTGTATCAAAACAAAGGTTGAACTCTGTGAGTTGAGGACACACATCACAAATAAGTTTCTGAGAATGCTTCTGTCTAGTTTTTATTTGAAGATGTTTCCTTTTTCACCATAGGCCTGAAAGCGCTCGAAATGTCCACTTCCAGATAGTACAGAAAGAGTGTTTCAAACCTGCTCTATGAACAGGAATGTTCAGCTCCGTGAGTTGAATGCAAACATCACAAAGCAGGTTCTGAGAATGCTTCCGTCTAGATTTTAAATGAGGATATTCCCGTTTCCAACGAAATCCTCGAAGCTATCCAAATATCCACTTGCAGATTCCACAAAAAGAGTGTTTCAAAACTGCTCTGTCAAAAGATAGGTTCAACTCTGTTAGTTGAGTACACACATGGCAAACAAGTTTGCGAGAATGCTTTCGTCTAGTTTTTTTGGGAAGATATTTCCTTCTTCACCATAGGCCTCAAAGCGCTCCAAATATCCATTTCCACATGCTATAAAAAGAGTGTCTCAAACCTGCTGTATGAATGGGAATGTTCAACTCTATGAGTTGAATGCAAACATCACAAAGAAGTTTCTGAGAATGCTGCTGTCTAGATTTTTATATGAAGGATTTCCCGCTTCCAACGAAATTTTCAATGCTCTCAAAATATCCTCTTGTAGATTCTACAAAAAGAGTGTTTCCAAACTGCTGTATCAAAACAAAGGTTCATCTCTGTTAGTTGAGGACACACATCACAAATAAGTTTCTGAGAATGCTTCTGTCTAGTTCTTATTTGAAGACATTTCCTTTCTCACCTTAGGCCTGAAAGCGCTCGAAATACCCACTTCCAGATACTACAGAAACAGTGATTCAAACCTGCTCTATGAAAGGGAATGTTCAACTATGTGACTTGAATGCAAACATCACAAAGCAGTTTCTGAGAATGCTGCTGTCTACTTTCTATTTGTAATCCCGTTTGCAACGAAATCCTCAGAACTATCGAAATTTCCAATTGCAGATTCCACAGAAACAGGGTTTCAAAGCTGCTCTGTAAAAAGAAAGGTTCAACTCTGTTAGTTGAATACACACGTCACAAACAAGTTTCTGAGAATGCTTCTGTCTAGTTTTTATGGGAAGATATTTCCTTTTTCACCGTAGGCCTCAAAGCGCTCCAAATGTCCACTTCCACATACTACAAAAAGAGTGTTTCAAACCTGCTGTATGAAAGGGAATGTTCAACTCTATGAGTCGAATGCAAACATTACAAAGAAGTTTCTGAGAATGCTTCTGTCTAGATTTTATATGAAGGTTTTCCCGTTTCCAACGAAATTTTCAATGCTCTCAAAATATCCACTTGTAGATTCTACAAAAAGAGTGTTTCCAAACTGCTGTGTCAAAAGAAAGGTTCAACTCTGTTAGTTGAGGACACACATCACAAATAAGTTTCTGAGAATGCTTCTGTCTAGTTCTTATTTGAAGACATTTCCTTTCTCACCTTAGGCCTGAAAACGCTCGAAATATCCACTTCCAGATACGACAGAAACAGTGATTCAAACCTGCTCTATGAAAGGGAATGTTCAACTAGGTGACTTGAATGCAAACATCACAAAGCAGTTTCTGAGAATGCTGCTGTCTACTTTCTATTTGTAATCCCGTTTCCAACGAAATCCTCAGAACTATCGAAATTTCCAATTGCAGATTCCACAAAAAGCGTGTTTCAAAGCTGCTCTGTAAAAAGAAAGGTTCAACTCTGTTAGTTGAATACACACGTCACAAACAAGTTTCTGAGAATGCTTCTGTCTAGTTTTTATGGGAAGATATTTCCTTTTTCACCGTAGGCCTCAAAGCGCTCCAAATGTCCACTTCCACATACTACAAAAAGAGTGTTTCAAACCTGCTCTATGATAGGGAATGTTGAAACCTAT
The DNA here is from genome assembly GCF_000001405.40 of Homo sapiens. Taxonomy (NCBI): domain Eukaryota; kingdom Metazoa; phylum Chordata; class Mammalia; order Primates; family Hominidae; genus Homo; species Homo sapiens. The sequence continues at coordinate 18,559,666 of NC_000015.10, read as the reverse complement.
GAGTTGAATGCAAGCATTACAAAGAGGTTTCTGAGAATGCTTCTGTCTAGATTTTATATGTAGATATTCCCGTTTCCAACGAAATCCTCAAAGCTATCCAAATATCAACTTGCAGATTCTGCAAAAGGAATGTTTCCAAAATGCTGTATCCAAACAAAGGTTCAACTCTGTGAATTGAGGGCATACATCACAAAGAAGATTCTGAGAATGCTTCTGTCTAGATTTTATATGAAAATATTCCCGTTTCCAACGAAATCCTCAAAGCTATCCAAATATCCACTTGCAAATGCCACAAAAAGAGTGTTTCCAAACTGCTCTGTGAAAAGGAAGGTTCAACTCTGTTAGTTGAGTACACACATCACAAAGAGGTTTCTGAGAATGCTGCTGACTAGTTTTTATTTGAAGATATTTCCCTTTTCACCTTAGGCCTAAGAGTGCTCGAAATGTCCATTTCCACATACTCCACAAAGTGTGTTTCAAACGTGCTGTATGAAAGGGAATGTTCAACTCTATGAGTTGAATGCAAACATCACAAAGAAGATTCTGAGAATGCTTTTGTCTAGATTTTATATGAAGATATTCCCGTGTCCAACGAAATTTTCAAAGGTCTCCAAATATCCATTTGTAGATTCTACAAAAAGAGTGTTTCCAAACTGCTGTATCAAAACAAAGGTTGAACTCTGTGAGTTGAGGACACACATCACAAATAAGTTTCTGAGAATGCTTCTGTCTAGTTTTTATTTGAAGATGTTTCCTTTTTCACCATAGGCCTGAAAGCGCTCGAAATGTCCACTTCCAGATAGTACAGAAAGAGTGTTTCAAACCTGCTCTATGAACGGGAATGTTCAGCTCTGTGAGTTGAATGCAAACATCACAAAGCAGGTTCTGAGAATGCTTCCGTCTAGATTTTAAATGAGGATATTCCCGTTTCCAAAGAAATCCTCGAAGCTATCCAAATATCCACTTGCAGATTCCACAAAAAGAGTGTTTCAAAACTGCTCTGTCAAAAGATAGGTTCAACTCTGTTAGTTGAATACACACGTCACAAACAAGTTTCTGAGATTGCTTCTGTCTAGTTTTTATGGGAAGATATTTCCTTTTTCACCGTAGGCCTCAAAGCGCTCCAAATGTCCGCTTCCACATACTACAAAAAGAGTGTTTCAAACCTGCTGTATGAAAGGGAATGTTCAACTCTATGAGTTGAATGCAAACATTACAAAGAAGTTTCTGAGAATGCTTCTGTCTAGATTTTATATGAAGGTTTTCCCGTTTCCAACGAAATTTTCAATGCTCTCAAAATATCCACTTGTAGATTCTACAAAAAGAGTGTTTCCAAACTGCTGTGTCAAAAGAAAGGTTCAACTCTGTTAGTTGAGGACACACATCACAAATAAGTTTCTGAGAATGCTGCTGTCTACTTTCTATTTGTAATCCCGTTTCCAACGAAATCCTCAGAACTATCGAAATTTCCAATTGCAGATTCCACAAAAAGCGTGTTTCAAAGCTGCTCTGCAAAAAGAAAGGTTCAACTCTGTTAGTTGAATACACACGTCACAAACAAGTTTCTGAGAATGCTTCTGTCTAGTTTTTATGGGAAGATATTTCCTTTTTCACCGTAGAACTCAAAGCGCTCCAAATGTCCACTTCCACATACTACAAAAAGAGTGTTTCAAACCTGCTCTATGATAGGGAATGTTGAAACCTATGAGTTGAATGCAAGCATTACAAAGAGGTTTGTGAGAATGCTTCTGTCTAGATTTTATATGTAGATATTCCCGTTTCCAACGAAATCCTCAAAGCTATCCAAATATCAACTTGCAGATTCTGCAAAAGGAATGTTTCCAAAATGCTGTATCCAAACAAAGGTTCAAGTCTGTGAATTGAGGGCATACATCACAAAGAAGATTCTGAGAATGCTTCTGTCTAGATTTTATATGAAAATATTCCCGTTTCCAACGAAATCCTCAAAGCTATCCAAATATCCACTTGCAAATGCCACAAAAAGAGTGTTTCCAAACTGCTCTGTGAAAAGGAAGGTTCAACTCTGTTAGTTGAGTACACACATCACAAAGAGGTTTCTGAGAATGCTGCTGACTAGTTTTTATTTGAAGATATTTCCCTTTTCACCTTAGGCCTAAGAGTGCTCGAAATGTCCATTTCCACATACTCCACAAAGTGTGTTTCAAACGTGCTGTATGAAAGGGAATGTTCAACTCTATGAGTTGAATGCAAACATCACAAAGAAGATTCTGAGAATGCTTTTGTCTAGATTTTATATGAAGATATTCCCGTGTCCAACGAAATTTTCAAAGGTCTCCAAATATCCATTTGTAGATTCTACAAAAAGAGTGTTTCCAAACTGCTGTATCAAAACAAAGGTTGAACTCTGTGAGTTGAGGACACACATCACAAATAAGTTTCTGTCTAGTTTTTATTTGAAGATATTTCCTTTTTCACCATAGGCCTGAAAGCGCTCGAAATATCCACTTTCAGGAAGGCCAGAAAGAGTGTTTCAAACCTGCTCTATGAACGGGAATGTTCAGCTCTGTGAGTTGAATGCAAACATCACAAAGCAGGTTCTGAGAATGCTTCCATCTAGATTTTATATGAGGATATTCCCGTTTCCAACGAAATCCTCGAAGCTATCCAAATATCAATTTGCAGATTCCACAAAAAGAGTGTTTCAAAACTGCTCTGTCAAAAGATAGGTTCAACTCTGTTAGTTGAGTACACACATGGCAAACAAGATTCCGAGAATGCTTTCGTCTAGTTTTTTTGGGAAGATATTTCCTTCTTCACCATAGGCCTCAATCGCTCCAAATATCCATTTCCACATACTATAGAAAGAGTGTCTCAAACCTGCTGTATGAAAGGGAACGTTCAACTCTATGAGTTGAATGCAAACATCACAAAGAAGTTTCTGAGAATGCTGCTGTCTGGATTTTATATGAAGGTTTTCCCGCTTCCAACGAAATTTTCAATGCTCTCAAAATATCCTCTTGTAGATTCTACAAAAAGAGTGTTTCCAAACTGCTGTATCAAAACAAAGGTTCAACTGTGTTAGTTGAGGACACACATCAGAAATAAGTTTCTGAGAATGCTTCTGTCTAGTTCTTATTTGAAGACATTTCCTTTCTCACCTTAGGCCTGAAAGCGCTCGTAATACCCACTTCCAGATACTACAGAAACAGTGATTCAAACCTGATCTATGAAAGGGAATGTTCAACTATGTGAGTTGAATGCAAACATCACAAAGCAGTTTCTGAGAATGCTGCTGTCTACTTTCTATTTGTAATCCCGTTTCCAACGAAATCCTCAGAACTATCGAAATTTCCAATTGCAGATTCCACAAAAACAGGGTTTCAAAGCTGCTCTGTAAAAAGAAAGGTTCAACTCTGTTTGTTGAATACACACGTCACAAACATGTTTCTGAGAATGCTTCTGTCTAGTTTTTATGGGAAGATATTTCCTTTTTCACCGTAGGCCTCAAAGCGCTCCAAATGTCCACTTCCACATAATACAAAAAGAGTGTTTCAAACCTGCTGTATGAAAGGGAATGTTCAACTCTATGAGTTGAATGCAAACATTACAAAGAAGTTTCTGAGAATGCTTCTGTTCTAGATTTTATATGAAGGTTTTCCCGTTTCCAACGAAATTTTCAATGCTCTCAAAATATCCACTTGTAGATTCTACAAAAAGAGTGTTTCCAAACTGCTGTGTCAAAAGAAAGGTTCAACTCTGTTAGTTGAGGACACACATCACAAATAAGTTTCTGAGAATGCTTCTGTCTAGTTCTTATTTGAAGACATTTCCTTTCTCACCTTAGGCCTGAAAACGCTCGAAATATCCACTTCCAGATACGACAGAAACAGTGATTCAAACCTGCTCTATGAAAGGGAATGTTCAACTAGGTGACTTGAATGCAAACATCAGAAAGCAGTTTCTGAGAATGCTGCTGTCTACTTTCTATTTGTAATCCCGTTTCCAACGAAATCCTCAGAACTATCGAAATTTCCAATTGCAGATTCCACAAAAAGCGTGTTTCAAAGCTGCTCTGTAAAAAGAAAGGTTCAACTCTGTTAGTTGAATACACACGTCACAAACAAGTTTCTGAGAATGCTTCTGTCTAGTTTTTATGGGAAGATATTTCCTTTTTCACCGTAGGCCTCAAAGCGCTCCAAATGTCCACTTCCACATACTACAAAAAGAGTGTTTCAAACCTGCTCTATGATAGGGAATGTTGAAACCTATGAGTTGAATGCAAGCATTACAAAGAGGTTTCTGAGAATGCTTCTGTCTAGATTTTATATGTAGATATTCCCGTTTCCAACGAAATCCTCAAAGCTATCCAAATATCAACTTGCAGATTCTACAAAAGGAATGTTTCCAAAATGCTGTATCCAAACAAAGGTTCAACTCTGTGAATTGAGGGCATACATCACAAAGAAGATTCTGAGAATGCTTCTGTCTAGATTTTATATGAAAATATTCCCGTTTCCAACGAAATCCTCAAAGCTATCCAAATATCCACTTGCAAATGCCACAAAAAGAGTGTTTCCAAACTGCTCTGTGAAAAGGAAGGTTCAACTCTGTTAGTTGAGTACACACATCACAAAGAGGTTTCTGAGAACGCTGCTGACTAGTTTTTATTTGAAGATATTTCCCTTTTCACCTTAGGCCTAAGAGTGCTCGAAATGTCCATTTCCACATACTCCACAAAGTGTGTTTCAAACGTGCTGTATGAAAGGGAATGTTCAACTCTATGAGTTGAATGCAAACATCACAAAGAAGACTCTGAGAATGCTTTTGTCTAGATTTTATATGAAGATATTCCCGTGTCCAACGAAATTTTCAAAGGTCTCCAAATATCCATTTGTAGATTCTACAAAAAGAGTGTTTCCAAACTGCTGTATCAAAACAAAGGTTGAACTCTGTGAGTTGAGGACACACATCACAAATAAGTTTCTGAGAATGCTTCTGTCTAGTTTTTATTTGAAGATGTTTCCTTTTTCACCATAGGCCTGAAAGCGCTCGAAATGTCCACTTCCAGATAGTACAGAAAGAGTGTTTCAAACCTGCTCTATGAACGGGAATGTTCAGCTCTGTGAGTTGAATGCAAACATCACAAAGCAGGTTCTGAGAATGCTTCCGTCTAGATTTTAAATGAGGATATTCCCGTTTCCAACAAAATCCTCGAAGCTATCCAAATATCCACTTGCAGATTCCACAAAAAGAGTGTTTCAAAACTGCTCTGTCAAAAGATAGGTTCAACTCTGTTAGTTGAGTACACACATGGCAAACAAGATTCCGAGAATGCTTTCGTCTAGTTTTTTTGGGAAGATATTTCCTTCTTCACCATAGGCCTCAAAGCGCTCCAAATATCCATTTCCACATGCTATACAAAGAGTGTCTCAAACCTGCTGTATGAATGGGAATGTTCAACTCTATGAGTTGAATGCAAACATCACAAAGAAGTTTCTGAGAATGCTGCTGTCTAGATTTTATATGAAGGTTTTCCCGCTTCCAACGAAATTTTCAATGCTCTCAAAATATCCTCTTGTAGATTCTACAAAAAGAGTGTTTCCAAACTGCTGTATCAAAACAAAGGTTCATCTCTGTTAGTTGAGGACACACATCACAAATAAGTTTCTGAGAATGCTTCTGTCTAGTTCTTATTTGAAGACATTTCCTTTCTCACCTTAGGCCTGAAAGCGCTCGAAATACCCACTTCCAGATACTACAGAAACAGTGATTCAAACCTGCTCTATGAAAGGGAATGTTCAACTATGTGACTTGAATGCAAACATCACAAAGCAGTTTCTGAGAATGCTGCTGTCTACTTTCTATTTGTAATCCCGTTTCCAACGAAATCCTCAGAACTATCGAAATTTCCAATTGCAGATTCCACAGAAACAGGGTTTCAAAGCTGCTCTGTAAAAAGAAAGGTTCAACTCTGTTAGTTGAATACACACGTCACAAACAAGTTTCTGAGAATGCTTCTGTCTAGTTTTTATGGGAAGATATTTCCTTTTTCACCGTAGGCCTCAAAGCGCTCCAAATGTCCACTTCCACATACTACAAAAAGAGTGTTTCAAACCTGCTGTATGAAAGGGAATGTTCAACTCTATGAGTTGAATGCAAACATTACAAAGAAGTTTCTGAGAATGCTTCTGTCTAGATTTTATATGAAGGTTTTCCCGTTTCCAACGAAATTTTCAATGCTCTCAAAATATCCACTTGTAGATTCTACAAAAAGAGTGTTTCCAAACTGCTGTGTCAAAAGAAAGGTTCAACTCTGTTAGTTGAGGACACACATCACAAATAAGTTTCTGAGAATGCTTCTGTCTAGTTCTTATTTGAAGACATTTCCTTTCTCACCTTAGGCCTGAAAACGCTCGAAATATCCACTTCCAGATACGACAGAAACAGTGATTCAAACCTGCTCTATGAAAGGGAATGTTCAACTAGGTGACTTGAATGCAAACATCACAAAGCAGTTTCTGAGAATGCTGCTGTCTACTTTCTATTTGTAATCCCGTTTCCAACGAAATCCTCAGAACTATCGAAATTTCCAATTGCAGATTCCACAAAAAGCGTGTTTCAAAGCTGCTCTGTAAAAAGAAAGGTTCAACTCTGTTAGTTGAATACACACGTCACAAACAAGTTTCTGAGAATGCTTCTGTCTAGTTTTTATGGGAAGATATTTCCTTTTTCACCGTAGGCCTCAAAGCGCTCCAAATGTCCACTTCCACATACTACAAAAAGAGTGTTTCAAACCTGCTCTATGATAGGGAATGTTGAAACCTATGAGTTGAATGCAAGCATTACAAAGAGGTTTCTGAGAATGCTTCTGTCTAGATTTTATATGTAGATATTCCCGTTTCCAACGAAATCCTCAAAGCTATCCAAATATCAACTTGCAGATTCTACAAAAGGAATGTTTCCAAAATGCTGTATCCAAACAAAGGTTCAACTCTGTGAATTGAGGGCATACATCACAAAGAAGATTCTGAGAATGCTTCTGTCTAGATTTTATATGAAAATATTCCCGTTTCCAACGAAATCCTCAAAGCTATCCAAATATCCACTTGCAAATGCCACAAAAAGAGTGTTTCCAAACTGCTCCGTGAAAAGGAAGGTTCAACTCTGTTAGTTGAGTACACACATCACAAAGAGGTTTCTGAGAATGCTGCTGACTAGTTTTTATTTGAAGATATTTCCCTTTTCACCTTAGGCCTAAGAGTGCTCGAAATGTCCATTTCCACATACTCCACAAAGTGTGTTTCAAACGTGCTGTATGAAAGGGAATGTTCAACTCTATGAGTTGAATGCAAACATCACAAAGAAGATTCTGAGAATGCTTTTGTCTAGATTTTATATGAAGATATTCCCGTGTCCAACGAAATTTTCAAAGGTCTCCAAATATCCATTTGTAGATTCTACAAAAAGAGTGTTTCCAAACTGCTGTATCAAAACAAAGGTTGAACTCTGTGAGTTGAGGACACACATCACAAATAAGTTTCTGAGAATGCTTCTGTCTAGTTTTTATTTGAAGATGTTTCCTTTTTCACCATAGGCCTGAAAGCGCTCGAAATGTCCACTTCCAGATAGTACAGAAAGAGTGTTTCAAACCTGCTCTATGAACGGGAATGTTCAGCTCTGTGAGTTGAATGCAAACATCACAAAGCAGGTTCTGAGAATGCTTCCGTCTAGATTTTAAATGAGGATATTCCCGTTTCCAACGAAATCCTCGAAGCTATCCAAATATCCACTTGCAGATTCCACAAAAAGAGTGTTTCAAAACTGCTCTGTCAAAAGATAGGTTCAACTCTGTTAGTTGAGTACACACATGGCAAACAAGATTGCGAGAATGCTTTCGTCTAGTTTTTTTGGGAAGATATTTCCTTCTTCACCATAGGCCTCAAAGCGCTCCAAATATCCATTTCCACATGCTATACAAAGAGTGTCTCAAACCTGCTGTATGAATGGGAATGTTCAACTCTATGAGTTGAATGCAAACATCACAAAGAAGTTTCTGAGAATGCTGCTGTCTAGATTTTATATGAAGGTTTTCCCGCTTCCAACGAAATTTTCAATGCTCTCAAAATATCCTCTTGTAGATTCTACAAAAAGAGTGTTTCCAAACTGCTGTATCAAAACAAAGGTTCATCTCTGTTAGTTGAGGACACACATCACAAATAAGTTTCTGAGAATGCTTCTGTCTAGTTCTTATTTGAAGACATTTCCTTTCTCACCTTAGGCCTGAAAGCGCTCGAAATACCCACTTCCACATACTACAGAAACAGTGATTCAAACCTGCTCTATGAAAGGGAATGTTCAACTAGGTGACTTGAATGCAAACATCACAAAGCAGTTTCTGAGAATGCTGCTGTCTACTTTCTATTTGTAATCCCGTTTCCAACGAAATCCTCAGAACTATCGAAATTTCCAATTGCAGATTCCACAGAAACAGGGTTTCAAAGCTGCTCTGTAAAAAGAAAGGTTCAACTCTGTTAGTTGAATACACACGTCACAAACAAGTTTCTGAGAATGCTTCTGTCTAGTTTTTATGGGAAGATATTTCCTTTTTCACCGTAGGCCTCAAAGCGCTCCAAATGTCCACTTCCACATACTACAAAAAGAGTGTTTCAAACCTGCTGTATGAAAGGGAATGTTCAACTCTATGAGTTGAATGCAAACATTACAAAGAAGTTTCTGAGAATGCTTCTGTCTAGATTTTATATGAAGGTTTTCCCGCTTCCAACGAAATTTTCAATGCTCTCAAAATATCCTCTTGTAGATTCTACAAAAAGAGTGTTTCCAAACTGCTGTATCAAAACAAAGGTTCATCTCTGTTAGTTGAGGACACACATCACAAATAAGTTTCTGAGAATGCTTCTGTCTAGTTCTTATTTGAAGACATTTCCTTTCTCACCTTAGGCCTGAAAACGCTCGAAATATCCACTTCCAGATACGACAGAAACAGTGATTCAAACCTGCTCTATGAAAGGGAATGTTCAACTAGGTGACTTGAATGCAAACATCACAAAGCAGTTTCTGAGAATGCTGCTGTCTACTTTCTATTTGTAATCCCGTTTCCAACGAAATCCTCAGAACTATCGAAATTTCCAATTGCAGATTCCACAAAAAGCGTGTTTCAAAGCTGCTCTGTAAAAAGAAAGGTTCAACTCTGTTAGTTGAATACACACGTCACAAACAAGTTTCTGAGAATGCTTCTGTCTAGTTTTTATGGGAAGATATTTCCTTTTTCACCGTAGGCCTCAAAGCGCTCCAAATGTCCACTTCCACATACTACAAAAAGAGTGTTTCAAACCTGCTCTATGATAGGGAATGTTGAAACCTATGAGTTGAATGCAAGCATTACAAAGAGGTTTCTGAGAATGCTTCTGTCTAGATTTTATATGTAGATATTCCCGTTTCCAACGAAATCCTCAAAGCTATCCAAATATCAACTTGCAGATTCTACAAAAGGAATGTTTCCAAAATGCTGTATCCAAACAAAGGTTCAACTCTGGGAATTGAGGGCATACATCACAAAGAAGATTCTGAGAATGCTTCTGTCTAGATTTTATATGAAAATATTCCCGTTTCCAACGAAATCCTCAAAGCTATCCAAATATCCACTTGCAAATGCCACAAAAAGAGTGTTTCCAAACTGCTCTGTGAAAAGGAAGGTTCAACTCTGTTAGTTGAGTACACACATCACAAAGAGGTTTCTGAGAATGCTGCTGACTAGTTTTTATTTGAAGATATTTCCCTTTTCACCTTAGGCCTAAGAGTGCTCGAAATGTCCATTTCCACATACTCCACAAAGTGTGTTTCAAACGTGCTGTATGAAAGGGAATGTTCAACTCTATCAGTTGAATGCAAACATCACAAAGAAGACTCTGAGAATGCTTTTGTCTAGATTTTATATGAAGATATTCCCGTGTCCAACGAAATTTTCAAAGGTCTCCAAATAAAGATTGTTTCCAAACTGCTGTATCAAAACAAAGGTTGAACTCTGTGAGTTGAGGACACACATCACAAATAAGTTTCTGAGAATGCTTCTGTCTAGTTTTTATTTGAAGATGTTTCCTTTTTCACCATAGGCCTGAAAGCGCTCGAAATGTCCACTTCCAGATAGTACAGAAAGAGTGTTTCAAACCTGCTCTATGAACGGGAATGTTCAGCTCTGTGAGTTGAATGCAAACATCACAAAGCAGGTTCTGAGAATGCTTCCGTCTAGATTTTAAATGAGGATATTCCCGTTTCCAACGAAATCCTCGAAGCTATCCAAATATCCACTTGCAGATTCCACAAAAAGAGTGTTTCAAAACTGCTCTGTCAAAAGATAGGTTCAACTCTGTTAGTTGAGTACACACATGGCAAACAAGATTCCGAGAATGCTTTCGTCTAGTTTTTTTGGGAAGATATTTCCTTCTTCACCATAGGCCTCAAAGCGCTCCAAATATCCATTTCCACATGCTATACAAAGAGTGTCTCAAACCTGCTGTATGAATGGGAATGTTCAACTCTATGAGTTGAATGCAAACATCACAAAGAAGTTTCTGAGAATGCTGCTGTCTAGATTTTATATGAAGGTTTTCCCGCTTCCAACGAAATTTTCAATGCTCTCAAAATATCCTCTTGTAGATTCTACAAAAAGAGTGTTTCCAAACTGCTGTATCAAAACAAAGGTTCATCTCTGTTAGTTGAGGACACACATCACAAATAAGTTTCTGAGAATGCTTCTGTCTAGTTCTTATTTGAAGACATTTCCTTTCTCACCTTAGGCCTGAAAGCGCTCGAAATACCCACTTCCAGATACTACAGAAACAGTGATTCAAACCTGCTCTATGAAAGGGAATGTTCAACTAGGTGACTTGAATGCAAACATCACAAAGCAGTTTCTGAGAATGCTGCTGTCTACTTTCTATTTGTAATCCCGTTTCCAACGAAATCCTCAGAACTATCGAAATTTCCAATTGCAGATTCCACAGAAACAGGGTTTCAAAGCTGCTCTGTAAAAAGAAAGGTTCAACTCTGTTAGTTGAATACACACGTCACAAACAAGTTTCTGAGAATGCTTCTGTCTAGTTTTTATGGGAAGATATTTCCTTTTTCACCGTAGGCCTCAAAGCGCTCCAAATGTCCACGTCCACATACTACAAAAAGAGTGTTTCAAACCTGCTGTATGAAAGGGAATGTTCAACTCTATGAGTTGAATGCAAACATTACAAAGAAGTTTCTGAGAATGCTTCTGTCTAGATTTTATATGAAGGTTTTCCCGTTTCCAACGAAATTTTCAATGCTCTCAAAATATCCACTTGTAGATTCTACAAAAAGAGTGTTTCCAAACTGCTGTGTCAAAAGAAAGGTTCAACTCTGTTAGTTGAGGACACACATCACAAATAAGTTTCTGAGAATCCTTCTGTCTAGTTCTTATTTGAAGACATTTCCTTTCTCACCTTAGGCCTGAAAACGCTCGAAATATCCACTTCCAGATACGACAGAAACAGTGATTCAAACCTGCTCTATGAAACGGAATGTTCAACTAGGTGACTTGAATGCAAACATCACAAAGCAGTTTCTGAGAATGCTGCTGTCTACTTTCTATTTGTAATCCCGTTTCCAACGAAATCCTCAGAACTATCGAAATTTCCAATTGCAGATTCCACAAAAAGCGTGTTTCAAAGCTGCTCTGTAAAAAGAAAGGTTCAACTCTGTTAGTTGAATACACACGTCACAAACAAGTTTCTGAGAATGCTTCTGTCTAGTTTTTATGGGAAGATATTTCCTTTTTCACCGTAGGCCTCAAAGCGCTCCAAATGTCCACTTCCACATACTACAAAAAGAGTGTTTCAAACCTGCTCTATGATAGGGAATGTTGAAACCTATGAGTTGAATGCAAGCATTACAAAGAGGTTTCTGAGAATGCTTCTGTCTAGATTTTATATGTAGATATTCCCGTTTCCAACGAAATCCTCAAAGCTATCCAAATATCAACTTGCAGATTCTACAAAAGGAATGTTTCCAAAATGCTGTATCCAAACAAAGGTTCAACTCTGTGAATTGAGGGCATACATCACAAAGAAGATTCTGAGAATGCTTCTGTCTAGATTTTATATGAAAATATTCCCGTTTCCAACGAAATCCTCAAAGCTATCCAAATATCCACTTGCAAATGCCACAAAAAGAGTGTTTCCAAACTGCTCTGTGAAAAGGAAGGTTCAACTCTGTTAGTTGAGTACACACATCACAAAGAGGTTTCTGAGAATGCTGCTGACTAGTTTTTATTTGAAGATATTTCCCTTTTCACCTTAGGCCTAAGAGTGCTCGAAATGTCCATTTCCACATACTCCACAAAGTGTGTTTCAAACGTGCTGTATGAGAGGGAATGTTCAACTCTATGAGTTGAATGCAAACATCACAAAGAAGATTCTGAGAATGCTTTTGTCTAGATTTTATATGAAGATATTCCCGTGTCCAACGAAATTTTCAAAGGTCTCCAAATATCCATTTGTAGATTCTACAAAAAGAGTGTTTCCAAACTGCTGTATCAAAACAAAGGTTGAACTCTGTGAGTTGAGGACACACATCACAAATAAGTTTCTGAGAATGCTTCTGTCTAGTTTTTATTTGAAGATGTTTCCTTTTTCACCATAGGCCTGAAAGCGCTCGAAATGTCCACTTCCAGATAGTACAGAAAGAGGGTTTCAAACCTGCTCTGTGAACGGGAATGTTCAGCTCTGTGAGTTGAATGCAAACATCACAAAGCAGGTTCTGAGAATGCTTCCGTCTAGATTTTAAATGAGGATATTCCCGTTTCCAACGAAATCCTCGAAGCTATCCAAATATCCACTTGCAGATTCCACAAAAAGAGTGTTTCAAAACTGCTCTGTCAAAAGATAGGTTCAACTCTGTTAGTTGAGTACACACATGGCAAACAAGATTCCGAGAATGCTTTCGTCTAGTTTTTTTGGGAAGATATTTCCTTCTTCACCATAGGCCTCAAAGCGCTCCAAATATCCATTTCCACATGCTATACAAAGAGTGTCTCAAACCTGCTGTATGAATGGGAATGTTCAACTCTATGAGTTGAATGCAAACATCACAAAGAAGTTTCTGAGAATGCTGCTGTCTAGATTTTATATGAAGGTTTTCCCGCTTCCAACGAAATTTTCAATGCTCTCAAAATATCCTCTTGTAGATTCTACAAAAAGAGTGTTTCCAAACTGCTGTATCAAAACAAAGGTTCATCTCTGTTAGTTCAGGACACACATCACAAATAAGTTTCTGAGAATGTTTCTGTCTAGTTCTTATTTGAAGACATTTCCTTTCTCACCTTAGGCCTGAAAGCGCTCGAAATACCCACTTCCAGATACTACAGAAACAGTGATTCATACCTGCTCTATGAAAGTGAATGTTCAGCTCTGTGAGTTGAATGCAAACATCACAAAGCAGTTTCTGAGAATGCTGCTGTCTACTTTCTATTTGTAATCCCGTTTCCAACGAAATCCTCAGAACTATCGAAATTTCCAATTGCAGATTCCACAGAAACAGGGTTTCAAAGCTGCTCTGTAAAAAGAAAGGTTCAACTCTGTTAGTTGAATACACACGTCACAAACAAGTTTCTGAGAATGCTTCTGTCTAGTTTTTATGGGAAGATATTTCCTTTTTCACCGTAGGCCTCAAAGCGCTCCAAATGTCCACTTCCACATACTACAAAAAGAGTGTTTCAAACCTGCTGTATGAAAGGGAATGTTCAACTCTATGACTTGAATGCAAACATTACAAAGAAGTTTCTGAGAATGCTTCTGTCTAGATTTTATATGAAGGTTTTCCCGTTTCCAAGGAAATTTTCAATGCTCTCAAAGTATCCACTTGTAGATTCTACAAAAAGAGTGTTTCCAATCTGCTGTGTCAAAGGAAAGGTTCAACTCTGTTAGTTGAGGACACACATCACAAAGAGGTTTCTGAGAATGCTGCTGACTAGTTTTTATTTGAAGATATTTCCCTTTTCACCTTAGGCCTAAGAGTGCTCGAAATGTCCATTTCCACATACTCCACAAAGTGTGTTTCAAACGTGCTGTATGAAAGGGAATGTTCAACTCTATGAGTTGAATGCAAACATCACAAAGAAGATTCTGAGAATGCTTTTGTCTAGATTTTATATGAAGATATTCCCGTGTCCAACGAAATTTTCAAAGGTCTCCAAATATCCATTTGTAGATTCTACAAAAAGAGTGTTTCCAAACTGCTGTATCAAAACAAAGGTTGAACTCTGTGAGTTGAGGACACACATCACAAATAAGTTTCTGAGAATGCTTCTGTCTAGTTTTTATTTGAAGATGTTTCCTTTTTCACCATAGGCCTGAAAGCGCTCGAAATGTCCACTTCCAGATAGTACAGAAAGAGTGTTTCAAACCTGCTCTATGAACGGGAATGTTCAGCTCTGTGAGTTGAATGCAAACATCACAAAGCAGGTTCTGAGAATGCTTCCGTCTAGATTTTAAATGAGGATATTCCCGTTTCCAACGAAATCCTCGAAGCTATCCAAATATCCACTTGCAGATTCCACAAAAAGAGTGTTTCAAAACTGCTCTGTCAAAAGATAGGTTCAACTCTGTTAGTTGAGTACACACATGGCAAACAAGATTCCGAGAATGCTTTCGTCTAGTTTTTTTGGGAAGATATTTCCTTCTTCACCATAGGCCTCAAAGCGCTCCAAATATCCATTTCCACATGCTATACAAAGAGTGTCTCAAACCTGCTGTATGAATGGGAATGTTCAACTCTATGAGTTGAATGCAAACATCACAAAGAAGTTTCTGAGAATGCTGCTGTCTAGATTTTATATGAAGGTTTTCCCACTTCCAACGAAATTTTCAATGCTCTCAAAATATCCTCTTGTAGATTCTACAAAAAGAGTGTTTCCAAACTGCTGTATCAAAACAAAGGTTCATCTCTGTTAGTTGAGGACACACATCACAAATAAGTTTCTGAGAATGCTTCTGTCTAGTTCTTATTTGAAGACATTTCCTTTCTCACCTTAGGCCTGAAAGCGCTCGAAATACCCACTTCCAGATACTACAGAAACAGTGATTCAAACCTGCTCTATGAAAGGGAATGTTCAACTAGGTGACTTGAATGCAAACATCACAAAGCAGTTTCTGAGAATGCTGCTGTCTACTTTCTATTTGTAATCCCGTTTCCAACGAAATCCTCAGAACTATCAAAATTTCCAATTGCAGATTCCACAGAAACAGGGTTTCAAAGCTGCTCTGTAAAAAGAAAGGTTCAACTCTGTTAGTTGAATACACACGTCACAAACAAGTTTCTGAGAATGCTTCTGTCTAGTTTTTATGGGAAGATATTTCCTTTTTCACCGTAGGCCTCAAAGCGCTCCAAATGTCCACTTCCACATACTACAAAAAGAGTGTTTCAAACCTGCTGTATGAAAGGGAATGTTCAACTCTATGAGTTGAATGCAAACATTACAAAGAAGTTTCTGAGAATGCTTCTGTCTAGATTTTATATGAAGGTTTTCCCGTTTCCAACGAAATTTTCAATGCTCTCAAAATATCCACTGGTAGATTCTACAAAAAGAGTGTTTCCAAACTGCTGTGTCAAAAGAAAGGTTCAACTCTGTTAGTTGAGGACACACATCACAAATAAGTTTCTGAGAATGCTTCTGTCTAGTTCTTATTTGAAGACATTTCCTTTCTCACCTTAGGCCTGAAAACGCTCGAAATATCCACTTCCAGATACGACAGAAACAGTGATTCAAACCTGCTCTATGAAAGGGAATGTTCAACTAGGTGACTTGAATGCAAACATCACAAAGCAGATTCTGAGAATGCTGCTGTCTACTTTCTATTTGTAATCCCGTTTCCAAAGAAATCCTCAGAACTATCGAAATTTCCAATTGCAGATTCCACAAAAAGCGTGTTTCAAAGCTGCTCTGTAAAAAGAAAGGTTCAACTCTGTTAGTTGAATACACACGTCACAAACAAGTTTCTGAGAATGCTTCTGTCTAGTTTTTATGGGAAGATATTTCCTTTTTCACCGTAGGCCTCAAAGCGCTCCAAATGTCCACTTCCACATACTACAAAAAGAGTGTTTCAAACCTGCTCTATGATAGGGAATGTTGAAACCTATGAGTTGAATGCAAGCATTACAAAGAAGTTTCTGAGAATGCTTCTGTCTAGATTTTATATGTAGATATTCCCGTTTCCAACGAAATCCTCAAAGCTATCCAAATATCAACTTGCAGATTCTACAAAAGGAATGTTTCCAAAATGCTGTATCCAAACAAAGGTTCAACTCTGTGAATTGAGGGCATACATCACAAAGAAGATTCTGAGAATGCTTCTGTCTAGATTTTATATGAAAATATTCCCGTTTCCAACGAAATCCTCAAAGCTATCCAAATATCCACTTGCAAATGCCACAAAAAGAGTGTTTCCAAACTGCTCTGTGAAAAGGAAGGTTCAACTCTGTTAGTTGAGTACACACATCACAAAGAGGTTTCTGAGAATGCTGCTGACTAGTTTTTATTTGAAGATATTTCCCTTTTCACCTTAGGCCTAAGAGTGCTCGAAATGTCCATTTCCACATACTCCACAAAGTGTGTTTCAAACGTGCTGTATGAAAGGGAATGTTCAACTCTATGAGTTGAATGCAAACATCACAAAGAAGATTCTGAGAATGCTTTTGTCTAGATTTTATATGAAGATATTCCCGTGTCCAACGAAATTTTCAAAGGTCTCCAAATAAAGATTGTTTCCAAACTGCTGTATCAAAACAAAGGTTGAACTCTGTGAGTTGAGGACACACATCACAAATAAGTTTCTGAGAATGCTTCTGTCTAGTTTTTATTTGAAGATGTTTCCTTTTTCACCATAGGCCTGAAAGCGCTCGAAATGTCCACTTCCAGATAGTACAGAAAGAGTGTTTCAATCCTGCTCTATGAACGGGAATGTTCAGCTCTGTGAGTTGAATGCAAACATCACAAAGCAGGTTCTGAGAATGCTTCCGTCTAGATTTTAAATGAGGATATTCCCGTTTCCAACGAAATCCTCGAAGCTATCCAAATATCCACTTGCAGATTCCACAAAAAGAGTGTTTCAAAACTGCTCTGTCAAAAGATAGGTTCAACTCTGTTAGTTGAGTACACACATGGCAAACAAGATTCCGAGAATGCTTTCGTCTAGTTTTTTTGGGAAGATATTTCCTTCTTCACCATAGGCCTCAAAGCGCTCCAAATATCCATTTCCACATGCTATACAAAGAGTGTCTCAAACCTGCTGTATGAATGGGAATGTTCAACTCTATGAGTTGAATGCAAACATCACAAAGAAGTTTCTGAGAATGCTGCTGTCTAGATTTTATATGAAGGTTTTCCCGCTTCCAACGAAATTTTCAATGCTCTCAAAATATCCTCTTGTAGATTCTACAAAAAGAGTGTTTCCAAACTGCTGTATCAAAACAAAGGTTCATCTCTGTTAGGTGAGGACACACATCACAAATAAGTTTCTGAGAATGCTTCTGTCTAGTTCTTATTTGAAGACATTTCCTTTCTCACCTTAGGCCTGAAAGCGCTCGAAATACCCACTTCCAGATACGACAGAAACAGTGATTCAAACCTGCTCTATGAAAGGGAATGTTCAACTAGGTGACTTGAATGCAAACATCACAAAGCAGTTTACTGAGAATGCTGCTGTCTACTTTCTATTTGTAATCCCGTTTCCAACGAAATCCTCAGAACTATCGAAATTTCCAATTGCAGATTCCACAGAAACAGGGTTTCAAAGCTGCTCTGTAAAAAGAAAGGTTCAACTCTGTTAGTTGAATACACACGTCACAAACAAGTTTCTGAGAATGCTTCTGTCTAGTTTTTATGGGAAGATATTTCCTTTTTCACCGTAGGCCTCAAAGCGCTCCAAATGTCCACGTCCACATACTACAAAAAGAGTGTTTCAAACCTGCTGTATGAAAGGGAATGTTCAACTCTATGAGTTGAATGCAAACATTACAAAGAAGTTTCTGAGAATGCTTCTGTCTAGATTTTATATGAAGGTTTTCCCGTTTCCAACGAAATTTTCAATGCTCTCAAAATATCCACTTGTAGATTCTACAAAAAGAGTGTTTCCAAACTGCTGTGTCAAAAGAAAGGTTCAACTCTGTTAGTTGAGGACACACATCACAAATAAGTTTCTGAGAATGCTTCTGTCTAGTTCTTATTTGAAGACATTTCCTTTCTCACCTTAGGCCTGAAAGCGCTCGAAATACCCACTTCCAGATACAACAGAAACAGTGATTCAAACCTGCTCTATGAAAGGGAATGTTCAACTAGGTGACTTGAATGCAAACATCACAAAGCAGTTTCTGAGAATGCTGCTGTCTACTTTCTATTTGTAATCCCGTTTCCAACGAAATCCTCAGAACTATCGAAATTTCCAATTGCAGATTCCACAAAAAGAGTGTTTCAAAGCTGCCCTGTAAAAAGAAAGGTTCAACTCTGTTAGTTGAATACACACGTCACAAACAAGTTTCTGAGAATGCTTCTGTCTAGTTTTTATGGGAAGATATTTCCTTTTTCACCGTAGGCCTCAAAGGGCTCCAAATGTCCATTTCCACATACTACAAAAAGAGTGTTTCAAACCTGCTGTATGAAACGGAATGTTCAACTCTATGAGTTGAATGCAAACATTACAAAGTAGTTTCTTAGAATGCTTCTGTCTAGATTTTATATGAAGGTTTTCCCGCTTCCAACGAAATTTTCAATGCTCTCAAAATATCCACTTGTAGATTCTACAAAAAGAGTGTTTCCAAACTGCTGTGTCAAAACAAAGGTTCAACTCTGTTAGTTGAGGACACACATCACAAATAAGTTTCTGAGAATGCTTCTGTCTAGTTCTTATTTGAAGATATTTCCTTTCTCACCTTAGGCCTGAAAGCGCTCGAAATATCCACTTCCAGATACTACAGAAATAGTGATTCAAACCTGCCCTATGAAAGGGAATGTTCAACTATGTGACTTGAATGCAAACATCAGAAAGCAGTTTCTGAGAATGCTGCTGTCTACTTTCTATTTGTAATCCCGTTTCCAACGAAATCCTCAGAACTATCGAAATTTCCAATTGCAGATTCCACAAAAACAGGGTTTCAAAGCTGCTCTGTAAAAAGAAAGGTTCAACTCTGTTAGTTGAATACACACGTCACAAACAAATTTCTGAGAATGCTTCTGTCTAGTTTTTATGGGAAGATATTTCCTTTTTCACCGTAGGCCTCAAAGCGCTCCAAATGTCCACTTCCACATAATACAAAAAGAGTGTTTCAAACCTGCTGTATGAAAGGGAATGTTCAACTCTATGAGTTGAATGCAAACATTACAAAGAAGTTTCTGAGAATGCTTCTGTTCTAGATTTTATATGAAGGTTTTCCCGTTTCCAACGAAATTTTCAATGCTCTCAAAATATCCACTTGTAGATTCTACAAAAAGAGTGTTTCCAAACTGCTGTGTCAAAAGAAAGGTTCAACTCTGTTAGTTGAGGACACACATCACAAATAAGTTTCTGAGAATGCTTCTGTCTAGTTCTTATTTGAAGACATTTCCTTTCTCACCTTAGGCCTGAAAACGCTCGAAATATCCACTTCCAGATACGACAGAAACAGTGATTCAAACCTGCTCTATGAAAGGGAATGTTCAACTAGGTGACTTGAATGCAAACATCACAAAGCAGTTTCTGAGAATGCTGCTGTCTACTTTCTATTTGTAATCCCGTTTCCAACGAAATCCTCAGAACTATCGAAATTTCCAATTGCAGATTCCACAAAAAGCGTGTTTCAAAGCTGCTCTGTAAAAAGAAAGGTTCAACTCTGTTAGTTGAATACACACGTCACAAACAAGTTTCTGAGAATGCTTCTGTCTAGTTTTTATGGGAAGATATTTCCTTTTTCACCGTAGGCCTCAAAGCGCTCCAAATGTCCACTTCCACATACTACAAAAAGAGTGTTTCAAACCTGCTCTATGATAGGGAATGTTGAAACCTATGAGTTGAATGCAAGCATTACAAAGAGGTTTCTGAGAATGCTTCTGTCTAGATTTTATATGTAGATATTCCCGTTTCCAACGAAATCCTCAAAGCTATCCAAATATCAACTTGCAGATTCTACAAAAGGAATGTTTCCAAAATGCTGTATCCAAACAAAGGTTCAACTCTGTGAATTGAGGGCATACATCACAAAGAAGATTCTGAGAATGCTTCTGTCTAGATTTTATATGAAAATATTCCCGTTTCCAACGAAATCCTCAAAGCTATCCAAATATCCACTTGCAAATGCCACAAAAAGAGTGTTTCCAAACTGCTCTGTGAAAAGGAAGGTTCAACTCTGTTAGTTGAGGACACACATCACAAAGAGGTTTCTGAGAATGCTGCTGACTAGTTTTTATTTGAAGATATTTCCCTTTTCACCTTAGGCCTAAGAGTGCTCGAAATGTCCATTTCCACATACTCCACAAAGTGTGTTTCAAACGTGCTGTATGAAAGGGAATGTTCAACTCTATGAGTTGAATGCAAACATCACAAAGAAGATTCTGAGAATGCTTTTGTCTAGATTTTATATGAAGATATTCCCGTGTCCAACGAAATTTTCAAAGGTCTCCAAATATCCATTTGTAGATTCTACAAAAAGAGTGTTTCCAAACTGCTGTATCAAAACAAAGGTTGAACTCTGTGAGTTGAGGACACACATCACAAATAAGTTTCTGAGAATGCTTCTGTCTAGTTTTTATTTGAAGATGTTTCCTTTTTCACCATAGGCCTGAAAGCGCTCGAAATGTCCACTTCCAGATAGTACAGAAAGAGTGTTTCAAACCTGCTCTATGAACGGGAATGTTCAGCTCTGTGAGTTGAATGCAAACATCACAAAGCAGGTTCTGAGAATGCTTCCGTCTAGATTTTAAATGAGGATATTCCCGTTTCCAACGAAATCCTCGAAGCTATCCAAATATCCACTTGCAGATTCCACAAAAAGAGTGTTTCAAAACTGCTCTGTCAAAAGATAGGTTCAACTCTGTTAGTTGAGTACACACATGGCAAACAAGATTCCGAGAATGCTTTCATCTAGTTTTTTTGGGAAGATATTTCCTTCTTCACCATAGGCCTCAAAGCGCTCCAAATATCCATTTCCACATGCTATACAAAGAGTGTCTCAAACCTGCTGTATGAATGGGAATGTTCAACTCTATGAGTTGAATGCAAACATCACAAAGAAGTTTCTGACAATGCTGCTGTCTAGATTTTATATGAAGGTTTTCCCGCTTCCAACGAAATTTTCAATGCTCTCAAAATATCCTCTTGTAGATTCTACAAAAAGAGTGTTTCCAAACTGCTGTATCAAAACAAAGGTTCATCTCTGTTAGTTGAGGACACACATCACAAATAAGTTTCTGAGAATGCTTCTGTCTAGTTCTTATTTGAAGACATTTCCTTTCTCACCTTAGGCCTGAAAGCGCTCGAAATACCCACTTCCAGATACTACAGAAACAGTGATTCAAACCTGCTCTATGAAAGGGAATGTTCAACTAGGTGACTTGAATGCAAACATCACAAAGCAGTTTCTGAGAATGCTGCTGTCTACTTTCTATTTGTAATCCCGTTTCCAACGAAATCCTCAGAACTATCGAAATTTCCAATTGCAGATTGCACAGAAACAGGGTTTCAAAGCTGCTCTGTAAAAAGAAAGGTTCAACTCTGTTAGTTGAATACACACGTCACAAACAAGTTTCTGAGAATGCTTCTGTCTAGTTTTTATGGGAAGATATTTCCTTTTTCACCGTAGGCCTCAAAGCGCTCCAAATGTCCACTTCCACATACTACAAAAAGAGTGTTTCAAACCTGCTGTATGAAAGGGAATGTTCAACTCTATGAGTTGAATGCAAACATTACAAAGAAGTTTCTGAGAATGCTTCTGTCTAGATTTTATATGAAGGTTTTCCCGCTTCCAACGAAATTTTCAATGCTCTCAAAATATCCTCTTGTAGATTCTACAAAAAGAGTGTTTCCAACCTGCTGTATCAAAACAAAGGTTCATCTCTGTTAGTTGAGGACACACATCACAAATAAGTTTCTGAGAATGCTTCTGTCTAGTTCTTATTTGAAGACATTTCCTTTCTCACCTTAGGCCTGAAAACGCTCGAAATATCCACTTCCAGATACGACAGAAACAGTGATTCAAACCTGCTCTATGAAAGGGAATGTTCAACTAGGTGACTTGAATGCAAACATCACAAAGCAGTTTCTGAGAATGCTGCTGTCTACTTTCTATTTGTAATCCCGTTTCCAACGAAATCCTCAGAACCATCGAAATTTCCAATTGCAGATTCCACAGAAACAGGGTTTCAAAGCTGCTCTGTAAAAAGAAAGGTTCAACTCTGTTAGTTGAATACACACGTCACAAACAAGTTTCTGAGAATGCTTCTGTCTAGTTTTTATGGGAAGATATTTCCTTTTTCACGGTAGGCCTCAAAGCGCTCCAAATGTCCACTTCCACATACTACAAAAAGAGTGTTTCAAACCTGCTCTATGATAGGGAATGTTGAAACCTATGAGTTGAATGCAAGCATTACAAAGAGGTTTCTGAGAATGCTTCTGTCTAGATTTTATATGTAGATATTCCCGTTTCCAACGAAATCCTCAAAGCTATCCAAATATCAACTTGCAGATTCTGCAAAAGGAATGTTTCCAAAATGCTGTATCCAAACAAAGGTTCAACTCTGTGAATTGAGGGCATACATCACAAAGAAGATTCTGAGAATGCTTCTGTCTAGATTTTATATGAAAATATTCCCGTTTCCAACGAAATCCTCAAAGCTATCCAAATATCCACTTGCAAATGCCACAAAAAGAGTGTTTCCAAACTGCTCTGTGAAAAGGAAGGTTCAACTCTGTTAGTTGAGTACACACATCACAAAGAGGTTTCTGAGAATGCTGCTGACTAGTTTTTATTTGAAGATATTTCCCTTTTCACCTTAGGCCTAAGAGTGCTCGAAATGTCCATTTCCACATACTCCACAAAGTGTGTTTCAAACGTGCTGTATGAAAGGGAATGTTCAACTCTATGAGTTGAATGCAAACATCACAAAGAAGATTCTGAGAATGCTTTTGTCTAGATTTTATATGAAGATATTCCCGTGTCCAACGAAATTTTCAAAGGTCTCCAAATATCCATTTGTAGATTCTACAAAAAGAGTGTTTCCAAACTGCTGTATCAAAACAAAGGTTGAACTCTGTGAGTTGAGGACACACATCACAAATAAGTTTCTGAGAATGCTTCTGTCTAGTTTTTATTTGAAGATGTTTCCTTTTTCACCATAGGCCTGAAAGCACTCGAAATGTCCACTTCCAGATAGTACAGAAAGAGTGTTTCAAACCTGCTCTATGAACGGGAATGTTCAGCTCTGTGAGTTGAATGCAAACATCACAAAGCAGGTTCTGAGAATGCTTCCGTCTAGATTTTAAATGAGGATATTCCCGTTTCCAACGAAATCCTCGAAGCTATCCAAATATCCACTTGCAGATTCCACAAAAAGAGTGTTTCAAAACTGCTCTGTCAAAAGATAGGTTCAACTCTGTTAGTTGAGTACACACATGGCAAACAAGATTGCGAGAATGCTTTCGTCTAGTTTTTTTGGGAAGATATTTCCTTCTTCACCATAGGCCTCAAAGCGCTCCAAATATCCATTTCCACATGCTATACAAAGAGTGTCTCAAACCTGCTGTATGAATGGGAATGTTCAACTCTATGAGTTGAATGCAAACATCACAAAGAAGTTTCTGAGAATGCTGCTGTCTAGATTTTATATGAAGGTTTTCCCGCTTCCAACGAAATTTTCAATGCTCTCAAAATATCCTCTTGTAGATTCTACAAAAAGAGTGTTTCCAAACTGCTGTATCAAAACAAAGGTTCATCTCTGTTAGTTGAGGACACACATCACAAATAAGTTTCTGAGAATGCTTCTGTCTAGTTCTTATTTGAAGACATTTCCTTTCTCACCTTAGGCCTGAAAGCGCTCGAAATACCCACTTCCAGATACTACAGAAACAGTGATTCAAACCTGCTCTATGAAAGGGAATGTTCAACTAGGTGACTTGAATGCAAACATCACAAAGCAGTTTCTGAGAATGCTGCTGTCTACTTTCTATTTGTAATCCCGTTTGCAACGAAATCCTCAGAACTATCGAAATTTCCAATTGCAGATTCCACAGAAACAGGGTTTCAAAGCTGCTCTGTAAAAAGAAAGGTTCAACTCTGTTAGTTGAATACACACGTCACAAACAAGTTTCTGAGAATGCTTCTGTCTAGTTTTTATGGGAAGATATTTCCTTTTTCACGGTAGGCCTCAAAGCGCTCCAAATGTCCACTTCCACATACTACAAAAAGAGTGTTTCAAACCTGCTCTATGATAGGGAATGTTGAAACCTATGAGTTGAATGCAAGCATTACAAAGAGGTTTCTGAGAATGCTTCTGTCTAGATTTTATATGTAGATATTCCCGTTTCCAACGAAATCCTCAAAGCTATCCAAATATCAACTTGCAGATTCTACAAAAGGAATGTTTCCAAAATGCTGTATCCAAACAAAGGTTCAACTCTGTGAATTGAGGGCATACATCACAAAGAAGATTCTGAGAATGCTTCTGTCTAGATTTTATATGAAAATATTCCCGTTTCCAACGAAATCCTCAAAGCTATCCAAATATCCACTTGCAAATGCCACAAAAGGAGTGTTTCCAAACTGCTCTGTGAAAAGGAAGGTTCAACTCTGTTAGTTGAGTACACACATCACAAAGAGGTTTCTGAGAATGCTGCTGACTAGTTTTTATTTGAAGATATTTCCCTTTTCACCTTACGCCTAAGAGTGCTCGAAATGTCCATTTCCACATACTCCACAAAGTGTGTTTCAAACGTGCTGTATGAGAGGGAATGTTCAACTCTATGAGTTGAATGCAAACATCACAAAGAAGATTCTGAGAATGCTTTTGTCTAGATTTTATATGAAGATATTCCCGTGTCCAACGAAATTTTCAAAGGTCTCCAAATATCCATTTGTAGATTCTACAAAAAGAGTGTTTCCAAACTGCTGTATCAAAACAAAGGTTGAACTCTGTGAGTTGAGGACACACATCACAAATAAGTTTCTGAGAATGCTTCTGTCTAGTTTTTATTTGAAGATGTTTCCTTTTTCACCATAGGCCTGAAAGCGCTCGAAATGTCCACTTCCAGATAGTACAGAAAGAGTGTTTCAAACCTGCTCTATGAACGGGAATGTTCAGCTCCGTGAGTTGAATGCAAACATCACAAAGCAGGTTCTGAGAATGCTTCCGTCTAGATTTTAAATGAGGATATTCCCGTTTCCAACGAAATCCTCGAAGCTATCCAAATATCCACTTGCAGATTCCACAGAAAGAGTGTTTCAAAACTGCTCTCTCAAAAGATAGGTTCAACTCTGTTAGTTGAGTACACACATGGCAAACAAGATTCCGAGAATGCTTTCGTCTAGTTTTTTTGGGAAGATATTTCCTTCTTCACCATAGGCCTCAAAGCGCTCCAAATATCCATTTCCACATGCTATACAAAGAGTGTCTCAAACCTGCTGTATGAATGGGAATGTTCAACTCTATGAGTTGAATGCAAACATCACAAAGAAGTTTCTGAGAATGCTGCTGTCTAGATTTTATATGAAGGTTTTCCCGCTTCCAACGAAATTTTCAATGCTCTCAAAATATCCTCTTGTAGATTCTACAAAAAGAGTGTTTCCAAACTGCTGTATCAAAACAAAGGTTCATCTCTGTTAGTTGAGGACACACATCACAAATAAGTTTCTGAGAATGCTTCTGTCTAGTTCTTATTTGAAGACATTTCCTTTCTCACCTTAGGCCTGAAAACGCTCGAAATACCCACTTCCAGATACGACAGAAACAGGGATTCAAACCTGCTCTATGAAAGGGAATGTTCAACTATGTGACTTGAATGCAAACATCACAAAGCAGTTTCTGAGAATGCTGCTGTCTACTTTCTATTTGTAATCCCGTTTCCAACGAAATCCTCAGAACTATCGAAATTTCCAATTGCAGATTCCACAGAAACAGGGTTTCAAAGCTGCTCTGTAAAAAGAAAGGTTCAACTCTGTTAGTTGAATACACACGTCACAAACAAGTTTCTGAGAATGCTTCTGTCTAGTTTTTATGGGAAGATATTTCCTTTTTCACCGTAGGCCTCAAAGCGCTCCAAATGTCCACTTCCACATACTACAAAAAGAGTGTTTCAAACCTGCTGTATGAAAGGGAATGTTCAACTCTATGAGTTGAATGCAAACATTACAAAGAAGTTTCTGAGAATGCTTCTGTCTAGATTTTATATGAAGGTTTTCCCGTTTCCAACGAAATTTTCAATGCTCTCAAAATATCCACTTGTAGATTCTACAAAAAGAGTGTTTCCAAACTGCTGTGTCAAAAGAAAGGTTCAACTCTGTTAGTTGAGGACACACATCACAAATAAGTTTCTGAGAATGCTTCTGTCTAGTTCTTATTTGAAGACATTTCCTTTCTCACCTTAGGCCTGAAAACGCTCGAAATATCCACTTCCAGATACGACAGAAACAGTGATTCAAACCTGCTCTATGAAAGGGAATGTTCAACTAGGTGACTTGAATGCAAACATCAGAAAGCAGTTTCTGAGAATTCTGCTGTCTACTTTCTATTTTTAATCCCTTTTCCAACGAAATCCTCAGAACTATCGAAATTTCCAATTGCAGATTCCACAAAAAGCGTGTTTCAAAGCTGCTCTGTAAAAAGAAAGGTTCAACTCTGTTAGTTGAATACACACGTCACAAACAAGTTTCTGAGAATGCTTCTGTCTAGTTTTTATGGGAAGATATTTCCTTTTTCACCGTAGGCCTCAAAGCGCTCCAAATGTCCACTTCCACATACTACAAAAAGAGTGTTTCAAACCTGCTCTATGATAGGGAATGTTGAAACCTATGAGTTGAATGCAAGCATTACAAAGAGGTTTCTGAGAATGCTTCTGTCTAGATTTTATATGTAGATATTCCCGTTTCCAACGAAATCCTCAAAGCTATCCAAATATCAGCTTGCAGATTCTGCAAAAGGAATGTTTCCAAAATGCTGTATCCAAACAAAGGTTCAACTCTGTGAATTGAGGGCATACATCACAAAGAAGATTCTGAGAATGCTTCTGTCTAGATTTTATATGAAAATATTCCCGTTTCCAACGAAATCCTCAAAGCTATCCAAATATCCACTTGCAAATGCCACAAAAAGAGTGTTTCCAAACTGCTCTGTGAAAAGGAAGGTTCAACTCTGTTAGTTGAGTACACACATCACAAAGAGGTTTCTGAGAATGCTGCTGACTAGTTTTTATTTGAAGATATTTCCCTTTTCACCTTAGGCCTAAGAGTGCTCGAAATGTCCATTTCCACATACTCCACAAAGTGTGTTTCAAACGTGCTGTATGAAAGGGAATGTTCAACTCTATGAGTTGAATGCAAACATCACAAAGAAGATTCTGAGAATGCTTTTGTCTAGATTTTATATGAAGATATTCCCGTGTCCAACGAAATTTTCAAAGGTCTCCAAATATCCATTTGTAGATTCTACAAAAAGAGTGTTTCCAAACTGCTGTATCAAAACAAAGGTTGAACTCTGTGAGTTGAGGACACACATCACAAATAAGTTTCTGAGAATGCTTCTGTCTAGTTTTTATTTGAAGATGTTTCCTTTTTCACCATAGGCCTGAAAGCGCTCGAAATGTCCACTTCCAGATAGTACAGAAAGAGTGTTTCAAACCTGCTCTATGAACGGGAATGTTCAGCTCTGTGAGTTGAATGCAAACATCACAAAGCAGGTTCTGAGAATGCTTCCCGTCTAGATTTTAAATGAGGATATTCCCGTTTCCAACGAAATCCTCGAAGCTATCCAAATATCCACTTGCAGATTCCACAAAAAGAGTGTTTCAAAACTGCTCTGTCAAAAGATAGGTTCAACTCTGTTAGTTGAGTACACACATGGCAAACAAGATTCCGAGAATGCTTTCGTCTAGTTTTTTTGGGAAGATATTTCCTTCTTCACCATAGGCCTCAAAGCGCTCCAAATATCCATTTCCACATGCTATACAAAGAGTGTCTCAAACCTGCTGTATGAATGGGAATGTTCAACTCTATGAGTTGAATGCAAACATCACAAAGAAGTTTCTGAGAATGCTGCTGTCTAGATTTTATATGAAGGTTTTCCCGCTTCCAACGAAATTTTCAATGCTCTCAAAATATCCTCTTGTAGATTCTACAAAAAGAGTGTTTCCAAACTGCTGTATCAAAACAAAGGTTCATCTCTGTTAGTTGAGGACACACATCACAAATAAGTTTCTGAGAATGCTTCTGTCTAGTTCTTATTTGAAGACATTTCCTTTCTCACCTTAGTCCTGAAAGCGCTCGAAATACCCACTTCCAGATACTACAGAAACAGTGATTCAAACCTGCTCTATGAAAGGGAATGTTCAACTAGGTGACTTGAATGCAAACATCACAAAGCAGTTTACTGAGAATGCTGCTGTCTACTTTCTATTTGTAATCCCGTTTCCAACGAAATCCTCAGAACTATCGAAATTTCCAATTGCAGATTCCACAGAAACAGGGTTTCAAAGCTGCTCTGTAAAAAGAAAGGTTCAACTCTGTTAGTTGAATACACACGTCACAAACAAGTTTCTGAGAATGCTTCTGTCTAGTTTTTATGGGAAGATATTTCCTTTTTCACCGTAGGCCTCAAAGCGCTCCAAATGTCCACTTCCACATACTACAAAAAGAGTGTTTCAAACCTGCTGTATGAAAGGGAATGTTCAACTCTATGAGTTGAATGCAAACATTACAAAGAAGTTTCTGAGAATGCTTCTGTCTAGATTTTATATGAAGGTTTTCCCGTTTCCAACGAAATTTTCAATGCTCTCAAAATATCCACTTGTAGATTCTACAAAAAGAGTGTTTCCAAACTGCTGTGTCAAAAGAAAGGTTCAACTCTGTTAGTTGAGGACACACATCACAAATAAGTTTCTGAGAATGCTTCTGTCTAGTTCTTATTTGAAGACATTTCCTTTCTCACCTTAGGCCTGAAAACGCTCGAAATATCCACTTCCAGATACGACAGAAAGAGTGATTCAAACCTGCTCTATGAAAGGGAATGTTCAACTAGGTGACTTGAATGCAAACATCACAAAGCAGTTTCTGAGAATGCTGCTGTCTACTTTCTATTTGTAATCCCGTTTCCAACGAAATCCTCGAAGCTATCCAAATATCCACTTGCAGATTCCACAAAAAGAGTGTTTCAAAACTGCTCTGTCAAAAGATAGGTTCAACTCTGTTAGTTGAGTACACACATGGCAAACAAGATTGCGAGAATGCTTTCGTCTAGTTTTTGTGGGAAGATATTTCCTTCTTCACCATAGGCCTCAAAGCGCTCCAAATATCCATTTCCACATGCTATACAAAGAGTGTCTCAAACCTGCTGTATGAATGGGAATGTTCAACTCTATGAGTTGAATGCAAACATCACAAAGAAGTTTCTGAGAATGCTGCTGTCTAGATTTTATATGAAGGTTTTCCCGCTTCCAACGAAATTTTCAATGCTCTCAAAATATCCTCTTGTAGATTCTACAAAAAGAGTGTTTCCAAACTGCTGTATCAAAACAAAGGTTCATCTCTGTTAGTTGAGGACACACATCACAAATAAGTTTCTGAGAATGCTTCTGTCTAGTTCTTATTTGAAGACATTTCCTTTCTCACCTTAGGCCTGAAAGCGCTCGAAATACCCACTTCCAGATACTACAGAAACAGTGATTCAAACCTGCTCTATGAAAGGGAATGTTCAACTAGGTGACTTGAATGCAAACATCACAAAGCAGTTTCTGAGAATGCTGCTGTCTACTTTCTATTTGTAATCCCGTTTCCAACGAAATCCTCAGAACTATCGAAATTTCCAATTGCAGATTCCACAGAAACAGGGTTTCAAAGCTGCTCTGTAAAAAGAAAGGTTCAACTCTGTTAGTTGAATACACACGTCACAAACAAGTTTCTGAGAATGCTTCTGTCTAGTTTTTATGGGAAGATATTTCCTTTTTCACCGTAGGCCTCAAAGCGCTCCAAATGTCCACTTCCACATACTACAAAAAGAGTGTTTCAAACCTGCTGTATGAAAGGGAATGTTCAACTCTATGAGTTGAATGCAAACATTACAAAGAAGTTTCTGAGAATGCTTCTGTCTAGATTTTATATGAAGGTTTTCCCGTTTCCAACGAAATTTTCAATGCTCTCAAAATATCCACTTGTAGATTCTACAAAAAGAGTGTTTCCAAACTGCTGTGTCAAAAGAAAGGTTCAACTCTGTTAGTTGAGGACACACATCACAAATAAGTTTCTGAGAATGCTTCTGTCTAGTTCTTATTTGAAGACATTTCCTTTCTCACCTTAGGCCTGAAAACGCTCGAAATATCCACTTCCAGATACGACAGAAACAGTGATTCAAACCTGCTCTATGAAAGGGAATGTTCAACTAGGTGACTTGAATGCAAACATCACAAAGCAGTTTCTGAGAATGCTGCTGTCTACTTTCTATTTGTAATCCCGTTTCCAACGAAATCCTCAGAACTATCGAAATTTCCAATTGCAGATTCCACAAAAAGCGTGTTTCAAAGCTGCTCTGTAAAAAGAAAGGTTCAACTCTGTTAGTTGAATACACACGTCACAAACAAGTTTCTGAGAATGCTTCTGTCTAGTTTTTATGGGAAGATATTTCCTTTTTCACCGTAGGCCTCAAAGCGCTCCAAATGTCCACTTCCACATACTACAAAAAGAGTGTTTCAAACCTGCTCTATGATAGGGAATGTTGAAACCTATGAGTTGAATGCAAGCATTACAAAGAGGTTTCTGAGAATGCTTCTGTCTAGATTTTATATGTAGATATTCCCGTTTCCAACGAAATCCTCAAAGCTATCCAAATATCAACTTGCAGATTCTACAAAAGGAATGTTTCCAAAATGCTGTATCCAAACAAAGGTTCAACTCTGTGAATTGAGGGCATACATCACAAAGAAGATTCTGAGAATGCTTCTGTCTAGATTTTATATGAAAATATTCCCGTTTCCAACGAAATCCTCAAAGCTATCCAAATATCCACTTGCAAATGCCACAAAAAGAGTGTTTCCAAACTGCTCTGTGAAAAGGAAGGTTCAACTCTGTTAGTTGAGTACACACATCACAAAGAGGTTTCTGAGAATGCTGCTGACTAGTTTTTATTTGAAGATATTTCCCTTTTCACCTTAGGCCTAAGAGTGCTCGAAATGTCCATTTCCACATACTCCACAAAGTGTGTTTCAAACGTGCTGTATGAAAGGGAATGTTCAACTCTATGAGTTGAATGCAAACATCACAAAGAAGATTCTGAGAATGCTTTTGTCTAGATTTTATATGAAGATATTCCCGTGTCCAACGAAATTTTCAAAGGTCTCCAAATATCCATTTGTAGATTCTACAAAAAGAGTGTTTCCAAACTGCTGTATCAAAACAAAGGTTGAACTCTGTGAGTTGAGGACACACATCACAAATAAGTTTCTGAGAATGCTTCTGTCTAGTTTTTATTTGAAGATGTTTCCTTTTTCACCATAGGCCTGAAAGCGCTCGAAATGTCCACTTCCAGATAGTACAGAAAGAGTGTTTCAAACCTGCTCTATGAACGGGAATGTTCAGCTCTGTGAGTTGAATGCAAACATCACAAAGCAGGTTCTGAGAATGCTTCCGTCTAGATTTTAAATGAGGATATTCCCGTTTCCAACGAAATCCTCGAAGCTATCCAAATATCCACTTGCAGATTCCACAAAAAGAGTGTTTCAAAACTGCTCTGTCAAAAGATAGGTTCAACTCTGTTAGTTGAGTACACACATGGCAAACAAGATTGCGAGAATGCTTTCGTCTAGTTTTTTTGGGAAGATATTTCCTTCTTCACCATAGGCCTCAAAGCACTCCAAATATCCATTTCCACATGCTATACAAAGAGTGTCTCAAACCTGCTGTATGAATGGGAATGTTCAACTCTATGAGTTGAATGCAAACATCACAAAGAAGTTTCTGAGAATGCTGCTGTCTAGATTTTATATGAAGGTTTACCCGCTTCCAACGAAATTTTCAATGCTCTCAAAATATCCTCTTGTAGATTCTACAAAAAGAGTGTTTCCAAACTGCTGTATCAAAACAAAGGTTCATCTCTGTTAGTTGAGGACACACATCACAAATAAGTTTCTGAGAATGCTTCTGTCTAGTTCTTATTGAAGACATTTCCTTTCTCACCTTAGGCCTGAAAGCGCTCGAAATACCCACTTCCAGATACTACAGAAACAGTGATTCAAACCTGCTCTATGAAAGGGAATGTTCAACTAGGTGACTTGAATGCAAACATCACAAAGCAGTTTCTGAGAATGCTGCTGTCTACTTTCTATTTGTAATCCCGTTTCCAACGAAATCCTCAGAACTATCGAAATTTCCAATTGCAGATTCCACAGAAACAGGGTTTCAAAGCTGCTCTGTAAAAAGAAAGGTTCAACTCTGTTAGTTGAATACACACGTCACAAACAAGTTTCTGAGAATGCTTCTGTCTAGTTTTTATGGGAAGATATTTCCTTTTTCACCGTAGGCCTCAAAGCGCTCCAAATGTCCACGTCCACATACTACAAAAAGAGTGTTTCAAACCTGCTGTATGAAAGGGAATGTTCAACTCTATGAGTTGAATGCAAACATTACAAAGAAGTTTCTGAGAATGCTTCTGTCTAGATTTTATATGAAGGTTTTCCCGTTTCCAACGAAATTTTCAATGCTCTCAAAATATCCACTTGTAGATTCTACAAAAAGAGTGTTTCCAAACTGCTGTGTCAAAAGAAAGGTTCAACTCTGTTAGTTGAGGACACACATCACAAATAAGTTTCTGAGAATGCTTCTGTCTAGTTCTTATTTGAAGACATTTCCTTTCTCACCTTAGGCCTGAAAACGCTCGAAATATCCACTTCCAGATACGACAGAAACAGTGATTCAAACCTGCTCTATGAAAGGGAATGTTCAACTAGGTGACTTGAATGCAAACATCACAAAGCAGTTTCTGAGAATGCTGCTGTCTACTTTCTATTTGTAATCCCGTTTCCAACGAAATCCTCAGAACTATCGAAATTTCCAATTGCAGATTCCACAGAAACAGGGTTTCAAAGCTGCTCTGTAAAAAGAAAGGTTCAACTCTGTTAGTTGAATACACACGTCACAAACAAGTTTCTGAGAATGCTTCTGTCTAGTTTTTATGGGAAGATATTTCCTTTTTCACCGTAGGCCTCAAAGCGCTCCAAATGTCCACTTCCACATACTACAAAAAGAGTGTTTCAAACCTGCTGTATGAAAGGGAATGTTCAACTCTATGAGTCGAATGCAAACATTACAAAGAAGTTTCTGAGAATGCTTCTGTCTAGATTTTATATGAAGGTTTTCCCGTTTCCAACGAAATTTTCAATGCTCTCAAAATATCCACTTGTAGATTCTACAAAAAGAGTGTTTCCAAACTGCTGTGTCAAAAGAAAGGTTCAACTCTGTTAGTTGAGGACACACATCACAAATAAGTTTCTGAGAATGCTTCTGTCTAGTTCTTATTTGAAGACATTTCCTTTCTCACCTTAGGCCTGAAAACGCTCGAAATATCCACTTCCAGATACGACAGAAACAGTGATTCAAACCTGCTCTATGAAAGGGAATGTTCAACTAGGTGACTTGAATGCAAACATCACAAAGCAGTTTCTGAGAATGCTGCTGTCTACTTTCTATTTGTAATCCCGTTTCCAACGAAATCCTCAGAACTATCGAAATTTCCAATTGCAGATTCCACAAAAAGCGTGTTTCAAAGCTGCTCTGTAAAAAGAAAGGTTCAACTCTGTTAGTTGAATACACACGTCACAAACAAGTTTCTGAGAATGCTTCTGTCTAGTTTTTATGGGAAGATATTTCCTTTTTCACCGTAGAACTCAAAGCGCTCCAAATGTCCACTTCCACATACTACAAAAAGAGTGTTTCAAACCTGCTCTATGATAGGGAATGTTGAAACCTATGAGTTGAATGCAAGCATTACAAAGAGGTTTCTGAGAATGCTTCTGTCTAGATTTTATATGTAGATATTCCCGTTTCCAACGAAATCCTCAAAGCTATCCAAATATCAACTTGCAGATTCTACAAAAGGAATGTTTCCAAAATGCTGTATCCAAACAAAGGTTCAACTCTGTGAATTGAGGGCATACATCACAAAGAAGATTCTGAGAATGCTTCTGTCTAGATTTTATATGAAAATATTCCCGTTTCCAACGAAATCCTCAAAGCTATCCAAATATCCACTTGCAAATGCCACAAAAAGAGTGTTTCCAAACTGCTCTGTGAAAAGGAAGGTTCAACTCTGTTAGTTGAGTACACACATCACAAAGAGGTTTCTGAGAATGCTGCTGACTAGTTTTTATTTGAAGATATTTCCCTTTTCACCTTAGGCCTAAGAGTGCTCGAAATGTCCATTTCCACATACTCCACAAAGTGTGTTTCAAACGTGCTGTATGAAAGGGAATGTTCAACTCTATGAGTTGAATGCAAACATCACAAAGAAGATTCTGAGAATGCTTTTGTCTAGATTTTATATGAAGATATTCCCGTGTCCAACGAAATTTTCAAAGGTCTCCAAATATCCATTTGTAGATTCTACAAAAAGAGTGTTTCCAAACTGCTGTATCAAAACAAAGGTTGAACTCTGTGAGTTGAGGACACACATCACAAATAAGTTTCTGAGAATGCTTCTGTCTAGTTTTTATTTGAAGATGTTTCCTTTTTCACCATAGGCCTGAAAGCGCTCGAAATGTCCACTTCCAGATAGTACAGAAAGAGTGTTTCAAACCTGCTCTATGAACGGGAATGTTCAGCTCTGTGAGTTGAATGCAAACATCACAAAGCAGGTTCTGAGAATGCTTCCGTCTAGATTTTAAATGAGGATATTCCCGTTTCCAACGAAATCCTCGAAGCTATCCAAATATCCACTTGCAGATTCCACAAAAAGAGTGTCTCAAAACTGCTCTGTCAAAAGATAGGTTCAACTCTGTTAGTTGAGTACACACATGGCAAACAAGATTCCGAGAATGCTTTCGTCTAGTTTTTTTGGGAAGATATTTCCTTCTTCACCATAAGCCTCAAAGCGCTCCAAATATCCATTTCCACATGCTATACAAAGAGTGTCTCAAACCTGCTGTATGAATGGGAATGTTCAACTCTATGAGTTGAATGCAAACATCACAAAGAAGTTTCTGAGAATGCTGCTGTCTAGATTTTATATGAAGGTTTTCCCGCTTCCAACGAAATTTTCAATGCTCTCAAAATATCCTCTTGTAGATTCTACAAAAAGAGTGTTTCCAAACTGCTGTATCAAAACAAAGGTTCATCTCTGTTAGGTGAGGACACACATCACAAATAAGTTTCTGAGAATGCTTCTGTCTAGTTCTTATTTGAAGACATTTCCTTTCTCACCTTAGGCCTGAAAGCGCTCGAAATACCCACTTCCAGATACTACAGAAACAGTGATTCAAACCTGCTCTATGAAAGGGAATGTTCAACTATGTGACTTGAATGCAAACATCACAAAGCAGTTTCTGAGAATGCTGCTGTCTACTTTCAATTTGTAATCCCGTTTCCAACGAAATCCTCAGAACTATCGAAATTTCCAATTGCAGATTCCACAGAAACAGGGTTTCAAAGCTGCTCTGTAAAAAGAAAGGTTCAACTCTGTTAGTTGAATACACACGTCACAAACAAGTTTCTGAGAATGCTTCTGTCTAGTTTTTATGGGAAGATATTTCCTTTTTCACCGTAGGCCTCAAAGCGCTCCAAATGTCCACTTCCACATACTACAAAAAGAGTGTTTCAAACCTGCTGTATGAAAGGGAATGTTCAACTCTATGAGTTGAATGCAAACATTACAAAGAAGTTTCTGAGAATGCTTCTGTCTAGATTTTATATGAAGGTTTTCCCGCTTCCAACGAAATTTTCAATGCTCTCAAAATATCCACTTGTAGATTCTACAAAAAGAGTGTTTCCAAACTGCTGTGTCAAAACAAAGGTTCAACTCTGTTAGTTGAGGACACACATCACAAATAAGTTTCTGAGAATGCTTCTGTCTAGTTCTTATTTGAAGACATTTCCTTTCTCACCTTAGGCCTGAAAGCGCTCGAAATACCCACTTCCAGATACTACAGAAACAGTGATTCAAACCTGCTCTATGAAAGGGAATGTTCAACTATGTGACTTGAATGCAAACATCACAAAGCAGTTTCTGAGAATGCTGCTGTCTACTTTCTATTTGTAATCCCGTTTCCAACGAAATCCTCAGAACTATCGAAATTTCCAATTGCAGATTCCACAAAAACAGGGTTTCAAAGCTGCTCTGTAAAAAGAAAGGTTCAACTCTGTTAGTTGAATACACACGTCACAAACAAGTTTCTGAGAATGCTTCTGTCTAGTTTTTATGGGAAGATATTTCCTTTTTCACCGTAGGCCTCAAAGCGCTCCAAATGTCCACTTCCACATACTACAAAAAGAGTGTTTCAAACCTGCTGTATGAAAGGGAATGTTCAACTCTATGAGTTGAATGCAAACATTACAAAGAAGTTTCTGAGAATGCTTCTGTCTAGATTTTATATGAAGGTTTTCCCGTTTCCAACGAAATTTTCAATGCTCTCAAAATATCCACTTGTAGATTCTACAAAAAGAGTGTTTCCAAACTGCTGTGTCAAAAGAAAGGTTCAACTCTGTTAGTTGAGGACACACATCACAAATAAGTTTCTGAGAATGCTTATCTGTCTAGTTCTTATTTGAAGACATTTCCTTTCTCACCTTAGGCCTGAAAACGCTCGAAATATCCACTTCCAGATACGACAGAAACAGTGATTCAAACCTGCTCTATGAAAGGGAATGTTCAACTAGGTGACTTGAATGCAAACATCACAAAGCAGTTTCTGAGAATGCTGCTGTCTACTTTCTATTTGTAATCCCGTTTCCAACGAAATCCTCAGAACCATCGAAATTTCCAATTGCAGATTCCACAGAAACAGGGTTTCAAAGCTGCTCTGTAAAAAGAAAGGTTCAACTCTGTTAGTTGAATACACACGTCACAAACAAGTTTCTGAGAATGCTTCTGTCTAGTTTTTATGGGAAGATATTTCCTTTTTCACGGTAGGCCTCAAAGCGCTCCAAATGTCCACTTCCACATACTACAAAAAGAGTGTTTCAAACCTGCTCTATGATAGGGAATGTTGAAACCTATGAGTTGAATGCAAGCATTACAAAGAGGTTTCTGAGAATGCTTCTGTCTAGATTTTATATGTAGATATTCCCGTTTCCAACGAAATCCTCAAAGCTATCCAAATATCAACTTGCAGATTCTGCAAAAGGAATGTTTCCAAAATGCTGTATCCAAACAAAGGTTCAACTCTGTGAATTGAGGGCATACATCACAAAGAAGATTCTGAGAATGCTTCTGTCTAGATTTTATATGAAAATATTCCCGTTTCCAACGAAATCCTCAAAGCTATCCAAATATCCACTTGCAAATGCCACAAAAAGAGTGTTTCCAAACTGCTCTGTGAAAAGGAAAGGTTCAACTCTGTTAGTTGAGTACACACATCACAAAGAGGTTTCTGAGAATGCTGCTGACTAGTTTTTATTTGAAGATATTTCCCTTTTCACCTTAGGCCTAAGAGTGCTCGAAATGTCCATTTCCACATACTCCACAAAGTGTGTTTCAAACGTGCTGTATGAAAGGGAATGTTCAACTCTATGAGTTGAATGCAAACATCACAAAGAAGACTCTGAGAATGCTTTTGTCTAGATTTTATATGAAGATATTCCCGTGTCCAACGAAATTTTCAAAGGTCTCCAAATATCCATTTGTAGATTCTACAAAAAGAGTGTTTCCAAACTGCTGTATCAAAACAAAGGTTGAACTCTGTGAGTTGAGGACACACATCACAAATAAGTTTCTGAGAATGCTTCTGTCTAGTTTTTATTTGAAGATGTTTCCTTTTTCACCATAGGCCTGAAAGCGCTCGAAATGTCCACTTCCAGATAGTACAGAAAGAGTGTTTCAAACCTGCTCTATGAACGGGAATGTTCAGCTCTGTGAGTTGAATGCAAACATCACAAAGCAGGTTCTGAGAATGCTTCCGTCTAGATTTTAAATGAGGATATTCCCGTTTCCAACGAAATCCTCGAAGCTATCCAAATATCCACTTGCAGATTCCACAAAAAGAGTGTTTCAAAACTGCTCTGTCAAAAGATAGGTTCAACTCTGTTAGTTGAGTACACACATGGCAAACAAGATTCCGAGAATGCTTTCGTCTAGTTTTTTTGGGAAGATATTTCCTTCTTCACCATAGGCCTCAAAGCGCTCCAAATATCCATTTCCACATGCTATACAAAGAGTGTCTCAAACCTGCTGTATGAATGGGAATGTTCAACTCTATGAGTTGAATGCAAACATCACAAAGAAGTTTCTGAGAATGCTGCTGTCTAGATTTTATATGAAGGTTTTCCCGCTTCCAACGAAATTTTCAATGCTCTCAAAATATCCTCTTGTAGATTCTACAAAAAGAGTGTTTCCAAACTGCTGTATCAAAACAAAGGTTCATCTCTGTTAGTTGAGGACACACATCACAAATAAGTTTCTGAGAATGCTTCTGTCTAGTTCTTATTTGAAGACATTTCCTTTCTCACCTTAGGCCTGAAAGCGCTCGAAATACCCACTTCCAGATACTACAGAAACAGTGATTCAAACCTGCTCTATGAAAGGGAATGTTCAACTATGTGACTTGAATGCAAACATCACAAAGCAGTTTCTGAGAATGCTGCTGTCTACTTTCTATTTGTAATCCCGTTTCCAACGAAATCCTCAGAACTATCGAAATTTCCAATTGCAGATTCCACAGAAACAGGGTTTCAAAGCTGCTCTGTAAAAAGAAAGGTTCAACTCTGTTAGTTGAATACACACGTCACAAACAAGTTTCTGAGAATGCTTCTGTCTAGTTTTTATGGGAAGATATTTCCTTTTTCACCGTAGGCCTCAAAGCGCTCCAAATGTCCACTTCCACATACTACAAAAAGAGTGTTTCAAACCTGCTGTATGAAAGGGAATGTTCAACTCTATGAGTTGAATGCAAACATTACAAAGAAGTTTCTGAGAATGCTTCTGTCTAGATTTTATATGTAGATATTCCCGTTTCCAACGAAATCCTCAAACTATCCAAATATCAACTTGCAGATTCTACAAAAGGAATGTTTCCAAAATGCTGTATCCAAACAAAGGTTCAACTCTGTGAATTGAGGGCATACATCACAAAGAAGATTCTGAGAATGCTTCTGTCTAGATTTTATATGAAAATATTCCCGTTTCCAACGAAATCCTCAAAGCTATCCAAATATCCACTTGCAAATGCCACAAAAAGAGTGTTTCCAAACTGCTCTGTGAAAAGGAAGGTTCAACTCTGTTAGTTGAGTACACACATCACAAAGAGGTTTCTGAGAATGCTGCTGACTAGTTTTTATTTGAAGATATTTCCCTTTTCACCTTAGGCCTAAGAGTGCTCGAAATGTCCATTTCCACATACTCCACAAAGTGTGTTTCAAACGTGCTGTATGAAAGGGAATGTTCAACTCTATGAGTTGAATGCAAACATCACAAAGAAGATTCTGAGAATGCTTTTGTCTAGATTTTATATGAAGATATTCCCGTGTCCAACGAAATTTTCAAAGGTCTCCAAATATCCATTTGTAGATTCTACAAAAAGAGTGTTTCCAAACTGCTGTATCAAAACAAAGGTTGAACTCTGTGAGTTGAGGACACACATCACAAATAAGTTTCTGAGAATGCTTCTGTCTAGTTTTTATTTGAAGATGTTTCCTTTTCCACCATAGGCCTGAAAGCGCTCGAAATGTCCACTTCCAGATAGTACAGAAAGAGTGTTTCAAACCTGCTCTATGAACGGGAATGTTCAGCTCTGTGAGTTGAATGCAAACATCACAAAGCAGGTTCTGAGAATGCTTCCGTCTAGATTTTAAATGAGGATATTCCCGTTTCCAACGAAATCCTCGAAGCTATCCAAATATCCACTTGCAGATTCCACAAAAAGAGTGTTTCAAAACTGCTCTGTCAAAAGATAGGTTCAACTCCGTTAGTTGAGTACACACATGGCAAACAAGATTGCGAGAATGCTTTCGTCTAGTTTTTTTGGGAAGATATTTCCTTCTTCACCATGGGCCTCAAAGCGCTCCAAATATCCATTTCCACATGCTATACAAAGAGTGTCTCAAACCTGCTGTATGAATGGGAATGTTCAACTCTATGAGTTGAATGCAAACATCACAAAGAAGTTTCTGAGAATGCTGCTGTCTAGAATTTATATGAAGGTTTTCCCGCTTCCAACGAAATTTTCAATGCTCTCAAAATATCCTCTTGTAGATTCTACAAAAAGAGTGTTTCCAAACTGCTGTATCAAAACAAAGGTTCATCTCTGTTAGTTGAGGACACACATCACAAATAAGTTTCTGAGAATGCTTCTGTCTAGTTCTTATTTGAAGACATTTCCTTTCTCACCTTAGGCCTGAAAGCGCTCGAAATACCCACTTCCAGATACTACAGAAACAGTGATTCAAACCTGCTCTATGAAAGGGAATGTTCAACTATGTGACTTGAATGCAAACATCACAAAGCAGTTTCTGAGAATGCTGCTGTCTACTTTCTATTTGTAATCCCGTTTCCAACGAAATCCTCAGAACTATCGAAATTTCCAATTGCAGATTCCACAGAAACAGGGTTTCAAAGCTGCTCTGTAAAAAGAAAGGTTCAACTCTGTTAGTTGAATACACACGTCACAAACAAGTTTCTGAGAATGCTTCTGTCTAGTTTTTATGGGAAGATATTTCCTTTTTCACCGTAGGCCTCAAAGCGCTCCAAATGTCCACTTCCACATACTACAAAAAGAGTGTTTCAAACCTGCTGTATGAAAGGGAATGTTCAACTCTATGAGTTGAATGCAAACATTACAAAGAAGTTTCTGAGAATGCTTCTGTCTAGATTTTATATGAAGGTTTTCCCGTTTCCAACGAAATTTTCAATGCTCTCAAAATATCCACTTGTAGATTCTACAAAAAGAGTGTTTCCAAACTGCTGTGTCAAAAGAAAGGTTCAACTCTGTTAGTTGAGGACACACATCACAAATAAGTTTCTGAGAATGCTTGCTGTCTACTTTCTATTTGTAATCCCGTTTCCAACGAAATCCTCAGCAACTATCGAAATTTCCAATTGCAGATTCCACAAAAAGCGTGTTTCAAAGCTGCTCTGTAAAAAGAAAGGTTCAACTCTGTTAGTTGAATACACACGTCACAAACAAGTTTCTGAGAATGCTTCTGTCTAGTTTTTATGGGAAGATATTTCCTTTTTCACCGTAGGCCTCAAAGCGCTCCAAATGTCCACTTCCACATACTACAAAAAGAGTGTTTCAAACCTGCTCTATGATAGGGAATGTTGAAACCTATGAGTTGAATGCAAGCATTACAAAGAGGTTTCTGAGAATGCTTCTGTCTAGATTTTATATGTAGATATTCCCGTTTCCAACGAAATCCTCAAAGCTATCCAAATATCAACTTGCAGATTCTACAAAAGGAATGTTTCCAAAATGCTGTATCCAAACAAAGGTTCAACTCTGTGAATTGAGGGCATACATCACAAAGAAGATTCTGAGAATGCTTCTGTCTAGATTTTATATGAAAATATTCCCGTTTCCAACGAAATCCTCAAAGCTATCCAAATATCCACTTGCAAATGCCACAAAAAGAGTGTTTCCAAACTGCTCTGTGAAAAGGAAGGTTCAACTCTGTTAGTTGAGTACACACATCACAAAGAGGTTTCTGAGAATGCTGCTGACTAGTTTTTATTTGAAGATATTTCCCTTTTCACCTTAGGCCTAAGAGTGCTCGAAATGTCCATTTCCACATACTCCACAAAGTGTGTTTCAAACGTGCTGTATGAAAGGGAACGTTCAACTCTATGAGTTGAATGCAAACATCACAAAGAAGATTCTGAGAATGCTTTTGTCTAGATTTTATATGAAGATATTCCCGTGTCCAACGAAATTTTCAAAGGTCTCCAAATATCCATTTGTAGATTCTACAAAAAGAGTGTTTCCAAACTGCTGTATCAAAACAAAGGTTGAACTCTGTGAGTTGAGGACACACATCACAAATAAGTTTCTGAGAATGCTTCTGTCTAGTTTTTATTTGAAGATGTTTCCTTTTTCACCATAGGCCTGAAAGCGCTCGAAATGTCCACTTCCAGATAGTACAGAAAGAGTGTTTCAAACCTGCTCTATGAACGGGAATGTTCAGCTCTGTGAGTTGAATGCAAACATCACAAAGCAGGTTCTGAGAATGCTTCCGTCTAGATTTTAAATGAGGATATTCCCGTTTCCAACGAAATCCTCGAAGCTATCCAAATATCCACTTGCAGATTCCACAAAAAGAGTGTTTCAAAACTGCTCTGTCAAAAGATAGGTTCAACTCTGTTAGTTGAGTACACACATGGCAAACAAGATTGCGAGAATGCTTTCGTCTAGTTTTTTTGGGAAGATATTTCCTTCTTCACCATAGGCCTCAAAGCGCTCCAAATATCCATTTCCACATGCTATACAAAGAGTGTCTCAAACCTGCTGTATGAATGGGAATGTTCAACTCTATGAGTTGAATGCAAACATCACAAAGAAGTTTCTGAGAATGCTGCTGTCTAGATTTTATATGAAGGTTTTCCCGCTTCCAATGAAATTTTCAATGCTCTCAAAATATCCTCTTGTAGATTCTACAAAAAGAGTGTTTCCAAACTGCTGTATCAAAACAAAGGTTCATCTCTGTTAGTTGAGGACACACATCACAAATAAGTTTCTGAGAATGCTTCTGTCTAGTTCTTATTTGAAGACATTTCCTTTCTCACCTTAGGCCTGAAAGCGCTCGAAATACCCACTTCCAGATACGACAGAAAC
This sequence comes from Homo sapiens, assembly GCF_000001405.40. Taxonomy (NCBI): domain Eukaryota; kingdom Metazoa; phylum Chordata; class Mammalia; order Primates; family Hominidae; genus Homo; species Homo sapiens. The sequence continues at coordinate 18,516,458 of NC_000015.10, read as the reverse complement.
AGTGATTCAAACCTGCTCTATGAAAGGGAATGTTCAACTAGGTGACTTGAATGCAAACATCACAAAGCAGTTTACTGAGAATGCTGCTGTCTACTTTCTATTTGTAATCCCGTTTCCAACAAAATCCTCAGAACTATCGAAATTTCCAATTGCAGATTCCACAGAAACAGGGTTTCAAAGCTGCTCTGTAAAAAGAAAGGTTCAACTCGTTAGTTGAATACACACGTCACAAACAAGTTTCTGAGAATGCTTCTGTCTAGTTTTTATGGGAAGATATTTCCTTTTTCACCGTAGGCCTCAAAGCGCTCCAAATGTCCACGTCCACATACTACAAAAAGAGTGTTTCAAACCTGCTGTATGAAAGGGAATGTTCAACTCTATGAGTTGAATGCAAACATTACAAAGAAGTTTCTGAGAATGCTTCTGTCTAGATTTTATATGAAGGTTTTCCCGTTTCCAACGAAATTTTCAATGCTCTCAAAATATCCACTTGTAGATTCTACAAAAAGAGTGTTTCCAAACTGCTGTGTCAAAAGAAAGGTTCAACTCTGTTAGTTGAGGACACACATCACAAATAAGTTTCTGAGAATGCTTCTGTCTAGTTCTTATTTGAAGACATTTCCTTTCTCACCTTAGGCCTGAAAACGCTCGAAATATCCACTTCCAGATACGACAGAAACAGTGATTCAAACCTGCTCTATGAAAGGGAATGTTCAACTAGGTGACTTGAATGCAAACATCACAAAGCAGTTTCTGAGAATGCTGCTGTCTACTTTCTATTTGTAATCCCGTTTCCAACGAAATCCTCAGAACTATCGAAATTTCCAATTGCAGATTCCACAAAAAGCGTGTTTCAAAGCTGCTCTGTAAAAAGAAAGGTTCAACTCTGTTAGTTGAATACACACGTCACAAACAAGTTTCTGAGAATGCTTCTGTCTAGTTTTTATGGGAAGATATTTCCTTTTTCACCGTAGGCCTCAAAGCGCTCCAAATGTCCACTTCCACATACTACAAAAAGAGTGTTTCAAACCTGCTCTATGATAGGGAATGTTGAAACCTATGAGTTGAATGCAAGCATTACAAAGAGGTTTCTGAGAATGCTTCTGTCTAGATTTTATATGTAGATATTCCCGTTTCCAACGAAATCCTCAAAGCTATCCAAATATCAGCTTGCAGATTCTGCAAAAGGAATGTTTCCAAAATGCTGTATCCAAACAAAGGTTCAACTCTGTGAATTGAGGGCATACATCACAAAGAAGATTCTGAGAATGCTTCTGTCTAGATTTTATATGAAAATATTCCCGTTTCCAACGAAATCCTCAAAGCTATCCAAATATCCACTTGCAAATGCCACAAAAAGAGTGTTTCCAAACTGCTCTGTGAAAAGGAAGGTTCAACTCTGTTAGTTGAGTACACACATCACAAAGAGGTTTCTGAGAATGCTGCTGACTAGTTTTTATTTGAAGATATTTCCCTTTTCACCTTAGGCCTAAGAGTGCTCGAAATGTCCATTTCCACATACTCCACAAAGTGTGTTTCAAACGTGCTGTATGAAAGGGAATGTTCAACTCTATGAGTTGAATGCAAACATCACAAAGAAGATTCTGAGAATGCTTTTGTCTAGATTTTATATGAAGATATTCCCGTGTCCAACGAAATTTTCAAAGGTCTCCAAATATCCATTTGTAGATTCTACAAAAAGAGTGTTTCCAAACTGCTGTATCAAAACAAAGGTTGAACTCTGTGAGTTGAGGACACACATCACAAATAAGTTTCTGAGAATGCTTCTGTCTAGTTTTTATTTGAAGATGTTTCCTTTTTCACCATAGGCCTGAAAGCGCTCGAAATGTCCACTTCCAGATAGTACAGAAAGAGTGTTTCAAACCTGCTCTATGAACGGGAATGTTCAGCTCTGTGAGTTGAATGCAAACATCACAAAGCAGGTTCTGAGAATGCTTCCGTCTAGATTTTAAATGAGGATATTCCCGTTTCCAACGAAATCCTCGAAGCTATCCAAATATCCACTTGCAGATTCCACAAAAAGAGTGTTTCAAAACTGCTCTGTCAAAAGATAGGTTCAACTCTGTTAGTTGAGTACACACATGGCAAACAAGATTGCGAGAATGCTTTCGTCTAGTTTTTTTGGGAAGATATTTCCTTCTTCACCATAGGCCTCAAAGCGCTCCAAATATCCATTTCCACATGCTATACAAAGAGTGTCTCAAACCTGCTGTATGAATGGGAATGTTCAACTCTATGAGTTGAATGCAAACATCACAAAGAAGTTTCTGAGAATGCTGCTGTCTAGATTTTATATGAAGGTTTTCCCGCTTCCAACGAAATTTTCAATGCTCTCAAAATATCCTCCTGTAGATTCTACAAAAAGAGTGTTTCCAAACTGCTGTATCAAAACAAAGGTTCATCTCTGTTAGTTGAGGACACACATCACAAATAAGTTTCTGAGAATGCTTCTGTCTAGTTCTTATTTGAAGACATTTCCTTTCTCACCTTAGGCCTGAAAGCGCTCGAAATACCCACTTCCAGATACTACAGAAACAGTGATTCAAACCTGCTCTATGAAAGGGAATGTTCAACTATGTGACTTGAATGCAAACATCACAAAGCAGTTTCTGAGAATGCTGCTGTCTACTTTCTATTTGTAATCCCGTTTCCAACGAAATCCTCAGAACTATCGAAATTTCCAATTGCAGATTCCACAGAAACAGGGTTTCAAAGCTGCTCTGTAAAAAGAAAGGTTCAACTCTGTTAGTTGAATACACACGTCACAAACAAGTTTCTGAGAATGCTTCTGTCTAGTTTTTATGGGAAGATATTTCCTTTTTCACCGTAGGCCTCAAAGCGCTCTAAATGTCCACTTCCACATACTACAAAAAGAGTGTTTCAAACCTGCTCTATGATAGGGAATGTTGAAACCTATGAGTTGAATGCAAGCATTACAAAGAGGTTTCTGAGAATGCTTCTGTCTAGATTTTATATGTAGATATTCCCGTTTCCAACGAAATCCTCAAAGCTATCCAAATATCAGCTTGCAGATTCTGCAAAAGGAATGTTTCCAAAATGCTGTATCCAAACAAAGGTTCAACTCTGTGAATTGAGGGCATACATCACAAAGAAGATTCTGAGAATGCTTCTGTCTAGATTTTATATGAAAATATTCCCGTTTCCAACGAAATCCTCAAAGCTATCCAAATATCCACTTGCAAATGCCACAAAAAGAGTGTTTCCAAACTGCTCTGTGAAAAGGAAGGTTCAACTCTGTTAGTTGAGTACACACATCACAAAGAGGTTTCTGAGAATGCTGCTGACTAGTTTTTATTTGAAGATATTTCCCTTTTCACCTTAGGCCTAAGAGTGCTCGAAATGTCCATTTCCACATACTCCACAAAGTGTGTTTCAAACGTGCTGTATGAAAGGGAATGTTCAACTCTATGAGTTGAATTCAAACATCACAAAGAAGATTCTGAGAATGCTTTTGTCTAGATTTTATATGAAGATATTCCCGTGTCCAACGAAATTTTCAAAGTTCTCCAAATATCCATTTGTAGATTCTACAAAAAGAGTGTTTCCAAACTGCTGTATCAAAACAAAGGTTGAACTCTGTGAGTTGAGGACACACATCACAAATAAGTTTCTGAGAATGCTTCTGTCTAGTTTTTATTTGAAGATGTTTCCTTTTTCACCATAGGCCTGAAAGCGCTCGAAATGTCCACTTCCAGATAGTACAGAAAGAGTGTTTCAAACCTGCTCTATGAACGGGAATGTTCAGCTCTGTGAGTTGAATGCAAACATCACAAAGCAGGTTCTGAGAATGCTTCCGTCTAGATTTTAAATGAGGATATTCCCGTTTCCAACGAAATCCTCGAAGCTATCCAAATATCCACTTGCAGATTCCACAAAAAGAGTGTTTCAAAACTGCTCTGTCAAAAGATAGGTTCAACTCTGTTAGTTGAGTACACACATGGCAAACAAGATTGCGAGAATGCTTTCGTCTAGTTTTTTTGGGAAGATATTTCCTTCTTCACCATAGGCCTCAAAGCGCTCCAAATATCCATTTCCACATGCTATACAAAGAGTGTCTCAAACCTGCTGTATGAATGGGAATGTTCAACTCTATGAGTTGAATGCAAACATCACAAAGAAGTTTCTGAGAATGCTGCTGTCTAGATTTTATATGAAGGTTTTCCCGCTTCCAACGAAATTTTCAATGCTCTCAAAATATCCTCTTGTAGATTCTACAAAAAGAGTGTTTCCAAACTGCTGTATCAAAAGAAAGGTTCATCTCTGTTAGTTGAGGACACACATCACAAATAAGTTTCTGAGAATGCTTCTGTCTAGTTCTTATTTGAAGACATTTCCTTTCTCACCTTAGGCCTGAAAGCGCTCGAAATACCCACTTCCAGATACGACAGAAACAGTGATTCAAACCTGCTCTATGAAAGGGAATGTTCAACTATGTGACTTGAATGCAAACATCACAAAGCAGTTTCTGAGAATGCTGCTGTCTACTTTCTATTTGTAATCCCGTTTCCAACGAAATCCTCAGAACTATCGAAATTTCCAATTGCAGATTCCACAGAAACAGGGTTTCAAAGCTGCTCTGTAAAAAGAAAGGTTCAACTCTGTTAGTTGAATACACACGTCACAAACAAGTTTCTGAGAATGCTTCTGTCTAGTTTTTATGGGAAGATATTTCCTTTTTCACCGTAGGCCTCAAAGCGCTCCAAATGTCCACTTCCACATGCTATACAAAGAGTGTCTCAAACCTGCTGTATGAATGGGAATGTTGAAACCTATGAGTTGAATGCAAGCATTACAAAGAGGTTTCTGAGAATGCTTCTGTCTAGATTTTATATGTAGATATTCCCGTTTCCAACGAAATCCTCAAAGCTATCCAAATATCAACTTGCAGATTCTACAAAAGGAATGTTTCCAAAATGCTGTATCCAAACAAAGGTTCAACTCTGTGAATTGAGGGCATACATCACAAAGAAGATTCTGAGAATGTTTCTGTCTAGATTTTATATGAAAATATTCCCGTTTCCAACGAAATCCTCAAAGCTATCCAAATATCCACTTGCAAATGCCACAAAAAGAGTGTTTCCAAACTGCTCTGTGAAAAGGAAGGTTCAACTCTGTTAGTTGAGTACACACATCACAAAGAGGTTTCTGAGAATGCTGCTGACTAGTTTTTATTTGAAGATATTTCCCTTTTCACCTTAGGCCTAAGAGTGCTCGAAATGTCCATTTCCACATACTCCACAAAGTGTGTTTCAAACGTGCTGTATGAAAGGGAATGTTCAACTCTATGAGTTGAATGCAAACATCACAAAGAAGACTCTGAGAATGCTTTTGTCTAGATTTTATATGAAGATATTCCCGTGTCCAACGAAATTTTCAAAGGTCTCCAAATATCCATTTGTAGATTCTACAAAAAAAGTGTTTCCAAACTGCTGTATCAAAACAAAGGTTGAACTCTGTGAGTTGAGGACACACATCACAAATAAGTTTCTGAGAATGCTTCTGTCTAGTTTTTATTTGAAGATGTTTCCTTTTTCACCATAGGCCTGAAAGCGCTCGAAATGTCCACTTCCAGATAGTACAGAAAGAGTGTTTCAAACCTGCTCTATGAACGGGAATGTTCAGCTCTGTGAGTTGAATGCAAACATCACAAAGCAGGTTCTGAGAATGCTTCCGTCTAGATTTTAAAGGAGGATATTCCCGTTTCCAACGAAATCCTCGAAGCTATCCAAATATCCACTTGCAGATTCCACAAAAAGAGTGTTTCAAAACTGCTCTGTCAAAAGATAGGTTCAACTCTGTTAGTTGAGTACACACATGGCAAACAAGATTCCGAGAATGCTTTCGTCTAGTTTTTTTGGGAAGATATTTCCTTCTTCACCATAGGCCTCAAAGCGCTCCAAATATCCATTTCCACATGCTATACAAAGAGTGTCTCAAACCTGCTGTATGAATGGGAATGTTCAACTCTATGAGTTGAATGCAAACATCACAAAGAAGTTTCTGAGAATGCTGCTGTCTAGATTTTATATGAAGGTTTTCCCGCTTCCAACGAAATTTTCAATGCTCTCAAAATATCCTCTTGTAGATTCTACAAAAAGAGTGTTTCCAAACTGCTGTATCAAAACAAAGGTTCATCTCTGTTAGTTGAGGACACACATCACAAATAAGTTTCTGAGAATGCTTCTGTCTAGTTCTTATTTGAAGACATTTCCTTTCTCACCTTAGGCCTGAAAGCGCTCGAAATATCCACTTCCAGATACGACAGAAACTGTGATTCAAACCTGCTCTATGAAAGGGAATGTTCAACTAGGTGACTTGAATGCAAACATCACAAAGCAGTTTCTGAGAATGCTGCTGTCTACTTTCTATTTGTAATCCCGTTTCCAACGAAATCCTCAGAACTATCGAAATTTCCAATTGCAGATTCCACAAAAAGCGTGTTTCAAAGCTGCTCTGTAAAAAGAAAGGTTCAACTCTGTTAGTTGAATACACACGTCACAAACAAGTTTCTGAGAATGCTTCTGTCTAGTTTTTATGGGAAGATATTTCCTTTTTCACCGTAGGCCTCAAAGAGCTCCAAATGTCCACTTCCACATACTACAAAAAGAGTGTTTCAAACCTGCTGTATGAAAGGGAATGTTCAACTCTATGAGTTGAATGCAAACATTACAAAGAAGTTTCTGAGAATGCTTCTGTCTAGATTTTATATGAAGGTTTTCCCGTTTCCAACGAAATTTTCAATGCTCTCAAAATATCCACTTGTAGATTCTACAAAAAGAGTGTTTCCAAACTGCTGTGTCAAAAGAAAGGTTCAACTCTGTTAGTTGAGGACACACATCACAAATAAGTTTCTGAGAATGCTTCTGTCTAGTTCTTATTTGAAGACATTTCCTTTCTCACCTTAGGCCTGAAAACGCTCGAAATATCCACTTCCAGATACGACAGAAACAGTGATTCAAACCTGCTCTATGAAAGGGAATGTTCAACTAGGTGACTTGAATGCAAACATCACAAAGCAGTTTCTGAGAATGCTGCTGTCTACTTTCTATTTGTAATCCCGTTTCCAACGAAATCCTCAGAACTATCGAAATTTCCAATTGCAGATTCCACAAAAAGCGTGTTTCAAAGCTGCTCTGTAAAAAGAAAGGTTCAACTCTGTTAGTTGAATACACACGTCACAAACAAGTTTCTGAGAATGCTTCTGTCTAGTTTTTATGGGAAGATATTTCCTTTTTCACCGTAGGCCTCAAAGCGCTCCAAATGTCCACTTCCACATACTACAAAAAGAGTGTTTCAAACCTGCTCTATGATAGGGAATGTTGAAACCTATGAGTTGAATGCAAGCATTACAAAGAGGTTTCTGAGAATGCTTCTGTCTAGATTTTATATGTAGATATTCCCGTTTCCAACGAAATCCTCAAAGCTATCCAAATATCAGCTTGCAGATTCTGCAAAAGGAATGTTTCCAAAATGCTGTATCCAAACAAAGGTTCAACTCTGTGAATTGAGGGCATACATCACAAAGAAGATTCTGAGAATGCTTCTGTCTAGATTTTATATGAAAATATTCCCGTTTCCAACGAAATCCTCAAAGCTATCCAAATATCCACTTGCAAATGCCACAAAAAGAGTGTTTCCAAACTGCTCTGTGAAAAGGAAGGTTCAACTCTGTTAGTTGAGTACACACATCACAAAGAGGTTTCTGAGAATGCTGCTGACTAGTTTTTATTTGAAGATATTTCCCTTTTCACCTTAGGCCTAAGAGTGCTCGAAATGTCCATTTCCACATACTCCACAAAGTGTGTTTCAAACGTGCTGTATGAAAGGGAATGTTCAACTCTATGAGTTGAATGCAAACATCACAAAGAAGATTCTGAGAATGCTTTTGTCTAGATTTTATATGAAGATATTCCCGTGTCCAACGAAATTTTCAAAGGTCTCCAAATATCCATTTGTAGATTCTACAAAAAGAGTGTTTCCAAACTGCTGTATCAAAACAAAGGTTGAACTCTGTGAGTTGAGGACACACATCACAAATAAGTTTCTGAGAATGCTTCTGTCTAGTTTTTATTTGAAGATGTTTCCTTTTTCACCATAGGCCTGAAAGCGCTCGAAATGTCCACTTCCAGATAGTACAGAAAGAGTGTTTCAAACCTGCTCTATGAACGGGAATGTTCAGCTCTGTGAGTTGAATGCAAACATCACAAAGCAGGTTGCTGAGAATGCTTCCGTCTAGATTTTAAATGAGGATTATTCCCGTTTCCAACGAAATCCTCGAAGCTATCCAAATATCCACTTGCAGATTCCACAAAAAGAGTGTTTCAAAACTGCTCTGTCAAAAGATAGGTTCAACTCTGTTAGTTGAGTACACACATGGCAAACAAGATTGCGAGAATGCTTTCGTCTAGTTTTTTTGGGAAGATATTTCCTTCTTCACCTTAGGCCTCAAAGCGCTCCAAATATCCATTTCCACATGCTATACAAAGAGTGTCTCAAACCTGCTGTATGAATGGGAATGTTCAACTCTATGAGTTGAATGCAAACATCACAAAGAAGTTTCTGAGAATGCTGCTGTCTAGATTTTATATGAAGGTTTTCCCGCTTCCAACGAAATTTTCAATGCTCTCAAAATATCCTCTTGTAGATTCTACAAAAAGAGTGTTTCCAAACTGCTGTATCAAAACAAAGGTTCATCTCTGTTAGTTGAGGACACACATCACAAATAAGTTTCTGAGAATGCTTCTGTCTAGTTCTTATTTGAAGACATTTCCTTTCTCACCTTAGGCCTGAAAGCGCTCGAAATATCCACTTCCAGATACGACAGAAACTGTGATTCAAACCTGCTCTATGAAAGGGAATGTTCAACTAGGTGACTTGAATGCAAACATCACAAAGCAGTTTCTGAGAATGCTGCTGTCTACTTTCTATTTGTAATCCCGTTTCCAACGAAATCCTCAGAACTATCGAAATTTCCAATTGCAGATTCCACAGAAACAGGGTTTCAAAGCTGCTCTGTAAAAAGAAAGGTTCAACTCTGTTAGTTGAATACACACGTCACAAACAAGTTTCTGAGAATGCTTCTGTCTAGTTTTTATGGGAAGATATTTCCTTTTTCACCGTAGGCCTCAAAGCGCTCCAAATGTCCACTTCCACATACTACAAAAAGAGTGTTTCAAACCTGCTGTATGAAAGGGAATGTTCAACTCTATGAGTTGAATGCAAACATTACAAAGAAGTTTCTGAGAATGCTTCTGTCTAGATTTTATATGAAGGTTTTCCCGTTTCCAACGAAATTTTCAATGCTCTCAAAATATCCACTTGTAGATTCTACAAAAAGAGTGTTTCCAAACTGCTGTGTCAAAAGAAAGGTTCAACTCTGTTAGTTGAGGACACACATCACAAATAAGTTTCTGAGAATGCTTCTGTCTAGTTCTTATTTGAAGACATTTCCTTTCTCACCTTAGGCCTGAAAACGCTCGAAATATCCACTTCCAGATACGACAGAAAGAGTGATTCAAACCTGCTCTATGAAAGGGAATGTTCAACTAGGTGACTTGAATGCAAACATCACAAAGCAGTTTCTGAGAATGCTGCTGTCTACTTTCTATTTGTAATCCCGTTTCCAACGAAATCCTCAGAACTATCGAAATTTCCAATTGCAGATTCCACAAAAAGCGTGTTTCAAAGCTGCTCTGTAAAAAGAAAGGTTCAACTCTGTTAGTTGAATACACACGTCACAAACAAGTTTCTGAGAATGCTTCTGTCTAGTTTTTATGGGAAGATATTTCCTTTTTCACCGTAGGCCTCAAAGCGCTCCAAATGTCCACTTCCACATACTACAAAAAGAGTGTTTCAAACCTGCTCTATGATAGGGAATGTTGAAACCTATGAGTTGAATGCAAGCATTACAAAGAGGTTTCTGAGAATGCTTCTGTCTAGATTTTATATGTAGATATTCCCGTTTCCAACGAAATCCTCAAAGCTATCCAAATATCAGCTTGCAGATTCTGCAAAAGGAATGTTTCCAAAATGCTGTATCCAAACAAAGGTTCAACTCTGTGAATTGAGGGCATACATCACAAAGAAGATTCTGAGAATGCTTCTGTCTAGATTTTATATGAAAATATTCCCGTTTCCAACGAAATCCTCAAAGCTATCCAAATATCCACTTGCAAATGCCACAAAAAGAGTGTTTCCAAACTGCTCTGTGAAAAGGAAGGTTCAACTCTGTTAGTTGAGTACACACATCACAAAGAGGTTTCTGAGAATGCTGCTGACTAGTTTTTATTTGAAGATATTTCCCTTTTCACCTTAGGCCTAAGAGTGCTCGAAATGTCCATTTCCACATACTCCACAAAGTGTGTTTCAAACGTGCTGTATGAAAGGGAATGTTCAACTCTATGAGTTGAATGCAAACATCACAAAGAAGATTCTGAGAATGCTTTTGTCTAGATTTTATATGAAGATATTCCCGTGTCCAACGAAATTTTCAAAGGTCTCCAAATATCCATTTGTAGATTCTACAAAAAGAGTGTTTCCAAACTGCTGTATCAAAACAAAGGTTGAACTCTGTGAGTTGAGGACACACATCACAAATAAGTTTCTGAGAATGCTTCTGTCTAGTTTTTATTTGAAGATGTTTCCTTTTTCACCATAGGCCTGAAAGCGCTCGAAATGTCCACTTCCACATAGTACAGAAAGAGTGTTTCAAACCTGCTCTATGAACGGGAATGTTCAGCTCTGTGAGTTGAATGCAAACATCACAAAGCAGGTTCTGAGAATGCTTCCGTCTAGATTTTAAATGAGGATATTCCCGTTTCCAACGAAATCCTCGAAGCTATCCAAATATCCACTTGCAGATTCCACAAAAAGAGTGTTTCAAAACTGCTCTGTCAAAAGATAGGTTCAACTCTGTTAGTTGAGTACACACATGGCAAACAAGATTGCGAGAATGCTTTCGTCTAGTTTTTTTGGGAAGATATTTCCTTCTTCACCATAGGCCTCAAAGCGCTCCAAATATCCATTTCCACATGCTATACAAAGAGTGTCTCAAACCTGCTGTATGAATGGGAATGTTCAACTCTATGAGTTGAATGCAAACATCACAAAGAAGTTTCTGAGAATGCTGCTGTCTAGATTTTATATGAAGGTTTTCCCGCTTCCAACGAAATTTTCAATGCTCTCAAAATATCCTCTTGTAGATTCTACAAAAAGAGTGTTTCCAAACTGCTGTATCAAAACAAAGGTTCATCTCTGTTAGTTGAGGACACACATCACAAATAAGTTTCTGAGAATGCTTCTGTCTAGTTCTTATTTGAAGACATTTCCTTTCTCACCTTAGGCCTGAAAACGCTCGAAATATCCACTTCCAGATACGACAGAAACAGTGATTCAAACCTGCTCTATGAAAGGGAATGTTCAACTAGGTGACTTGAATGCAAACATCACAAAGCAGTTTCTGAGAATGCTGCTGTCTACTTTCTATTTGTAATCCCGTTTCCAACGAAATCCTCAGAACTATCGAAATTTCCAATTGCAGATTCCACAAAAAGCGTGTTTCAAAGCTGCTCTGTAAAAAGAAAGGTTCAACTCTGTTAGCTGAATACACACGCCACAAACAAGTTTCTGAGAATGCTTCTGTCTAGTTTTTATGGGAAGATATTTCCTTTTTCACCGTAGGCCTCAAAGCGCTCCAAATGTCCACTTCCACATACTACAAAAAGAGTGTTTCAAACCTGCTCTATGATAGGGAATGTTGAAACCTATGAGTTGAATGCAAACATTACAAAGAGGTTTCTGAGAATGCTTCTGTCTAGATTTTATATGTAGATATTCCCGTTTCCAACGAAATCCTCAAAGCTATCCAAATATCAACTTGCAGATACTACAAAAGGAATGTTTCCAAAATGCTGTATCCAAACAAAGGTTCAACTCTGTGAATTGAGGGCATACATCACAAAGAAGATTCTGAGAATGCTTCTGTGTAGATTTTATATGAAAATATTCCCGTTTCCAATGAAATCCTCAAAGCTATCCAAATATCTACTTGCAAATGCCACAAAAAGAGTGTTTCCAAACTGCTCTGTGAAAAGGAAGGTTCAACTCTGTTAGTTGAGTACACACATCACAAAGAGGTTTCTGAGAATGCTGCTGACTAGTTTTTATTTGAAGATATTTCCCTTTTCACCTTAGGCCTAAGAGTGCTCGAAATGTCCATTTCCACATACTCCACAAAGTGTGTTTCAAACGTGCTGTATGAAAGGGAATGTTCAACTCTATGAGTTGAATGCAAACATCACAAAGAAGATTCTGAGAATGCTTTTGTCTAGATTTTATATGAAGATATTCCCGTGTCCAACGAAATTTTCAAAGGTCTCCAAATATCCATTTGTAGATTCTACAAAAAGAATGTTTCCAAACTGCTGTATCAAAACAATGGTTGAACTCTGTGAGTTGAGGACACACATCACAAATAAGTTTCTGAGAATGCTTCTGTCTAGTTTTTGTTTGAAGATATTTCCTTTTTCACCATAGGCCTGAAAGCGCTCGAAATGTCCACTTCCAGATAGTACAGAAAGAGTGTTTCAAACCTGCTCTATGAACGGGAATGTTCAGCTCTGTGAGTTGAATGCAAACATCACAAAGCAGGTTCTGAGAATGCTTCCGTCTAGATTTTAAATGAGGATATTCCCGTTTCCAACGAAATCCTCGAAGCTATCCAAATATCCATTTGCAGATTCCACAAAAAGAGTGTTTCAAAACTGCTCTGTCAAAAGATAGGTTCAACTCTGTTAGTTGAGTACACACATGGCAAACAAGATTCCGAGAATGATTTCGTCTAGTTTTTTTGGGAAGATATTTCCTTCTTCACCATAGGCCTCAAAGTGCTCCAAACATCCATTTCCACATACTATACAAAGAGTGTCTCAAACCTGCTGTATGAAAAGAAATGTTCAACTCTATGAGTTGAATGCAAACATCACAAAGAAGTTTCTCAGAATGCTACTGTCTAGATTTTATATGAAGGTTTTCCCGCTTCCAACGAAATTTTCAATGCTCTCAAAATATCCTCTTGTAGATTCTACAAAAAGAGTGTTTCCAAACTGCTGTATCAAAACAAAGGTTCATCTCTGTTAGTTGAGGACACACATCACAAATAAGTTTCTGAGAATGCTTCTGTCTAGTTCTTATTTGAAGACATTTCCTTTCTCACCTTAGGCCTGAAAGCGCTCGAAATACCCACTTCCAGATACTACAGAAACAGTGATTCAAACCTGCTCTATGAAAGGGAATTTTCAACTATGTGACTTGAATGCAAACATCACAAAGCAGTTTCTGAGAATGCTGCTGTCTACTTTCTATTTGTAATCCCGTTTCCAACGAAATCCTCAGAACTATCGAAATTTCCAATTGCAGATTCCACAGAAACAGGGTTTCAAAGCTGCTCTGTAAAAAGAAAGGTTCAACTCTGTTAGTTGAATACACACGTCACAAACAAGTTTCTGAGAATGCTTCTGTCTAGTTTTTATGGGAAGATATTTCCTTTTTCACCGTAGGCCTCAAAGCGCTCCAAATGTCCACTTCCACATACTACAAAAAGAGTGTTTCAAACCTGCTCTATGATAGGGAATGTTGAAACCTATGAGTTGAATGCAAGCATTACAAAGAGGTTTCTGAGAATGCTTCTGTCTAGATTTTATATGTAGATATTCCCGTTTCCAACGAAATCCTCAAAGCTATCCAAATATCAACTTGCAGATTCTACAAAAGGAATGTTTCCAAAATGCTGTATCCAAACAAAGGTTCAACTCTGTGAATTGAGGGCATACATCACAAAGAAGATTCTGAGAATGCTTCTGTCTAGATTTTATATGAAAATATTCCCGTTTCCAACGAAATCCTCAAAGCTATCCAAATATCCACTTGCAAATGCCACAAAAAGAGTGTTTCCAAACTGCTCTGTGAAAAGGAAGGTTCAACTCTGTTAGTTGAGTACACACATCACAAAGAGGTTTCTGAGAATGCTGCTGACTAGTTTTTATTTGAAGATATTTCCCTTTTCACCTTAGGCCTAAGAGTGCTCGAAATGTCCATTTCCACATACTCCACAAAGTGTGTTTCAAACGTGCTGTATGAAAGGGAATGTTCAACTCTATGAGTTGAATGCAAACATCACAAAGAAGATTCTGAGAATGCTTTTGTCTAGATTTTATATGAAGATATTCCCGTGTCCAACGAAATTTTCAAAGGTCTCCAAATAAAGATTGTTTCCAAACTGCTGTATCAAAACAAAGGTTGAACTCTGTGAGTTGAGGACACACATCACAAATAAGTTTCTGAGAATGCTTCTGTCTAGTTTTTATTTGAAGATGTTTCCTTTTTCACCATAGGCCTGAAAGCGCTCGAAATGTCCACTTCCAGATAGTACAGAAAGAGTGTTTCAAACCTGCTCTATGAACGGGAATGTTCACCTCTGTGAGTTGAATGCAAACATCACAAAGCAGGTTCTGAGAATGCTTCCGTCTAGATTTTAAATGAGGATATTCCCGTTTCCAACGAAATCCTCGAAGCTATCCAAATATCCACTTGCAGATTCCACAAAAAGAGTGTTTCAAAACTGCTTTGTCAAAGGATACGTTCAACTCTGTTAGTTGAGTACACACATGGCAAACAAGATTCCGAGAATGCTTTCGTCTAGTTTTTTTGGGAAGATAATTCCTTCTTCACCATAGGCCTCAAAGCGCTCCAAATATCCATTTCCACATGCTATACAAAGAGTGTCTCAAACCTGCTGTATGAATGGGAATGTTCAACTCTATGAGTTGAATGCAAACATCACAAAGAAGTTTCTGAGAATGCTGCTGTCTAGATTTTATATGAAGGCTTTCCCGCTTCCAACGAAATTTTCAATGCTCTCAAAATATCCTCTTGTAGATTCTACAAAAAGAGTGTTTCCAAACTGCTGTATCAAAACAAAGGTTCATCTCTGTTAGTTGAGGACACACATCACAAATAAGTTTCTGAGAATGCTTCTGTCTAGTTCTTATTTGAAGACATTTCCTTTCTCACCTTAGGCCTGAAAGCGCTCGAAATACCCACTTCCAGATACTACAGAAACAGTGATTCAAACCTGCTCTATGAAAGGGAATGTTCAACTAGGTGACTTGAATGCAAACATCACAAAGCAGTTTCTGAGAATGCTGCTGTCTACTTTCTATTTGTAATCCCGTTTCCAACGAAATCCTCAGAACTATCGAAATTTCCAATTGCAGATTCCACAGAAACAGGGTTTCAAAGCTGCTCTGTAAAAAGAAAGGTTCAACTCTGTTAGTTGAATACACACGTCACAAACAAGTTTCTGAGAATGCTTCTGTCTAGTTTTTATGGGAAGATATTTCCTTTTTCACCGTAGGCCTCAAAGCGCTCCAAATGTCCACGTCCACATACTACAAAAAGAGTGTTTCAAACCTGCTGTATGAAAGGGAATGTTCAACTCTATGAGTTGAATGCAAACATTACAAAGAAGTTTCTGAGAATGCTTCTGTCTAGATTTTATATGAAGGTTTTCCCGTTTCCAACGAAATTTTCAATGCTCTCAAAATATCCACTTGTAGATTCTACAAAAAGAGTGTTTCCAAACTGCTGTGTCAAAAGAAAGGTTCAACTCTGTTAGTTGAGGACACACATCACAAATAAGTTTCTGAGAATGCTTCTGTCTAGTTCTTATTTGAAGACATTTCCTTTCTCACCTTAGGCCTGAAAACGCTCGAAATATCCACTTCCAGATACGACAGAAACAGTGATTCAAACCTGCTCTATGAAAGGGAATGTTCAACTAGGTGACTTGAATGCAAACATCACAAAGCAGTTTCTGAGAATGCTTGCTGTCTACTTTCTATTTGTAATCCCGTTTCCAACGAAATCCTCAGTAACTATCGAAATTTCCAATTGCAGATTCCACAAAAAGCGTGTTTCAAAGCTGCTCTGTAAAAAGAAAGGTTCAACTCTGTTAGTTGAATACACACGTCACAAACAAGTTTCTGAGAATGCTTCTGTCTAGTTTTTATGGGAAGATATTTCCTTTTTCACCGTAGGCCTCAAAGCGCTCCAAATGTCCACTTCCACATACTACAAAAAGAGTGTTTCAAACCTGCTGTATGAAAGGGAATGTTCAACTCTATGAGTTGAATGCAAACATTACAAAGAAGTTTCTGAGAATGCTTCTGTCTAGATTTTATATGAAGATTTTCCCGTTTCCAACGAAATTTTCAATGCTCTCAAAATATCCACTTGTAGATTCTACAAAAAGTGTGTTTCCAAACTGCTGTGTAAAAAGAAAGGTTCAACTCTGTTAGTTGAGGACACACATCACAAATAAGTTTCTGAGAATGCTTCTGTCTAGTTCTTATTTGAAGACATTTCCTTTCTCACCTTAGGCCTGAAAACGCTCGAAATATCCACTTCCAGATACGACAGAAACAGTGATTCAAACCTGCTCTATGAAAGGGAATGTTCAACTAGGTGACTTGAATGCAAACATCACAAAGCAGTTTCTGAGAATGCTGCTGTCTACTTTCTATTTGTAATCCCGTTTCCAACGAAATCCTCAGAACTATCGAAATTTCCAATTGCAGATTCCACAGAAACAGGGTTTCAAAGCTGCTCTGTAAAAAGAAAGGTTCAACTCTGTTAGTTGAATACACACGTCACAAACAAGTTTCTGAGAATGCTTCTGTCTAGTTTTTATGGGAAGATATTTCCTTTTTCACCGTAGGCCTCAAAGAGCTCCAAATGTCCACTTCCACATACTACAAAAAGAGTGTTTCAAACCTGCTCTATGATAGGGAATGTTGAAACCTATGAGTTGAATGCGAACATTACAAAGAGGTTTCTGAGAATGCTTCTGTCTAGATTTTATATGTAGATATTCCCGTTTCCAACGAAATCCTCAAAGCTATCCAAATATCAACTTGCAGATTCTACAAAAGGAATGTTTCCAAAATGCTGTATCCAAACAAAGGTTCAACTCTGTGAATTGAGGGCATACATCACAAGGAAGATTCTGAGAATGCTTCTGTCTAGATTTTATATGAAAATATTCCCGTTTCCAAAGAAATCCTCAAAGCTATCCAAATATCCACTTGCAAATGCCACAAAAAGAGTGTTTCCAAACTGCTCTGTGAAAAGGAAGGTTCAACTCTGTTAGTTGAGTACACACATCACAAAGAGGTTTCTGAGAATGCTGCTGACTAGTTTTTATTTGAAGATATTTCCCTTTTCACCTTAGGCCTAAGAGTGCTCGAAATGTCCATTTCCACATACTCCACAAAGTGTGTTTCAAACGTGCTGTATGAAAGGGAATGTTCAACTCTATGAGTTGAATGCAAACATCACAAAGAAGATTCTGAGAATGCTTTTGTCTAGATTTTATATGAAGATATTCCCGTGTCCAACGAAATTTTCAAAGGTCTCCAAATATCCATTTGTAGATTCTACAAAAAGAGTGTTTCCAAACTGCTGTATCAAAACAAAGGTTGAACTCTGTGAGTTGAGGACACACATCACAAATAAGTTTCTGAGAATGCTTCTGTCTAGTTTTTATTTGAAGATGTTTCCTTTTTCACCATAGGCCTGAAAGCGCTCGAAATGTCCACTTCCAGATAGTACAGAAAGAGTGTTTCAAACCTGCTCTATGAACGGGAATGTTCAGCTCTGTGAGTTGAATGCAAACATCACAAAGCAGGTTCTGAGAATGCTTCCGTCTAGATTTTAAATGAGGATATTCCCGTTTCCAACGAAATCCTCGAAGCTATCCAAATATCCACTTGCAGATTCCACAAAAAGAGTGTTTCAAAACTGCTCTGTCAAAAGATAGGTTCAACTCTGTTAGTTGAGTACACACATGGCAAACAAGATTGCGAGAATGCTTTCGTCTAGTTTTTTTGGGAAGATATTTCCTTCTTCACCATAGGCCTCAAAGCGCTCCAAATATCCATTTCCACATGCTATACAAAGAGTGTCTCAAACCTGCTGTATGAATGGGAATGTTCAACTCTATGAGTTGAATGCAAACATCACAAAGAAGTTTCTGAGAATGCTGCTGTCTAGATTTTATATGAAGGTTTTCCCGCTTCCAACGAAATTTTCAATGCTCTCAAAATATCCTCTTGTAGATTCTACAAAAAGAGTGTTTCCAAACTGCTGTATCAAAACAAAGGTTCATCTCTGTTAGTTGAGGACACACATCACAAATAAGTTTCTGAGAATGCTTCTGTCTAGTTCTTATTTGAAGACATTTCCTTTCTCACCTTAGGCCTGAAAGCGCTCGAAATACCCACTTCCAGATACTACAGAAACAGTGATTCAAACCTGCTCTATGAAAGGGAATGTTCAACTAGGTGACTTGAATGCAAACATCACAAAGCAGTTTCTGAGAATGCTGCTGTCTACTTTCTATTTGTAATCCCGTTTCCAACGAAATCCTCAGAACTATCGAAATTTCCAATTGCAGATTCCACAGAAACAGGGTTTCAAAGCTGCTCTGTAAAAAGAAAGGTTCAACTCTGTTAGTTGAATACACACGTCACAAACAAGTTTCTGAGAATGCTTCTGTCTAGTTTTTATGGGAAGATATTTCCTTTTTCACCGTAGGCCTCAAAGCGCTCCAAATGTCCACGTCCACATACTACAAAAAGAGTGTTTCAAACCTGCTGTATGAAAGGGAATGTTCAACTCTATGAGTTGAATGCAAACATTACAAAGAAGTTTCTGAGAATGCTTCTGTCTAGATTTTATACGAAGGTTTTCCCGTTTCCAATGAAATTTTCAATGCTCTCAAAATATCCACTTGTAGATTCTACAAAAAGAGTGTTTCCAAACTGCTGTGTCAAAAGAAAGGTTCAACTCTGTTAGTTGAGGACACACATCACAAATAAGTTTCTGAGAATGCTTCTGTCTAGTTCTTATTTGAAGACATTTCCTTTCTCACCTTAGGCCTGAAAACGCTCGAAATATCCACTTCCAGATACGACAGAAACAGTGATTCAAACCTGCTCTATGAAAGGGAATGTTCAACTAGGTGACTTGAATGCAAACATCACAAAGCAGTTTCTGAGAATGCTGCTGTCTACTTTCTATTTGTAATCCCGTTTCCAACGAAATCCTCAGAACTATCGAAATTTCCAATTGCAGATTCCACAAAAAGCGTGTTTCAAAGCTGCTCTGTAAAAAGAAAGGTTCAACTCTGTTAGTTGAATACACACGTCACAAACAAGTTTCTGAGAATGCTTCTGTCTAGTTTTTATGGGAAGATATTTCCTTTTTCACCGTAGGCCTCAAAGTGCTCCAAATGTCCACTTCCACATACTACAAAAAGAGTGTTTCAAACCTGCTCTATGATAGGGAATGTTGAAACCTATGAGTTGAATGCAAGCATTACAAAGAGGTTTCTGAGAATGCTTCTGTCTAGATTTTATATGTAGATATTCCCGTTTCCAACGAAATCCTCAAAGCTATCCAAATATCAACTTGCAGATTCTACAAAAGGAATGTTTCCAAAATGCTGTATCCAAACAAAGGTTCAACTCTGTGAATTGAGGGCATACATCACAAAGAAGATTCTGAGAATGCTTCTGTCTAGATTTTATATGAAAATATTCCCGTTTCCAACGAAATCCTCAAAGCTATCCAAATATCCACTTGCAAATGCCACAAAAAGAGTGTTTCCAAACTGCTCTGTGAAAAGGAAGGTTCAACTCTGTTAGTTGAGTACACACATCACAAAGAGGTTTCTGAGAATGCTGCTGACTAGTTTTTATTTGAAGATATTTCCCTTTTCACCTTAGGCCTAAGAGTGCTCGAAATGTCCATTTCCACATACTCCACAAAGTGTGTTTCAAACGTGCTGTATGAAAGGGAATGTTCAACTCTATGAGTTGAATGCAAACATCACAAAGAAGATTCTGAGAATGCTTTTGTCTAGATTTTATATGAAGATATTCCCGTGTCCAACGAAATTTTCAAAGGTCTCCAAATATCCATTTGTAGATTCTACAAAAAGAGTGTTTCCAAACTGCTGTATCAAAACAAAGGTTGAACTCTGTGAGTTGAGGACACACATCACAAATAAGTTTCTGAGAATGCTTCTGTCTAGTTTTTATTTGAAGATGTTTCCTTTTTCACCATAGGCCTGAAAGCGCTCGAAATGTCCACTTCCAGATAGTACAGAAAGAGTGTTTCAAACCTGCTCTATGAACGGGAATGTTCAGCTCTGTGAGTTGAATGCAAACATCACAAAGCAGGTTCTGAGAATGCTTCCGTCTAGATTTTAAATGAGGATATTCCCGTTTCCAACGAAATCCTCGAAGCTATCCAAATATCCACTTGCAGATTCCACAAAAAGAGTGTTTCAAAACTGCTCTGTCAAAAGATAGGTTCAACTCTGTTAGTTGAGTACACACATGGCAAACAAGATTGCGAGAATGCTTTCGTCTAGTTTTTTTGGGAAGATATTTCCTTCTTCACCATAGGCCTCAAAGCGCTCCAAATATCCATTTCCACATGCTATACAAAGAGTGTCTCAAACCTGCTGTATGAATGGGAATGTTCAACTCTATGAGTTGAATGCAAACATCACAAAGAAGTTTCTGAGAATGCTGCTGTCTAGATTTTATATGAAGGTTTTCCCGCTTCCAACGAAATTTTCAATGCTCTCAAAATATCCTCTTGTAGATTCTACAAAAAGAGTGTTTCCAAACTGCTGTATCAAAACAAAGGTTCATCTCTGTTAGTTGAGGACACACATCACAAATAAGTTTCTGAGAATGCTTCTGTCTAGTTCTTATTTGAAGACATTTCCTTTCTCACCTTAGGCCTGAAAACGCTCGAAATATCCACTTCCAGATACGACAGAAACTGTGATTCAAACCTGCTCTATGAAAGGGAATGTTCAACTAGGTGACTTGAATGCAAACATCACAAAGCAGTTTCTGAGAATGCTGCTGTCTACTTTCTATTTGTAATCCCGTTTCCACCGAAATCCTCAGAACTATCGAAATTTCCAATTGCAGATTCCACAAAAAGCGTGTTTCAAAGCTGCTCTGTAAAAAGAAAGGTTCAACTCTGTTAGTTGAATACACACGTCACAAACAAGTTTCTGAGAATGCTTCTGTCTAGTTTTTATGGGAAGATATTTCCTTTTTCACCGTAGGCCTCAAAGCGCTCCAAATGTCCACTTCCACATACTACAAAAAGAGTGTTTCAAACCTGCTGTATGAAAGGGAATGTTCAACTCTATGAGTTGAATGCAAACATTACAAAGAAGTTTCTGAGAATGCTTCTGTCTAGATTTTATATGAAGGTTTTCCCGTTTCCAAGGAAATTTTCAATGCTCTCAAAATATCCACTTGTAGATTCTACAAAAAGAGTGTTTCCAAACTGCTGTGTCAAAAGAAAGGTTCAACTCTGTTAGTTGAGGACACACATCACAAATAAGTTTCTGAGAATGCTTCTGTCTAGTTCTTATTTGAAGACATTTCCTTTCTCACCTTAGGCCTGAAAACGCTCGAAATATCCACTTCCAGATACGACAGAAACAGTGATTCAAACCTGCTCTATGAAAGGGAATGTTCAACTAGGTGACTTGAATGCAAACATCCACAAAGCAGTTTCTGAGAATGCTGCTGTCTACTTTCTATTTGTAATCCCGTTTCCAACGAAATCCTCAGAACTATCGAAATTTCCAATTGCAGATTCCACAAAAAGCGTGTTTCAAAGCTGCTCTGTAATAAGAAAGGTTCAACTCTGTTAGTTGAATACACACGTCACAAACAAGTTTCTGAGAATGCTTCTGTCTAGTTTTTATGGGAAGATATTTCCTTTTTCACCGTAGGCCTCAAAGCGCTCCAAATGTCCACTTCCACATACTACAAAAAGAGTGTTTCAAACCTGCTCTATGATAGGGAATGTTGAAACCTATGAGTTGAATGCAAGCATTACAAAGAGGTTTCTGAGAATGCTTCTGTCTAGATTTTATATGTAGATATTCCCGTTTCCAACGAAATCCTCAAAGCTATCCAAATATCAACTTGCAGATTCTGCAAAAGGAATGTTTCCAAAATGCTGTATCCAAACAAAGGTTCAACTCTGTGAATTGAGGGCATACATCACAAAGAAGATTCTGAGAATGCTTCTGTCTAGATTTTATATGAAAATATTCCCGTTTCCAACGAAATCCTCAAAGCTATCCAAATATCCACTTGCAAATGCCACAAAAAGAGTGTTTCCAAACTGCTCTGTGAAAAGGAAGGTTCAACTCTGTTAGTTGAGTACACACATCACAAAGAGGTTTCTGAGAATGCTGCTGACTAGTTTTTATTTGAAGATATTTCCCTTTTCACCTTAGGCCTAAGAGTGCTCGAAATGTCCATTTCCACATACTCCACAAAGTGTGTTTCAAACGTGCTGTATGAAAGGGAATGTTCAACTCTATGAGTTGAATGCAAACATCACAAAGAAGACTCTGAGAATGCTTTTGCCTAGATTTTATATGAAGATATTCCCGTGTCCAACGAAATTTTCAAAGGTCTCCAAATATCCATTTGTAGATTCTACAAAAAGAGTGTTTCCAAACTGCTGTATCAAAACAAAGGTTGAACTCTGTGAGTTGAGGACACACATCACAAATAAGTTTCTGAGAATGCTTCTGTCTAGTTTTTATTTGAAGATGTTTCCTTTTTCACCATAGGCCTGAAAGCGCTCGAAATGTCCACTTCCAGATAGTACAGAAAGAGTGTTTCAAACCTGCTCTATGAACGGGAATGTTCAGCTCTGTGAGTTGAATGCAAACATCACAAAGCAGGTTCCGAGAATGCTTCCGTCTAGATTTTAAATGAGGATATTCCCGTTTCCAACGAAATCCTCGAAGCTATCCAAATATCCACTTGCAGATTCCACAAAAAGAGTGTTTCAAAACTGCTCTGTCAAAAGATAGGTTCAACTCTGTTAGTTGAGTACACACATGGCAAACAAGATTGCGAGAATGCTTTCGTCTAGTTTTTTTGGGAAGATATTTCCTTCTTCACCATAGGCCTCAAAGCGCTCCAAATATCCATTTCCACATGCTATACAAAGAGTGTCTCAAACCTGCTGTATGAATGGGAATGTTCAACTCTATGAGTTGAATGCAAACATCACAAAGAAGTTTCTGAGAATGCTGCTGTCTAGATTTTATATGAAGGTTTTCCCGCTTCCAACGAAATTTTCAATGCTCTCAAAATATCCTCTTGTAGATTCTACAAAAAGAGTGTTTCCAAACTGCTGTATCAAAACAAAGGTTCATCTCTGTTAGTTGAGGACACACATCACAAATAAGTTTCTGAGAATGCTTCTGTCTAGTTCTTATTTGAAGACATTTCCTTTCACACCTTAGGCCTGAAAGCGCTCGAAATACCCACTTCCAGATACTACAGAAACAGTGATTCAAACCTGCTCTATGAAAGGGAATGTTCAACTATGTGACTTGAATGCAAACATCACAAAGCAGTTTCTGAGAATGCTGCTGTCTACTTTCTATTTGTAATACCGTTTCCAACGAAATCCTCAGAACTATCGAAATTTCCAATTGCAGATTCCACAGAAACAGGGTTTCAAAGCTGCTCTGTAAAAAGAAAGGTTCAACTCTGTTAGTTGAATACACACGTCACAAACAAGTTTCTGAGAATGCTTCTGTCTAGTTTTTATGGGAAGATATTTCCTTTTTCACCGTAGGCCTCAAAGCGCTCCAAATGTCCACTTCCACATACTACAAAAAGAGTGTTTCAAACCTGCTGTATGAAAGGGAATGTTCAACTCTATGAGTTGAATGCAAACATTACAAAGAAGTTTCTGAGAATGCTTCTGTCTAGATTTTATATGAAGGTTTTCCCGTTTCCAACGAAATTTTCAATGCTCTCAAAATATCCACTTGTAGATTCTACAAAAAGAGTGTTTCCAAACTGCTGTGTCAAAAGAAAGGTTCAACTCTGTTAGTTGAGGACACACATCACAAATAAGTTTCTGAGAATGCTGCTGTCTACTTTCTATTTGTAATCCCGTTTCCAACGAAATCCTCAGAACTATCGAAATTTCCAATTGCAGATTCCACAAAAAGCGTGTTTCAAAGCTGCTCTGTAAAAACAAAGGTTCAACTCTGTTAGTTGAATACACACGTCACAAACAAGTTTCTGAGAATGCTTCTGTCTAGTTTTTATGGGAAGATATTTCCTTTTTCACCGTAGGCCTCAAAGCGCTCCAAATGTCCACTTCCACATACTACAAAAAGAGTGTTTCAAACCTGCTGTATGAAAGGGAATGTTCAACTCTATGAGTTGAATGCAAACATTACAAAGAAGTTTCTGAGAATGCTTCTGTCTAGATTTTATATGAAGGTTTTCCCGTTTCCAACGAAATTTTCAATGCTCTCAAAATATCCACTTGTAGATTCTACAAAAAGAGTGTTTCCAAACTGCTGTGTCAAAAGAAAGGTTCAACTCTGTTAGTTGAGGACACACATCACAAATAAGTTTCTGAGAATGCTTCTGTCTAGTTCTTATTTGAAGACATTTCCTTTCTCACCTTAGGCCTGAAAACGCTCGAAATATCCACTTCCAGATACGACAGAAACAGTGATTCAAACCTGCTCTATGAAAGGGAATGTTCAACTAGGTGACTTGAATGCAAACATCACAAAGCAGTTTCTGAGAATGCTGCTGTCTACTTTCTATTTGTAATCCCGTTTCCAACGAAATCCTCAGAACTATCGAAATTTCCAATTGCAGATTCCACAAAAAGCGTGTTTCAAAGCTGCTCTGTAAAAAGAAAGGTTCAACTCTGTTAGTTGAATACACACGTCACAAACAAGTTTCTGAGAATGCTTCTGTCTAGTTTTTATGGGAAGATATTTCCTTTTTCACCGTAGGCCTCAAAGCGCTCCAAATGTCCACTTCCACATACTACAAAAAGAGTGTTTCAAACCTGCTCTATGATAGGGAATGTTGAAACCTATGAGTTGAATGCAAGCATTACAAAGAGGTTTCTGAGAATGCTTCTGTCTAGATTTTATATGTAGATATTCCCGTTTCCAACGAAATCCTCAAAGCTATCCAAATATCAGCTTGCAGATTCTACAAAAGGAATGTTTCCAAAATGCTGTATCCAAACAAAGGTTCAACTCTGTGAATTGAGGGCATACATCACAAAGAAGATTCTGAGAATGCTTCTGTCTAGATTTTATATGAAAATATTCCCGTTTCCAACGAAATCCTCAAAGCTATCCAAATATCCACTTGCAAATGCCACAAAAAGAGTGTTTCCAAACTGCTCTGTGAAAAGGAAGGTTCAACTCTGTTAGTTGAGTACACACATCACAAAGAGGTTTCTGAGAATGCTGCTGACTAGTTTTTATTTGAAGATATTTCCCTTTTCACCTTAGGCCTAAGAGTGCTCGAAATGTCCATTTCCACATACTCCACAAAGTGTGTTTCAAACGTGCTGTATGAAAGGGAATGTTCAACTCTATGAGTTGAATGCAAACATCACAAAGAAGATTCTGAGAATGCTTTTGTCTAGATTTTATATGAAGATATTCCCGTGTCCAACGAAATTTTCAAAGGTCTCCAAATATCCATTTGTAGATTCTACAAAAAGAGTGTTTCCAAACTGCTGTATCAAAACAAAGGTTGAACTCTGTGAGTTGAGGACACACATCACAAATAAGTTTCTGAGAATGCTTCTGTCTAGTTTTTATTTGAAGATGTTTCCTTTTTCACCATAGGCCTGAAAGCGCTCGAAATGTCCACTTCCAGATAGTACAGAAAGAGTGTTTCAAACCTGCTCTATGAACGGGAATGTTCAGCTCTGTGAGTTGAATGCAAACATCACAAAGCAGGTTCTGAGAATGCTTCCGTCTAGATTTTAAATGAGGATATTCCCGTTTCCAACGAAATCCTCGTAGCTATCCAAATATCCACTTGCAGATTCCACAAAAAGAGTGTTTCAAAACTGCTCTTTAAAAAGATAGGTTCAACTCTGTTAGTTGAGTACACACATGGCAAACAAGATTCCGAGAATGCTTTCGTCTAGTTTTTTTGGGAAGATATTTCCTTCTTCACCATAGGCCTCAAAGCGCTCCAAATATCCATTTGCACATGCTATACAAAGAGTGTCTCAAACCTGCTGTATGAATGGGAATGTTCAACTCTATGAGTTGAATGCAAACATCACAAAGAAGTTTCTGAGAATGCTGCTGTCTAGATTTTATATGAAGGTTTTCCCGCTTCCAACGAAATTTTCAATGCTCTCAAAATATCCTCTTGTAGATTCTACAAAAAGAGTGTTTCCAAACTGCTGTATCAAAACAAAGGTTCATCTCTGTTAGTTGAGGACACACATCACAAATAAGTTTCTGAGAATGCTTCTGTCTAGTTCTTATTTGAAGACATTTCCTTTCTCACCTTAGGCCTGAAAGCGCTCGAAATACCCACTTCCAGATACTACAGAAACAGTGATTCAAACCTGCTCTATGAAAGGGAATGTTCAACTAGGTGACTTGAATGCAAACATCACAAAGCAGTTTCTGAGAATGCTGCTGTCTACTTTCTATTTGTAATCCCGTTTCCAACGAAATCCTCAGAACTATCGAAATTTCCAATTGCAGATTCCACAGAAACAGGGTTTCAAAGCTGCTCTGTAAAAAGAAAGGTTCAACTCTGTTAGTTGAATACACACGTCACAAACAAGTTTCTGAGAATGTTTCTGTCTAGTTTTTATGGGAAGATATTTCCTTTTTCACCGTAGGCCTCAAAGCGCTCCAAATGTCCACGTCCACATACTACAAAAAGAGTGTTTCAAACCTGCTGTATGAAAGGGAATGTTCAACTCTATGAGTTGAATGCAAACATTACAAAGAAGTTTCTGAGAATGCTTCTGTCTAGATTTTATATGAAGGTTTTCCCGTTTCCAACGAAATTTTCAATGCTCTGAAAATATCCACTTGTAGATTCTACAAAAAGAGTGTTTCCAAACTGCTGTGTCAAAAGAAAGGTTCAACTCTGTTAGTTGAGGACACACATCACAAATAAGTTTCTGAGAATGCTTCTGTCTAGTTCTTATTTGAAGACATTTCCTTTCTCACCTTAGGCCTGAAAACGCTCGAAATATCCACTTCCAGATACGACAGAAACAGTGATTCAAACCTGCTCTATGAAAGGGAATGTTCAACTAGGTGACTTGAATGCAAACATCACAAAGCAGTTTCTGAGAATGCTGCTGTCTACTTTCTATTTGTAATCCCGTTTCCAACGAAATCCTCAGAACTATCGAAATTTCCAATTGCAGATTCCACAAAAAGCGTGTTTCAAAGCTGCTCTGTAAAAAGAAAGGTTCAACTCTGTTAGTTGAATAGACACGTCACAAACAAGTTTCTGAGAATGCTTCTGTCTAGTTTTTATGGGAAGATATTTCCTTTTTCACCGTAGGCCTCAAAGCGCTCCAAATGTCCACTTCCACATACTACAAAAAGAGTGTTTCAAACCTGCTCTATGATAGGGAATGTTGAAACCTATGAGTTGAATGCAAGCATTACAAAGAGGTTTCTGAGAATGCTTCTGTCTAGATTTTATATGTAGATATTCCCGTTTCCAACGAAATCCTCAAAGCTATCCAAATATCAGCTTGCAGATTCTGCAAAAGGAATGTTTCCAAAATGCTGTATCCAAAGAAAGGTTCAACTCTGTGAATTGAGGGCATACATCACAAAGAAGATTCTGAGAATGCTTCTGTCTAGATTTTATATGAAAATATTCCCGTTTCCAACGAAATCCTCAAAGCTATCCAAATATCCACTTGCAAATGCCACAAAAAGAGTGTTTCCAAACTGCTCTGTGAAAAGGAAGGTTCAACTCTGTTAGTTGAGTACACACATCACAAAGAGGTTTCTGAGAATGCTGCTGACTAGTTTTTATTTGAAGATATTTCCCTTTTCACCTTAGGCCTAAGAGTGCTCGAAATGTCCATTTCCACATACTCCACAAAGTGTGTTTCAAACGTGCTGTATGAAAGGGAATGTTCAACTCTATGAGTTGAATGCAAACATCACAAAGAAGATTCTGAGAATGCTTTTGTCTAGGTTTTATATGAAGATATTCCCGTGTCCAACGAAATTTTCAAAGGTCTCCAAATATCCATTTGTAGATTCTACAAAAAGAGTGTTTCCAAACTGCTGTATCAAAACAAAGGTTGAACTCTGTGAGTTGAGGACACACATCACAAATAAGTTTCTGAGAATGCTTCTGTCTAGTTTTTATTTGAAGATGTTTCCTTTTTCACCATAGGCCTGAAAGCGCTCGAAATGTCCACTTCCAGATAGTACAGAAAGAGTGTTTCAAACCTGCTCTATGAACGGGAATGTTCAGCTCTGTGAGTTGAATGCAAACATCACAAAGCAGGTTCTGAGAATGCTTCCGTCTAGATTTTAAATGAGGATATTCCCGTTTCCAACGAAATCCTCGAAGCTATCCAAATATCCACTTGCAGATTCCACAAAAAGAGTGTTTCAAAACTGCTCTGTCAAAAGATAGGTTCAACTCTGTTAGTTGAGTACACACATGGCAAACAAGATTCCGAGAATGCTTTCGTCTAGTTTTTTTGGGAAGATATTTCCTTCTTCACCATAGGCCTCAAAGCGCTCCAAATATCCATTTCCACATGCTATACAAAGAGTGTCTCAAACCTGCTGTATGAATGGGAATGTTCAACTCTATGAGTTGAATGCAAACATCACAAAGAAGTTTCTGAGAATGCTGCTGTCTAGATTTTATATGAAGGTTTTCCCGCTTCCAACGAAATTTTCAATGCTCTCAAAATATCCTCTTGTAGATTCTACAAAAAGAGTGTTTCCAAACTGCTGTATCAAAACAAAGGTTCATCTCTGTTAGTTGAGGACACACATCACAAATAAGTTTCTGAGAATGCTTCTGTCTAGTTCTTATTTGAAGACATTTCCTTTCTCACCTTAGGCCTGAAAGCGCTCGAAATATCCACTTCCAGATACGACAGAAACTGTGATTCAAACCTGCTCTATGAAAGGGAATGTTCAACTAGGTGACTTGAATGCAAACATCACAAAGCAGTTTCTGAGAATGCTGCTGTCTACTTTCTATTTGTAATCCCGTTTCCAACGAAATCCTCAGAACTATCGAAATTTCCAATTGCAGATTCCACAAAAAGCGTGTTTCAAAGCTGCTCTGTAAAAAGAAAGGTTCAACTCTGTTAGTTGAATACACACGTCACAAACAAGTTTCTGAGAATGCTTCTGTCTAGTTTTTATGGGAAGATATTTCCTTTTTCACCGTAGGCCTCAAAGCGCTCCAAATGTCCACTTCCACATACTACAAAAAGAGTGTTTCAAACCTGCTGTATGAAAGGGAATGTTCAACTCTATGAGTTGAATGCAAACATTACAAAGAAGTTTCTGAGAATGCTTCTGTCTAGATTTTATATGAAGGTTTTCCCGTTTCCAACGAAATTTTCAATGCTCTCAAAATATCCACTTGTAGATTCTACAAAAAGAGTGTTTCCAAACTGCTGTGTCAAAAGAAAGGTTCAGCTCTGTTAGTTGAGGACACACATCACAAATAAGTTTCTGAGAATGCTTCTGTCTAGTTCTTATTTGAAGACATTTCCTTTCTCACCTTAGGCCTGAAAACGCTCGAAATATCCACTTCCAGATACGACAGAAACAGTGATTCAAACCTGCTCTATGAAAGGGAATGTTCAACTAGGTGACTTGAATGCAAACATCACAAAGCAGTTTCTGAGAATGCTGCTGTCTACTTTCTATTTGTAATCCCGTTTCCAACGAAATCCTCAGAACTATCGAAATTTCCAATTGCAGATTCCACAAAAAGCGTGTTTCAAAGCTGCTCTGTAAAAAGAAAGGTTCAACTCTGTTAGTTGAATACACACGTCACAAACAAGTTTCTGAGAATGCTTCTGTCTAGTTTTTATGGGAAGATATTTCCTTTTTCACCGTAGGCCTCAAAGCACTCCAAATGTCCACTTCCACATACTACAAAAAGAGTGTTTCAAACCTGCTCTATGATAGGGAATGTTGAAACCTATGAGTTGAATGCAAGCATTACAAAGAGGTTTCTGAGAATGCTTCTGTCTAGATTTTATATGAAGGTTTTCCCGTTTCCAACGAAATTTTCAAAGCTATCCAAATATCAACTTGCAGATTCTACAAAAGGAATGTTTCCAAAATGCTGTATCCAAACAAAGGTTCAACTCTGTGAATTGAGGGCATACATCACAAAGAAGATTCTGAGAATGCTTCTGTCTAGATTTTATATGAAAATATTCCCGTTTCCAACGAAATCCTCAAAGCTATCCAAATATCCACTTGCAAATGCCACAAAAAGAGTGTTTCCAAACTGCTCTGTGAAAAGGAAGGTTCAACTCTGTTAGTTGAGTACACACATCACAAAGAGGTTTCTGAGAATGCTGCTGACTAGTTTTTATTTGAAGATATTTCCCTTTTCACCTTAGGCCTAAGAGTGCTCGAAATGTCCATTTCCACATATTCCACAAAGTGTGTTTCAAACGTGCTGTATGAAAGGGAATGTTCAACTCTATGAGTTGAATGCAAACATCACAAAGAAGATTCTGAGAATGCTTTTGTCTAGATTTTATATGAAGATATTCCCGTGTCCAACGAAATTTTCAAAGGTCTCCAAATATCCATTTGTAGATTCTACAAAAAGAGTGTTTCCAAACTGCTGTATCAAAACAAAGGTTGAACTCTGTGAGTTGAGGACACACATCACAAATAAGTTTCTGAGAATGCTTCTGTCTAGTTTTTATTTGAAGATGTTTCCTTTTTCACCATAGGCCTGAAAGCGCTCGAAATGTCCACTTCCAGATAGTACAGAAAGAGTGTTTCAAACCTGCTCTATGAACGGGAATGTTCAGCTCTGTGAGTTGAATGCAAACATCACAAAGCAGGTTCTGAGAATGCTTCCGTCTAGATTTTAAATGAGGATATTCCCGTTTCCAACGAAATCCTCGAAGCTATCCAAATATCCACTTGCAGATTCCACAAAAAGAGTGTTTCAAAACTGCTCTGTCAAAAGATAGGTTCAACTCTGTTAGTTGAGTACACACATGGCAAACAAGATTCCGAGAATGCTTTCGTCTAGTTTTTTTGGGAAGATATTTCCTTCTTCACCATAGGCCTCAAAGCGCTCCAAATATCCATTTCCACATGCTATACAAAGAGTGTCTCAAACCTGCTGTATGAATGGGAATGTTCAACTCTATGAGTTGAATGCAAACATCACAAAGAAGTTTCTGAGAATGCTGCTGTCTAGATTTTATATGAAGGTTTTCCCGCTTCCAACGAAATTTTCAATGCTCTCAAAATATCCTCTTGTAGATTCTACAAAAAGAGTGTTTCCAAACTGCTGTATCAAAACAAAGGTTCATCTCTGTTAGTTGAGGACACACATCACAAATAAGTTTCTGAGAATGCTTCTGTCTAGTTCTTATTTGAAGACATTTCCTTTCTCACCTTAGGCCTGAAAGCGCTCGAAATACCCACTTCCAGATACTACAGAAACAGTGATTCAAACCTGCTCTATGAAAGGGAATGTTCAACTATGTGACTTGAATGCAAACATCACAAAGCAGTTTCTGAGAATGCTGCTGTCTACTTTCAATTTGTAATCCCGTTTCCAACGAAATCCTCAGAACTATCGAAATTTCCAATTGCAGATTCCACAGAAACAGGGTTTCAAAGCTGCTCTGTAAAAAGAAAGGTTCAACTCTGTTAGTTGAATACACACGTCACAAACAAGTTTCTGAGAATGCTTCTGTCTAGTTTTTATGGGAAGATATTTCCTTTTTCACCGTAGGCCTCAAAGCGCTCCAAATGTCCACTTCCACATACTACAAAAAGAGTGTTTCAAACCTGCTGTATGAAAGGGAATGTTCAACTCTATGAGTTGAATGCAAACATTACAAAGAAGTTTCTGAGAATGCTTCTGTCTAGATTTTATATGAAGGTTTTCCCGTTTCCAACGAAATTTTCAATGCTCTCAAAATATCCACTTGTAGATTCTACAAAAAGAGTGTTTCCAAACTGCTGTGTCAAAAGAAAGGTTCAACTCTGTTAGTTGAGGACACACATCACAAATAAGTTTCTGAGAATGCTTCTGTCTAGTTCTTATTTGAAGACATTTCCTTTCTCACCTTAGGCCTGAAAACGCTCGAAATATCCACTTCCAGATACGACAGAAACAGTGATTCAAACCTGCTCTATGAAAGGGAATGTTCAACTAGGTGACTTGAATGCAAACATCACAAAGCAGTTTCTGAGAATGCTGCTGTCTACTTTCTATTTGTAATCCCGTTTCCAACGAAATCCTCAGAACTATCGAAATTTCCAATTGCAGATTCCACAAAAAGCGTGTTTCAAAGCTGCTCTGTAAAAAGAAAGGTTCAACTCTGTTAGTTGAATACACACGTCACAAACAAGTTTCTGAGAATGCTTCTGTCTAGTTTTTATGGGAAGATATTTCCTTTTTCACCGTAGGCCTCAAAGCGCTCCAAATGTCCACTTCCACATACTACAAAAAGAGTGTTTCAAACCTGCTCTATGATAGGGAATGTTGAAACCTATGAGTTGAATGCAAGCATTACAAAGAGGTTTCTGAGAATGCTTCTGTCTAGATTTTATATGTAGATATTCCCGTTTCCAACGAAATCCTCAAAGCTATCCAAATATCAACTTGCAGATTCTACAAAAGGAATGTTTCCAAAATGCTGTATCCAAACAAAGGTTCAACTCTGTGAATTGAGGGCATACATCACAAAGAAGATTCTGAGAATGCTTCTGTCTAGATTTTATATGAAAATATTCCCGTTTCCAACGAAATCCTCAAAGCTATCCAAATATCCACTTGCAAATGCCACAAAAAGAGTGTTTCCAAACTGCTCTGTGAAAAGGAAGGTTCAACTCTGTTAGTTGAGTACACACATCACAAAGAGGTTTCTGAGAATGCTGCTGACTAGTTTTTATTTGAAGATATTTCCCTTTTCACCTTAGGCCTAAGAGTGCTCGAAATGTCCATTTCCACATACTCCACAAAGTGTGTTTCAAACGTGCTGTATGAAAGGGAATGTTCAACTCTATGAGTTGAATGCAAACATCACAAAGAAGATTCTGAGAATGCTTTTGTCTAGATTTTATATGAAGATATTCCCGTGTCCAACGAAATTTTCAAAGGTCTCCAAATATCCATTTGTAGATTCTACAAAAAGAGTGTTTCCAAACTGCTGTATCAAAACAAAGGTTGAACTCTGTGAGTTGAGGACACACATCACAAATAAGTTTCTGAGAATGCTTCTGTCTAGTTTTTATTTGAAGATGTTTCCTTTTTCACCATAGGCCTGAAAGCGCTCGAAATGTCCACTTCCAGATAGTACAGAAAGAGTGTTTCAAACCTGCTCTATGAACGGGAATGTTCAGCTCTGTGAGTTGAATGCAAACATCACAAAGCAGGTTCTGAGAATGCTTCCGTCTAGATTTTAAATGAGGATATTCCCGTTTCCAACGAAATCCTCGAAGCTATCCAAATATCCACTTGCAGATTCCACAAAAAGAGTGTTTCAAAACTGCTCTGTCAAAAGATAGGTTCAACTCTGTTAGTTGAGTACACACATGGCAAACAAGATTCCGAGAATGCTTTCGTCTAGTTTTTTTGGGAAGATATTTCCTTCTTCACCATAGGCCTCAAAGCGCTCCAAATATCCATTTCCACATGCTATACAAAGAGTGTCTCAAACCTGCTGTATGAATGGGAATGTTCAACTCTATGAGTTGAATGCAAACATCACAAAGAAGTTTCTGAGAATGCTGCTGTCTAGATTTTATATGAAGGTTTTCCCGTTTCCAACGAAATTTTCAATGCTCTCAAAATATCCTCTTGTAGATTCTACAAAAAGAGTGTTTCCAAACTGCTGTATCAAAACAAAGGTTCATCTCTGTTAGTTGAGGACACACATCACAAATAAGTTTCTGAGAATGCTTCTGTCTAGTTCTTATTTGAAGACATTTCCTTTCTCACCTTAGGCCTGAAAACGCTCGAAATATCCACTTCCAGATACGACAGAAACAGTGATTCAAACCTGCTCTATGAAAGGGAATGTTCAACTAGGTGACTTGAATGCAAACATCACAAAGCAGTTTCTGAGAATGCTGCTGTCTACTTTCTATTTGTAATCCCGTTTCCAACGAAATCCTCAGAACTATCGAAATTTCCAATTGCAGATTCCACAAAAAGCGTGTTTCAAAGCTGCTCTGTAAAAAGAAAGGTTCAACTCTGTTAGTTGAATACACACGTCACAAACAAGTTTCTGAGAATGCTTCTGTCTAGTTTTTATGGGAAGATATTTCCTTTTTCACCGTAGGCCTCAAAGCGCTCCAAATGTCCACTTCCACATACTACAAAAAGAGTGTTTCAAACCTGCTCTATGATAGGGAATGTTGAAACCTATGAGTTGAATGCAAGCATTACAAAGAGGTTTCTGAGAATGCTTCTGTCTAGATTTTATATGTAGATATTCCCGTTTCCAACGAAATCCTCAAAGCTATCCAAATATCAACTTGCAGATTCTACAAAAGGAATGTTTCCAAAATGCTGTATCCAAACAAAGGTTCAACTCTGTGAATTGAGGGCATACATCACAAAGAAGATTCTGAGAATGCTTCTGTCTAGATTTTATATGAAAATATTCCCGTTTCCAACGAAATCCTCAAAGCTATCCAAATATCCACTTGCAAATGCCACAAAAAGAGTGTTTCCAAACTGCTCTGTGAAAAGGAAGGTTCAACTCTGTTAGTTGAGTACACACATCACAAAGAGGTTTCTGAGAATGCTGCTGACTAGTTTTTATTTGAAGATATTTCCCTTTTCCCCTTAGGCTTAAGAGTGCTCGAAATGTCCATTTCCACATACTCCACAAAGTGTGTTTCAAACGTGCTGTATGAAAGGGAATGTTCAACTCTATGAGTTGAATGCAAACATCACAAAGAAGATTCTGAGAATGCTTTTGTCTAGATTTTATATGAAGATATTCCCGTGTCCAACGAAATTTTCAAAGGTCTCCAAATATCCATTTGTAGATTCTACAAAAAGAGTGTTTCCAAACTGCTGTATCAAAACAAAGGTTGAACTCTGTGAGTTGAGGACACACATCACAAATAAGTTTCTGAGAATGCTTCTGTCTAGTTTTTATTTGAAGATGTTTCCTTTTTCACCATAGGCCTGAAAGCGCTCGAAATGTCCACTTCCAGATAGTACAGAAAGAGTGTTTCAAACCTGCTCTATGAACGGGAATGTTCAGCTCTGTGAGTTGAATGCAAACATCACAAAGCAGGTTCTGAGAATGCTTCCGTCTAGGTTTTAAATGAGGATATTCCCGTTTCCAACGAAATCCTCGAAGCTATCCAAATATCCACTTGCAGATTCCACAAAAAGAGTGTTTCAAAACTGCTCTGTCAAAAGATAGGTTCAACTCTGTTAGTTGAGTACACACATGGCAAACAAGATTCCGAGAATGCTTTCGTCTAGTTTTTTTGGGAAGATATTTCCTTCTTCACCATAGGCCTCAAAGCGCTCCAAATATCCATTTCCACATGCTATACAAAGAGTGTCTCAAACCTGCTGTATGAATGGGAATGTTCAACTCTATGAGTTGAATGCAAACATCACAAAGAAGTTTCTGAGAATGCTGCTGTCTAGATTTTATATGAAGGTTTTCCCGCTTCCAACGAAATTTTCAATGCTCTCAAAATATCCTCTTGTAGATTCTACAAAAAGAGTGTTTCCAAACTGCTGTATCAAAACAAAGGTTCATCTCTGTTAGTTGAGGACACACATCACAAATAAGTTTCTGAGAATGCTTCTGTCTAGTTCTTATTTGAAGACATTTCCTTTCTCACCTTAGGCCTGAAAGCGCTCGAAATACCCACTTCCAGATACTACAGAAACAGTGATTCAAACCTGCTCTATGAAAGGGAATGTTCAACTAGGTGACTTGAATGCAAACATCACAAAGCAGTTTCTGAGAATGCTGCTGTCTACTTTCTATTTGTAATCCCGTTTCCAACGAAATCCTCAGAACTATCGAAATTTCCAATTGCAGATTCCACAAAAAGCGTGTTTCAAAGCTGCTCTGTAAAAAGAAAGGTTCAACTCTGTTAGTTGAATACACACGTCACAAACAAGTTTCTGAGAATGCTTCTGTCTAGTTTTTATGGGAAGATATTTCCTTTTTCACCGTAGGCCTCAAAGCGCTCCAAATGTCCACTTCCACATACTACAAAAAGAGTGTTTCAAACCTGCTGTATGAAAGGGAATGTTCAACTCTATGAGTTGAATGCAAACATTACAAAGAAGTTTCTGAGAATGCTTCTGTCTAGATTTTATATGAAGGTTTTCCCGTTTCCAACGAAATTTTCAATGCTCTCAAAATATCCACTTGTAGATTCTACAAAAAGAGTGTTTCCAAACTGCTGTGTCAAAAGAAAGGTTCAACTCTGTTAGTTGAAGACACACATCACAAATAAGTTTCTGAGAATGCTTCTGTCTAGTTCTTATTTGAAGACATTTCCTTTCTCACCTTAGGCCTGAAAACGCTCGAAATATCCACTTCCAGATACGACAGAAACAGTGATTCAAACCTGCTCTATGAAAGGGAATGTTCAACTAGGTGACTTGAATGCAAACATCACAAAGCAGTTTCTGAGAATGCTGCTGTCTACTTTCTATTTGTAATCCCGTTTCCAACGAAATCCTCAGAACCATCGAAATTTCCAATTGCAGATTCCACAGAAACAGGGTTTCAAAGCTGCTCTGTAAAAAGAAAGGTTCAACTCTGTTAGTTGAATACACACGTCACAAACAAGTTTCTGAGAATGCTTCTGTCTAGTTTTTATGGGAAGATATTTCCTTTTTCACGGTAGGCCTCAAAGCGCTCCAAATGTCCACTTCCACATACTACAAAAAGAGTGTTTCAAACCTGCTCTATGATAGGGAATGTTGAAACCTATGAGTTGAATGCAAGCATTACAAAGAGGTTTCTGAGAATGCTTCTGTCTAGATTTTATATGTAGATATTCCCGTTTCCAACGAAATCCTCAAAGCTATCCAAATATCAACTTGCAGATTCTACAAAAGGAATGTTTCCAAAATGCTGTATCCAAACAAAGGTTCAACTCTGTGAATTGAGGGCATACATCACAAAGAAGATTCTGAGAATGCTTCTGTCTAGATTTTATATGAAAATATTCCCGTTTCCAACGAAATCCTCAAAGCTATCCAAATATCCACTTGCAAATGCCACAAAAAGAGTGTTTCCAAACTGCTCTGTGAAAAGGAAGGTTCAACTCTGTTAGTTGAGTACACACATCACAAAGAGGTTTCTGAGAATGCTGCTGACTAGTTTTTATTTGAAGATATTTCCCTTTTCACCTTAGGCCTAAGAGTGCTCGAAATGTCCATTTCCACATACTCCACAAAGTGTGTTTCAAACGTGCTGTATGAAAGGGAATGTTCAACTCTATGAGTTGAATGCAAACATCACAAAGAAGATTCTGAGAATGCTTTTGTCTAGATTTTATATGAAGATATTCCCGTGTCCAACGAAATTTTCAAAGGTCTCCAAATATCCATTTGTAGATTCTACAAAAAGAGTGTTTCCAAACTGCTGTATCAAAACAAAGGTTGAACTCTGTGAGTTGAGGACACACATCACAAATAAGTTTCTGAGAATGCTTCTGTCTAGTTTTTATTTGAAGATGTTTCCTTTTTCACCATAGGCCTGAAAGCGCTCGAAATGTCCACTTCCAGATAGTACAGAAAGAGTGTTTCAAACCTGCTCTATGAACGGGAATGTTCAGCTCTGTGAGTTGAATGCAAACATCACAAAGCAGGTTCCGAGAATGCTTCCGTCTAGATTTTAAATGAGGATATTCCCGTTTCCAACGAAATCCTCGAAGCTATCCAAATATCCACTTGCAGATTCCACAAAAAGAGTGTTTCAAAACTGCTCTGTCAAAAGATAGGTTCAACTCTGTTAGTTGAGTACACACATGGCAAACAAGATTCCGAGAATGCTTTCGTCTAGTTTTTTTGGGAAGATATTTCCTTCTTCACCATAGGCCTCAAAGCGCTCCAAATATCCATTTCCACATGCTATACAAAGAGTGTCTCAAACCTGCTGTATGAATGGGAATGTTCAACTCTATGAGTTGAATGCAAACATCACAAAGAAGTTTCTGAGAATGCTGCTGTCTAGATTTTATATGAAGGTTTTCCCGCTTCCAACGAAATTTTCAATGCTCTCAAAATATCCTCTTGTAGATTTTACAAAAAGAGTGTTTCCAAACTGCTGTATCAAAACAAAGGTTCATCTCTGTTAGTTCAGGACACACATCACAAATAAGTTTCTGAGAATGTTTCTGTCTAGTTCTTATTTGAAGACATTTCCTTTCTCACCTTAGGCCTGAAAACGCTCGAAATATCCACTTCCAGATACGACAGAAACAGTGATTCAAACCTGCTCTATGAAAGGGAATGTTCAACTAGGTGACTTGAATGCAAACATCACAAAGCAGTTTCTGAGAATGCTGCTGTCTACTTTCTATTTGTAATCCCGTTTCCAACGAAATCCTCAGAACTATCGAAATTTCCAATTGCAGATTCCACAAAAAGCGTGTTTCAAAGCTGCTCTGTAAAAAGAAAGGTTCAACTCTGTTAGTTGAATACACACGTCACAAACAAGTTTCTGAGAATGCTTCTGTCTAGTTTTTATGGGAAGATATTTCCTTTTTCACCGTAGGCCTCAAAGCGCTCCAAATGTCCACTTCCACATACTACAAAAAGAGTGTTTCAAACCTGCTCTATGATAGGGAATGTTGAAACCTATGAGTTGAATGCAAGCATTACAAAGAGGTTTCTGAGAATGCTTCTGTCTAGATTTTATATGTAGATATTCCCGTTTCCAACGAAATCCTCAAAGCTATCCAAATATCAACTTGCAGATTCTACAAAAGGAATGTTTCCAAAATGCTGTATCCAAACAAAGGTTCAACTCTGTGAATTGAGGGCATACATCACAAAGAAGATTCTGAGAATGCTTCTGTCTAGATTTTATATGAAAATATTCCCGTTTCCAACGAAATCCTCAAAGCTATCCAAATATCCACTTGCAAATGCCACAAAAAGAGTGTTTCCAAACTGCTCTGTGAAAAGGAAGGTTCAACTCTGTTAGTTGAGTACACACATCACAAAGAGGTTTCTGAGAATGCTGCTGACTAGTTTTTATTTGAAGATATTTCCCTTTTCACCTTAGGCCTAAGAGTGCTCGAAATGTCCATTTCCACATACTCCACAAAGTGTGTTTCAAACGTGCTGTATGAAAGGGAATGTTCAACTCTATGAGTTGAATGCAAACATCACAAAGAAGATTCTGAGAATGCTTTTGTCTAGATTTTATATGAAGATATTCCCGTGTCCAACGAAATTTTCAAAGGTCTCCAAATATCCATTTGTAGATTCTACAAAAAGAGTGTTTCCAAACTGCTGTATCAAAACAAAGGTTGAACTCTGTGAGTTGAGGACACACATCACAAATAAGTTTCTGAGAATGCTTCTGTCTAGTTTTTATTTGAAGATGTTTCCTTTTTCACCATAGGCCTGAAAGCGCTCGAAATGTCCACTTCCACATAGTACAGAAAGAGTGTTTCAAACCTGCTCTATGAACGGGAATGTTCAGCTCTGTGAGTTGAATGCAAACATCACAAAGCAGGTTCTGAGAATGCTTCCGTCTAGATTTTAAATGAGGATATTCCCGTTTCCAACGAAATCCTCGAAGCTATCCAAATATCCACTTGCAGATTCCACAAAAAGAGTGTTTCAAAACTGCTCTGTCAAAAGATAGATAGGTTCAACTCTGTTAGTTGAGTACACACATGGCAAACAAGATTGCGAGAATGCTTTCGTCTAGTTTTTTTGGGAAGATATT
Organism: Homo sapiens; assembly: GCF_000001405.40. Classification (NCBI taxonomy): domain Eukaryota; kingdom Metazoa; phylum Chordata; class Mammalia; order Primates; family Hominidae; genus Homo; species Homo sapiens. The sequence goes on along the minus strand of NC_000015.10, from coordinate 18,476,294 downwards.
TCCTTCTTCACCATAGGCCTCAAAGCGCTCCAAATATCCATTTCCACATGCTATACAAAGAGTGTCTCAAACCTGCTGTATGAATGGGAATGTTCAACTCTATGAGTTGAATGCAAACATCACAAAGAAGTTTCTGAGAATGCTGCTGTCTAGATTTTATATGAAGGTTTTCCCGCTTCCAACGAAATTTTCAATGCTCTCAAAATATCCTCTTGTAGATTCTACAAAAAGAGTGTTTCCAAACTGCTGTATCAAAACAAAGGTTCATCTCTGTTAGTTGAGGACACACATCACAAATAAGTTTCTGAGAATGCTTCTGTCTAGTTCTGATTTGAAGACATTTCCTTTCTCACCTTAGGCCTGAAAACGCTCGAAATATCCACTTCCAGATACGACAGAAACAGTGATTCAAACCTGCTCTATGAAAGGGAATGTTCAACTAGGTGACTTGAATGCAAACATCACAAAGCAGTTTCTGAGAATGCTGCTGTCTACTTTCTATTTGTAATCCCGTTTCCAACGAAATCCTCAGAACTATCGAAATTTCCAATTGCAGATTCCACAAAAAGCGTGTTTCAAAGCTGCTCTGTAAAAAGAAAGGTTCAACTCTGTTAGTTGAATACACACGTCACAAACAAGTTTCTGAGAATGCTTCTGTCTAGTTTTTATAGGAAGATATTTCCTTTTTCACCGTAGGCCTCAAAGCGCTCCAAATGTCCACTTCCACATACTACAAAAAGAGTGTTTCAAACCTGCTGTATGAAAGGGAATGTTCAACTCTATGAGTTGAATGCAAACATTACAAAGAAGTTTCTGAGAATGCTTCTGTCTAGATTTTATATGAAGGTTTTCCCGTTTCCAACGAAATTTTCAATGCTCTCAAAATATCCACTTGTAGATTCTACAAAAAGAGTGTTTCCAAACTGCTGTGTCAAAAGAAAGGTTCAACTCTGTTAGTTGAGGACACACATCACAAATAAGTTTCTGAGAATGCTTCTGTCTAGTTCTTATTTGAAGACATTTCCTTTCTCACCTTAGGCCTGAAAACGCTCGAAATATCCACTTCCAGATACGACAGAAACAGTGATTCAAACCTGCTCTATGAAAGGGAATGTTCAACTAGGTGACTTGAATGCAAACATCACAAAGCAGTTTCTGAGAATGCTGCTGTCTACTTTCTATTTGCAATCCCGTTTCCAACGAAATCCTCAGAACTATCGAAATTTCCAATTGCAGATTCCACAAAAAGCGTGTTTCAAAGCTGCTCTGTAAAAAGAAAGGTTCAACTCTGTTAGTTGAATACACACGTCACAAACAAGTTTCTGAGAATGCTTCTGTCTAGTTTTTATGGGAAGATATTTCCTTTTTCACCGTAGGCCTCAAAGCGCTCCAAATGTCCACTTCCACATACTACAAAAAGAGTGTTTCAAACCTGCTCTATGATAGGGAATGTTGAAACCTATGAGTTGAATGCAAGCATTACAAAGAGGTTTCTGAGAATGCTTCTGTCTAGATTTTATATGTAGATATTCCCGTTTCCAACGAAATCCTCAAAGCTATCCAAATATCAACTTGCAGATTCTACAAAAGGAATGTTTCCAAAATGCTGTATCCAAACAAAGGTTCAACTCTGTGAATTGAGGGCATACATCACAAAGAAGATTCTGAGAATGCTTCTGTCTAGATTTTATATGAAAATATTCCCGTTTCCAACGAAATCCTCAAAGCTATCCAAATATCCACTTGCAAATGCCACAAAAAGAGTGTTTCCAAACTGCTCTGTGAAAAGGAAGGTTCAACTCTGTTAGTTGAGTACACACATCACAAAGAGGTTTCTGAGAATGCTGCTGACTAGTTTTTATTTGAAGATATTTCCCTTTTCACCTTAGGCCTAAGAGTGCTCGAAATGTCCATTTCCACATACTCCACAAAGTGTGTTTCAAACGTGCTGTATGAAAGGGAATGTTCAACTCTATGAGTTGAATGCAAACATCACAAAGAAGATTCTGAGAATGCTTTTGTCTAGATTTTATATGAAGATATTCCCGTGTCCAACGAAATTTTCAAAGGTCTCCAAATATCCATTTGTAGATTCTACAAAAAGAGTGTTTCCAAACTGCTGTATCAAAACAAAGGTTGAACTCTGTGAGTTGAGGACACACATCACAAATAAGTTTCTGAGAATGCTTCTGTCTAGTTTTTATTTGAAGATGTTTCCTTTTTCACCATAGGCCTGAAAGTGCTCGAAATGTCCACTTCCAGATAGTACAGAAAGAGTGTTTCAAACCTGCTCTATGAACGGGAATGTTCAGCTCTGTGAGTTGAATGCAAACATCACAAAGCAGGTTCTGAGAATGCTTCCGTCTAGATTTTAAATGAGGATATTCCCGTTTCCAACGAAATCCTCGAAGCTATCCAAATATCCACTTGCAGATTCCACAAAAAGAGTGTTTCAAAACTGCTCTGTCAAAAGATAGGTTCAACTCTGTTAGTTGAGTACACACATGGCAAAGAAGATTGCGAGAATGCTTTCGTCTAGTTTTTTTGGGAAGATATTTCCTTCTTCACCATAGGCCTCAAAGCGCTCCAAATATCCATTTCCACATGCTATACAAAGAGTGTCTCAAACCTGCTGTATGAATGGGAATGTTCAACTCTATGAGTTGAATGCAAACATCACAAAGAAGTTTCTGAGAATGCTGCTGTCTAGATTTTATATGAAGGTTTTCCCGCTTCCAACGAAATTTTCAATGCTCTCAAAATATCCTCTTGTAGATTCTACAAAAAGAGTGTTTCCAAACTGCTGTATCAAAACAAAGGTTCATCTCTGTTAGTTGAGGACACACATCACAAATAAGTTTCTGAGAATGCTTCTGTCTAGTTCTTATTTGAAGACATTTCCTTTCTCACCTTAGGCCTGAAAACGCTCGAAATATCCACTTCGAGATACGACAGAAACTGTGATTCAAACCTGCTCTATGAAAGGGAATGTTCAACTAGGTGACTTGAATGCAAACATCACAAAGCAGTTTCTGAGAATGCTGCTGTCTACTTTGTATTTGTAATCCCGTTTCCAACGAAATCCTCAGAACTATCGAAATTTCCAATTGCAGATTCCACAGAAACAGGGTTTCAAAGCTGCTCTGTAAAAAGAAAGGTTCAACTCTGTTAGTTGAATACACACGTCACAAACAAGTTTCTGAGATTGCTTCTGTCTAGTTTTTATGGGAAGATATTTCCTTTTTCACCGTAGGCCTCAAAGCGCTCCAAATGTCCACTTCCACATACTACAAAAAGAGTGTTTCAAACCTGCTGTATGAAAGGGAATGTTCAACTCTATGAGTTGAATGCAAACATTACAAAGAAGTTTCTGAGAATGCTTCTGTCTAGATTTTATATGAAGGTTTTCCCGTTTCCAACGAAATTTTCAATGCTCTCAAAATATCCACTTGTAGATTCTACAAAAAGAGTGTTTCCAAACTGCTGTGTCAAAAGAAAGGTTCAACTCTGTTAGTTGAGGACACACATCACAAATAAGTTTCTGAGAATGCTTCTGTCTAGTTCTTATTTGAAGACATTTCCTTTCTCACCTTAGGCCTGAAAACGCTCGAAATATCCACTTCCAGATACGACAGAAACAGTGATTCAAACCTGCTCTATGAAAGGGAATGTTCAACTAGGTGACTTGAATGCAAACATCACAAAGCAGTTTCTGAGAATGCTGCTGTCTACTTTCTATTTGTAATCCCGTTTCCAACGAAATCCTCAGAACTATCGAAATTTCCAATTGCAGATTCCACAAAAAGCGTGTTTCAAAGCTGCTCTGTAAAAAGAAAGGTTCAACTCTGTTAGTTGAATACACACGTCACAAACAAGTTTCTGAGAATGCTTCTGTCTAGTTTTTATGGGAAGATATTTCCTTTTTCACCGTAGGCCTCAAAGCGCTCCAAATGTCCACTTCCACATACTACAAAAAGAGTGTTTCAAACCTGCTCTATGATAGGGAATGTTGAAACCTATGAGTTGAATGCAAGCATTACAAAGAGGTTTCTGAGAATGCTTCTGTCTAGATTTTATATGTAGATATTCCCGTTTCCAACGAAATCCTCAAAGCTATCCAAATATCAACTTGCAGATTCTACAAAAGGAATGTTTCCAAAATGCTGTATCCAAACAAAGGTTCAACTCTGTGAATTGAGGGCATACATCACAAAGAAGATTCTGAGAATGCTTCTGTCTAGATTTTATATGAAAATATTCCCGTTTCCAACGAAATCCTCAAAGCTATCCAAATATCCACTTGCAAATGCCACAAAAAGAGTGTTTCCAAACTGCTCTGTGAAAAGGAAGGTTCAACTCTGTTAGTTGAGTACACACATCACAAAGAGGTTTCTGAGAATGCTGCTGACTAGTTTTTATTTGAAGATATTTCCCTTTTCACCTTAGGCCTAAGAGTGCTCGAAATGTCCATTTCCACATACTCCACAAAGTGTGTTTCAAACGTGCTGTATGAAAGGGAATGTTCAACTCTATGAGTTGAATGCAAACATCACAAAGAAGATTCTGAGAATGCTTTTGTCTAGATTTTATATGAAGATATTCCCGTGTCCAACGAAATTTTCAAAGGTCTCCAAATATCCATTTGTAGATTCTACAAAAAGAGTGTTTCCAAACTGCTGTATCAAAACAAAGGTTGAACTCTGTGAGTTGAGGACACACATCACAAATAAGTTTCTGAGAATGCTTCTGTCTAGTTTTTATTTGAAGATGTTTCCTTTTTCACCATAGGCCTGAAAGCGCTCGAAATGTCCACTTCCAGATAGTACAGAAAGAGTGTTTCAAACCTGCTCTATGAACGGGAATGTTCAGCTCTGTGAGTTGAATGCAAACATCACAAAGCAGGTTCTGAGAATGCTTCCGTCTAGATTTTAAATGAGGATATTCCCGTTTCCAACGAAATCCTCGAAGCTATCCAAATATCCACTTGCAGATTCCACAAAAAGAGTGTTTCAAAACTGCTCTGTCAAAAGATAGGTTCAACTCTGTTAGTTGAGTACACACATGGCAAACAAGATTCCGAGAATGCTTTCGTCTAGTTTTTTTGGGAAGATATTTCCTTCTTCACCATAGGCCTCAAAGCGCTCCAAATATCCATTTCCACATGCTATACAAAGAGTGTCTCAAACCTGCTGTATGAATGGGAATGTTCAACTCTATGAGTTGAATGCAAACATCACAAAGAAGTTTCTGAGAATGCTGCTGTCTAGATTTTATATGAAGGTTTTCCCGCTTCCAACGAAATTTTCAATGCTCTCAAAATATCCTCTTGTAGATTCTACAAAAAGAGTGTTTCCAAACTGCTGTATCAAAACAAAGGTTCATCTCTGTTAGTTGAGGACACACATCACAAATAAGTTTCTGAGAATGCTTCTGTCTAGTTCTTATTTGAAGACATTTCCTTTCTCACCTTAGGCCTGAAAGCGCTCGAAATACCCACTTCCAGATACTACAGAAACAGTGATTCAAACCTGCTCTATGAAAGGGAATGTTCAACTAGGTGACTTGAATGCAAACATCACAAAGCAGTTTCTGAGAATGCTGCTGTCTACTTTCTATTTGTAATCCCGTTTCCAACGAAATCCTCAGAACTATCGAAATTTCCAATTGCAGATTCCACAGAAACAGGTTTTCAAAGCTGCTCTGTAAAAAGAAAGGTTCAACTCTGTTAGTTGAATACACACGTCACAAACAAGTTTCTGAGAATGCTTCTGTCTAGTTTTTATGGGAAGATATTTCCTTTTTCACCGTAGGCCTCAAAGCGCTCCAAATGTCCACTTCCACATACTACAAAAAGAGTGTTTCAAACCTGCTGTATGAAAGGGAATGTTCAACTCTATGAGTTGAATGCAAACATTACAAAGAAGTTTCTGAGAATGCTTCTGTCTAGATTTTATATGAAGGTTTTCCCGTTTCCAACGAAATTTTCAATGCTCTCAAAATATCCACTTGTAGATTCTACAAAAAGAGTGTTTCCAAACTGCTGTGTCAAAAGAAAGGTTCAACTCTGTTAGTTGAGGACACACATCACAAATAAGTTTCTGAGAATGCTTCTGTCTAGTTCTTATTTGAAGACATTTCCTTTCTCACCTTAGGCCTGAAAACGCTCGAAATATCCACTTCCAGATACGACAGAAACAGTGATTCAAACCTGCTCTATGAAAGGGAATGTTCAACTAGGTGACTTGAATGCAAACATCACAAAGCAGTTTCTGAGAATGCTGCTGTCTACTTTCTATTTGTAATCCCGTTTCCAACGAAATCCTCAGAACTATCGAAATTTCCAATTGCAGATTCCACAAAAAGCGTGTTTCAAAGCTGCTCTGTAAAAAGAAAGGTTCAACTCTGTTAGTTGAATACACACGTCACAAACAAGTTTCTGAGAATGCTTCTGTCTAGTTTTTATGGGAAGATATTTCCTTTTTCACCGTAGGCCTCAAAGCGCTCCAAATGTCCACTTCCACATACTACAAAAAGAGTGTTTCAAACCTGCTCTATGATAGGGAATGTTGAAACCTATGAGTTGAATGCAAGCATTACAAAGAGGTTTCTGAGAATGCTTCTGTCTAGATTTTATATGTAGATATTCCCGTTTCCAACGAAATCCTCAAAGCTATCCAAATATCAACTTGCAGATTCTACAAAAGGAATGTTTCCAAAATGCTGTATCCAAACAAAGGTTCAACTCTGTGAATTGAGGGCATACATCACAAAGAAGATTCTGAGAATGCTTCTGTCTAGATTTTATATGAAAATATTCCCGTTTCCAACGAAATCCTCAAAGCTATCCAAATATCCACTTGCAAATGCCACAAAAAGAGTGTTTCCAAACTGCTCTGTGAAAAGGAAGGTTCAACTCTGTTAGTTGAGTACACACATCACAAAGAGGTTTCTGAGAATGCTGCTGACTAGTTTTTATTTGAAGATATTTCCCTTTTCACCTTAGGCCTAAGAGTGCTCGAAATGTCCATTTCCACATACTCCACAAAGTGTGTTTCAAACGTGCTGTATGAAAGGGAATGTTCAACTCTATGAGTTGAATGCAAACATCACAAAGAAGATTCTGAGAATGCTTTTGTCTAGATTTTATATGAAGATATTCCCGTGTCCAACGAAATTTTCAAAGGTCTCCAAATATCCATTTGTAGATTCTACAAAAAGAGTGTTTCCAAACTGCTGTATCAAAACAAAGGTTGAACTCTGTGAGTTGAGGACACACATCACAAATAAGTTTCTGAGAATGCTTCTGTCTAGTTTTTATTTGAAGATATTTCCTTTTTCACCATAGGCCTGAAAGCGCTCGAAATGTCCACTTCCAGATAGTACAGAAAGAGTGTTTCAAACCTGCTCTATGAACGGGAATGTTCAGCTCTGTGAGTTGAATGCAAACATCACAAAGCAGGTTCTGAGAATGCTTCCGTCTAGATTTTAAATGAGGATATTCCCGTTTCCAACGAAATCCTCGAAGCTATCCAAATATCCACTTGCAGATTCCACAAAAAGAGTGTTTCAAAACTGCTCTGTCAAAAGATAGGTTCAACTCTGTTAGTTGAGTACACACATGGCAAACAAGATTCCGAGAATGCTTTCGTCTAGTTTTTTTGGGAAGATATTTCCTTCTTCACCATAGGCCTCAAAGCGCTCCAAATATCCATTTCCACATGCTATACAAAGAGTGTCTCAAACCTGCTGTATGAATGGGAATGTTCAACTCTATGGGTTGAATGCAAACATCACAAAGAAGTTTCTGAGAATGCTTCTGTCTAGATTTTATATGAAGGTTTTCCCGTTTCCAAGGAAATTTTCAATGCTCTCAAAATATCCACTTGTAGATTCTACAAAAAGAGTGTTTCCAAACTGCTGTGTCAAAAGAAAGGTTCAACTCTGTTAGTTGAGGACACACATCACAAATAAGTTTCTGAGAATGCTTCTGTCTAGTTCTTATTTGAAGACATTTCCTTTCTCACCTTAGGCCTGAAAACGCTCGAAATATCCACTTCCAGATACGACAGAAACAGTGATTCAAACCTGCTCTATGAAAGGGAATGTTCAACTAGGTGACTTGAATGCAAACATCACAAAGCAGTTTCTGAGAATGTTGCTGTCTACTTTCTATTTGTAATCCCGTTTCCAACGAAATCCTCAGAACTATCGAAATTTCCAATTGCAGATTCCACAAAAAGCGTGTTTCAAAGCTGCTCTGTAAAAAGAAAGGTTCAACTCTGTTAGTTGAATACACACGTCACAAACAAGTTTCTGAGAATGCTTCTGTCTAGTTTTTATGGGAAGATATTTCCTTTTTCACCGTAGGCCTCAAAGCGCTCCAAATGTCCACTTCCACATACTACAAAAAGAGTGTTTCAAACCTGCTCTATGATAGGGAATGTTGAAACCTATGAGTTGAATGCAAGCATTACAAAGAGGTTTCTGAGAATGCTTCTGTCTAGATTTTATATGTAGATATTTCCGTTTCCAACGAAATCCTCAAAGCTATCCAAATATCAACTTGCAGATTCTACAAAAGGAATGTTTCCAAAATGCTGTATCCAAACAAAGGTTCAACTCTGTGAATTGAGGGCATACATCACAAAGAAGATTCTGAGAATGCTTCTGTCTAGATTTTATATGAAAATATTCCCGTTTCCAACGAAATCCTCAAAGCTATCCAAATATCCACTTGCAAATGCCACAAAAAGAGTGTTTCCAAACTGCTCTGTGAAAAGGAAGGTTCAACTCTGTTAGTTGAGTACACACATCACAAAGAGGTTTCTGAGAATGCTGCTGACTAGTTTTTATTTGAAGATATTTCCCTTTTCACCTTAGGCCTAAGAGTGCTCGAAATGTCCATTTCCACATACTCCACAAAGTGTGTTTCAAACGTGCTGTATGAAAGGGAATGTTCAACTCTATGAGTTGAATGCAAACATCACAAAGAAGATTCTGAGAATGCTTTTGTCTAGATTTTATATGAAGATATTCCCGTGTCCAACGAAATTTTCAAAGGTCTCCAAATATCCATTTGTAGATTCTACAAAAAGAGTGTTTCCAAACTGCTGTATCAAAACAAAGGTTGAACTCTGTGAGTTGAGGACACACATCACAAATAAGTTTCTGAGAATGCTTCTGTCTAGTTTTTATTTGAAGATGTTTCCTTTTTCACCATAGGCCTGAAAGCGCTCGAAATGTCCACTTCCAGATAGTACAGAAAGAGTGTTTCAAACCTGCTCTATGAACGGGAATGTTCAGCTCTGTGAGTTGAATGCAAACATCACAAAGCAGGTTCTGAGAATGCTTCCGTCTAGATTTTAAATGAGGATATTCCCGTTTCCAACGAAATCCTCGAAGCTATCCAAATATCCACTTGCAGATTCCACAAAAAGAGTGTTTCAAAACTGCTCTGTCAAAAGATAGGTTCAACTCTGTTAGTTGAGTACACACATGGCAAACAAGATTGCGAGAATGCTTTCGTCTAGTTTTTTTGGGAAGATATTTCCTTCTTCACCATAGGCCTCAAAGTGCTCCAAATATCCATTTCCACATGCTATACAAAGAGTGTCTCAAACCTGCTGTATGAATGGGAATGTTCAACTCTATGAGTTGAATGCAAACATCACAAAGAAGTTTCTGAGAATGCTGCTGTCTAGATTTTATATGAAGGTTTTCCCGCTTCCAACGAAATTTTCAATGCTCTCAAAATATCCTCTTGTAGATTCTACAAAAAGAGTGTTTCCAAACTGCTGTATCAAAACAAAGGTTCATCTCTGTTAGTTGAGGACACACATCACAAATAAGTTTCTGAGAATGCTTCTGTCTAGTTCTTATTTGAAGACATTTCCTTTCTCACCTTAGGCCTGAAAACGCTCGAAATATCCACTTCCAGATACGACAGAAACAGTGATTCAAACCTGCTCTATGAAAGGGAATGTTCAACTAGGTGACTTGAATGCAAACATCACAAAGCAGTTTCTGAGAATGCTGCTGTCTACTTTCTATTTGTAATCCCGTTTCCAACGAAATCCTCAGAACCATCGAAATTTCCAATTGCAGATTCCACAGAAACAGGGTTTCAAAGCTGCTCTGTAAAAAGAAAGGTTCAACTCTGTTAGTTGAATACACACGTCACAAACAAGTTTCTGAGAATGCTTCTGTCTAGTTTTTATGGGAAGATATTTCCTTTTTCACGGTAGGCCTCAAAGCGCTCCAAATGTCCACTTCCACATACTACAAAAAGAGTGTTTCAAACCTGCTCTATGATAGGGAATGTTGAAACCTATGAGTTGAATGCAAGCATTACAAAGAGGTTTCTGAGAATGCTTCTGTCTAGATTTTATATGTAGATATTCCCGTTTCCAACGAAATCCTCAAAGCTATCCAAATATCAACTTGCAGATTCTACAAAAGGAATGTTTCCAAAATGCTGTATCCAAACAAAGGTTCAACTCTGTGAATTGAGGGCATACATCACAAAGAAGATTCTGAGAATGCTTCTGTCTAGATTTTATATGAAAATATTCCCGTTTCCAACGAAATCCTCAAAGCTATCCAAATATCCACTTGCAAATGCCACAAAAAGAGTGTTTCCAAACTGCTCTGTGAAAAGGAAGGTTCAACTCTGTTAGTTGAGTACACACATCACAAAGAGGTTTCTGAGAATGCTGCTGACTAGTTTTTATTTGAAGATATTTCCCTTTTCACCTTAGGCCTAAGAGTGCTCGAAATGTCCATTTCCACATACTCCACAAAGTGTGTTTCAAACGTGCTGTATGAAAGGGAGTGTTCAACTCTATGAGTTGAATGCAAACATCACAAAGAAGATTCCTGAGAATGCTTTTTGTCTAGATTTTTATATGAAGATATTCCCGTGTCCAACGAAATTTTCAAAGGTCTCTAAATATCCATTTGTAGATTCTACAAAAAGAGTGTTTCCAAACTGCTGTATCAAAACAAAGGTTGAACTCTGTGAGTTGAGGACACACATCACAAATAAGTTTCTGAGAATGCTTCTGTCTAGTTTTTATTTGAAGATGTTTCCTTTTTCACCATAGGCCTGAAAGCGCTCGAAATGTCCACTTCCAGATAGTACAGAAAGAGTGTTTCAAACCTGCTCTATGAACGGGAATGTTCAGCTCCGTGAGTTGAATGCAAACATCACAAAGCAGGTTCTGAGAATGCTTCCGTCTAGATTTTAAATGAGGATATTCCCGTTTCCAACGAAATCCTCGAAGCTATCCAAATATCCACTTGCAGATTCCACAGAAAGAGTGTTTCAAAACTGCTCTCTCAAAAGATAGGTTCAACTCTGTTAGTTGAGTACACACATGGCAAACAAGATTCCGAGAATGCTTTCGTCTAGTTTTTTTGGGAAGATATTTCCTTCTTCACCATAGGCCTCAAAGCGCTCCAAATATCCATTTCCACATGCTATACAAAGAGTGACTCAAACCTGCTGTATGAATGGGAATGTTCAACTCTATGAGTTGAATGCAAACATCACAAAGAAGTTTCTGAGAATGCTGCTGTCTAGATTTTATATGAAGGTTTTCCCGCTTCCAACGAAATTTTGAATGCTCTCAAAATGTCCTCTTGTAGATTCTACAAAAAGAGTGTTTCCAAACTGCTGTATCAAAACAAAGGTTCATCTCTGTTAGTTGAGGACACACATCACAAATAAGTTTCTGAGAATGCTTCTGTCTAGTTCTTATTTGAAGACATTTCCTTTCTCACCTTAGGCCTGAAAGCGCTCGAAATACCCACTTCCAGATACTACAGAAACAGTGATTCAAACCTGCTCTATGAAAGGGAATGTTCAACTATGTGACTTGAATGCAAACATCACAAAGCAGTTTCTGAGAATGCTGCTGTCTACTTTCTATTTGTAATCCCGTTTCCAACGAAATCCTCAGAACTATCGAAATTTCCAATTGCAGATTCCACAGAAACAGGGTTTCAAAGCTGCTCTGTAAAAAGAAAGGTTCAACTCTGTTAGTTGAATACACACGTCACAAACAAGTTTCTGAGAATGCTTCTGTCTAGTTTTTATGGGAAGATATTTCCTTTTTCACCATAGGCCTCAAAGCGCTCCAAATGTCCACTTCCACATACTACAAAAAGAGTGTTTCAAACCTGCTGTATGAAAGGGAATGTTCAACTCTATGAGTTGAATGCAAACATTACAAAGAAGTTTCTGAGAATGCTTCTGTCTAGATTTTATATGAAGGTTTTCCCGTTTCCAACGAAATTTTCAATGCTCTCAAAATATCCACTTGTAGATTCTACAAAAAGAGTGTTTCCAAACTGCTGTGTCAAAAGAAAGGTTCAACTCTGTTAGTTGAGGACACACATCACAAATAAGTTTCTGAGAATGCTTCTGCCTAGTTCTTATTTGAAGACATTTCCTTTCTCACCTTAGGCCTGAAAACGCTCGAAATATCCACTTCCAGATACGACAGAAACAGTGATTCAAACCTGCTCTATGAAAGGGAATGTTCAACTAGGTGACTTGAATGCAAACATCACAAAGCAGTTTCTGAGAATGCTGCTGTCTACTTTCTATTTGTAATCCCGTTTCCAACGAAATCCTCAGAACTATCGAAATTTCCAATTGCAGATTCCACAAAAAGCGTGTTTCAAAGCTGCTCTGTAAAAAGAAAGGTTCAACTCTGTTAGTTGAATACACACGTCACAAACAAGTTTCTGAGAATGCTTCTGTCTAGTTTTTATGGGAAGATATTTCCTTTTTCACCGTAGGCCTCAAAGCGCTCCAAATGTCCACTTCCACATACTACAAAAAGAGTGTTTCAAACCTGCTCTATGATAGGGAATGTTGAAACCTATGAGTTGAATGCAAGCATTACAAAGAGGTTTCTGAGAATGCTTCTGTCTAGATTTTATATGTAGATATTCCCGTTTCCAACGAAATCCTCAAAGCTATCCAAATATCAACTTGCAGATTCTACAAAAGGAATGTTTCCAAAATGCTGTATCCAAACAAAGGTTCAACTCTGTGAATTGAGGGCATACATCACAAAGAAGATTCTGAGAATGCTTCTGTCTAGATTTTATATGAAAATATTCCCGTTTCCAACGAAATCCTCAAAGCTATCCAAATATCCACTTGCAAATGCCACAAAAAGAGTGTTTCCAAACTGCTCTGTGAAAAGGAAGGTTCAACTCTGTTAGTTGAGTACACACATCACAAAGAGGTTTCTGAGAATGCTGCTGACTAGTTTTTATTTGAAGATATTTCCCTTTTCACCTTAGGCCTAAGAGTGCTCGAAATGTCCATTTCCACATACTCCACAAAGTGTGTTTCAAACGTGCTGTATGAAAGGGAATGTTCAACTCTATGAGTTGAATGCAAACATCACAAAGAAGACTCTGAGAATGCTTTTGTCTAGATTTTATATGAAGATATTCCCGTGTCCAACGAAATTTTCAAAGGTCTCCAAATATCCATTTGTAGATTCTACAAAAAGAGTGTTTCCAAACTGCTGTATCAAAACAAAGGTTGAACTCTGTGAGTTGAGGACACACATCACAAATAAGTTTCTGAGAATGCTTCTGTCTAGTTTTTATTTGAAGATGTTTCCTTTTTCACCATAGGCCTGAAAGCGCTCGAAATGTCCCCTTCCAGATAGTACAGAAAGAGTGTTTCAAACCTGCTCTATGAACGGGAATGTTCAGCTCTGTGAGTTGAATGCAAACATCACAAAGCAGGTTCCGAGAATGCTTCCGTCTAGATTTTAAATGAGGATATTCCCGTTTCCAACGAAATCCTCGAAGCTATCCAAATATCCACTTGCAGATTCCACAAAAAGAGTGTTTCAAAACTGCTCTGTCAAAAGATAGGTTCAACTCTGTTAGTTGAGTACACACATGGCAAACAAGATTCCGAGAATGCTTTCGTCTAGTTTTTTTGGGAAGATATTTCCTTCTTCACCATAGGCCTCAAAGCGCTCCAAATATCCATTTCCACATGCTATACAAAGAGTGTCTCAAACCTGCTGTATGAATGGGAATGTTCAACTCTATGAGTTGAATGCAAACATCACAAAGAAGTTTCTGAGAATGCTGCTGTCTAGATTTTATATGAAGGTTTTCCCGCTTCCAACGAAATTTTCAACGCTCTCAAAATATCCTCTTGTAGATTCTACAAAAAGAGTGTTTCCAAACTGCTGTATCAAAACAAAGGTTCATCTCTGTTAGTTGAGGACACACATCACAAATAAGTTTCTGAGAATGCTTCTGTCTAGTTCTTATTTGAAGACATTTCCTTTCTCACCTTAGGCCTGAAAGCGCTCGAAATACCCACTTCCAGATACTACAGAAACAGTGATTCAAACCTGCTCTATGAAAGGGAATGTTCAACTAGGTGACTTGAATGCAAACATCACAAAGCAGTTTCTGAGAATGCTGCTGTCTACTTTCTATTTGTAATCCCGTTTCCAACGAAATCCTCAGAACTATCGAAATTTCCAATTGCAGATTCCACAGAAACAGGGTTTCAAAGCTGCTCTGTAAAAAGAAAGGTTCAACTCTGTTAGTTGAATACACACGTCACAAACAAGTTTCTGAGAATGCTTCTGTCTAGTTTTTATGGGAAGATATTTCCTTTTTCACCGTAGGCCTCAAAGCGCTCCAAATGTCCACTTCCACATACTACAAAAAGAGTGTTTCAAACCTGCTGTATGAAAGGGAATGTTCAACTCTATGAGTTGAATGCAAACATTACAAAGAAGTTTCTGAGAATGCTTCTGTCTAGATTTTATATGAAGGTTTTCCCGTTTCCAACGAAATTTTCAATGCTCTCAAAATATCCACTTGTAGATTCTACAAAAAGAGTGTTTCCAACCTGCTGTGTCAAAAGAAAGGTTCAACTCTGTTAGTTGAGGACACACATCACAAATAAGTTTCTGAGAATGCTGCTGTCTACTTTCTATTTGTAATCCCGTTTCCAACGAAATCCTCAGAACTATCGAAATTTCCAATTGCAGATTCCACAAAAAGCGTGTTTCAAAGCTGCTCTGTAAAAAGAAAGATTCAACTCTGTTAGTTGAATACACACGTCACAAACAAGTTTCTGAGAATGCTTCTGTCTAGTTTTTATGGGAAGATATTTCCTTTTTCACCGTAGGCCTCAAAGCGCTCCAAATGTCCACTTCCACATACTACAAAAAGAGTGTTTCAAACCTGCTCTATGATAGGGAATGTTGAAACCTATGAGTTGAATGCAAGCATTACAAAGAGGTTTCTGAGAATGCTTCTGTCTAGATTTTATATGTAGATATTCCCGTTTCCAACGAAATCCTCAAACTATCCAAATATCAACTTGCAGATTCTACAAAAGGAATGTTTCCAAAATGCTGTATCCAAACAAAGGTTCAACTCTGTGAATTGAGGGCATACATCACAAAGAAGATTCTGAGAATGCTTCTGTCTAGATTTTATATGAAAATATTCCCGTTTCCAACGAAATCCTCAAAGCTATCCAAATATCCACTTGCAAATGCCACAAAAAGAGTGTTTCCAAACTGCTCTGTGAAAAGGAAGGTTCAACTCTGTTAGTTGAGTACACACATCACAAAGAGGTTTCTGAGAATGCTGCTGACTAGTTTTTATTTGAAGATATTTCCCTTTTCACCTTAGGCCTAAGAGTGCTCGAAATGTCCATTTCCACATACTCCACAAAGTGTGTTTCAAACGTGCTGTATGAAAGGGAATGTTCAACTCTATGAGTTGAATGCAAACATCACAAAGAAGATTCTGAGAATGCTTTTGTCTAGATTTTATATGAAGATATTCCCGTGTCCAACGAAATTTTCAAAGGTCTCCAAATATCCATTTGTAGTTTCTACAAAAAGAGTGTTTCCAAACTGCTGTATCAAAACAAAGGTTGAACTCTGTGAGTTGAGGACACACATCACAAATAAGGTTCTGAGAATGCTTCTGTCTAGTTTTTATTTGAAGATATTTCCTTTTTCACCATAGGCCTGAAAGCGCTCGAAATGTCCACTTCCAGATAGTACAGAAAGAGTGTTTCAAACCTGCTCTATGAACGGGAATGTTCAGCTCTGTGAGTTGAATGCAAACATCACAAAGCAGGTTCTGAGAATGCTTTCGTCTAGATTTTAAATGAGGATATTCCCGTTTCCAACGAAATCCTCGAAGCTATCCAAATATCCACTTGCAGATTCCACAAAAAGAGTGTTTCAAAACTGCTCTGTCAAAAGATAGGTTCAACTCTGTTAGTTGAGTACACACATGGCAAACAAGATTCCGAGAATGCTTTCGTCTAGTTTTTTTGGGAAGATATTTCCTTCTTCACCATAGGCCTCAAAGCGCTCCAAATATCCATTTCCACATGCTATACAAAGAGTGTCTCAAACCTGCTGTATGAATGGGAATGTTCAACTCTATGAGTTGAATGCAAACATCACAAAGAAGTTTCTGAGAATGCTGCTGTCTAGATTTTATATGAAGGTTTTCCCGCTTCCAACGAAATTTTCAATGCTCTCAAAATATCCTCTTGTAGATTCTACAAAAAGAGTGTTTCCAAACTGCTGTATCAAAACAAAGGTTCATCTCTGTTAGTTGAGGACACACATCACAAATAAGTTTCTGAGAATGCTTCTGTCTAGTTCTTATTTGAAGACATTTCCTTTCTCACCTTAGGCCTGAAAGCGCTCGAAATACCCACTTCCAGATACTACAGAAACAGTGATTCAAACCTGCTCTATGAAAGGGAATGTTCAACTAGGTGACTTGAATGCAAACATCACAAAGCAGTTTCTGAGAATGCTGCTGTCTACTTTCTATTTGTAATCCCGTTTCCAACGAAATCCTCAGAACTATCGAAATTTCCAATTGCAGATTCCACAGAAACAGGGTTTCAAAGCTGCTCTGTAAAAAGAAAGGTTCAACTCTGTTAGTTGAATACACACGTCACAAACAAGTTTCTGAGAATGCTTCTGTCTAGTTTTTATGGGAAGATATTTCCTTTTTCACCGTAGGCCTCAAAGCGCTCCAAATGTCCACTTCCACATACTACAAAAAGAGTGTTTCAAACCTGCTGTATGAAAGGGAATGTTCAACTCTATGAGTTGAATGCAAACATTACAAAGAAGTTTCTGAGAATGCTTCTGTCTAGATTTTATATGAAGGTTTTCCCGTTTCCAACGAAATTTTCAATGCTCTCAAAATATCCACTTGTAGATTCTACAAAAAGAGTGTTTCCAAACTGCTGTGTCAAAAGAAAGGTTCAACTCTGTTAGTTGAGGACACACATCACAAATAAGTTTCTGAGAATGCTTCTGTCTAGTTCTTATTTGAAGACATTTCCTTTCTCACCTTAGGCCTGAAAACGCTCGAAATATCCACTTCCAGATACGACAGAAACAGTGATTCAAACCTGCTCTATGAAAGGGAATGTTCAACTAGGTGACTTGAATGCAAACATCACAAAGCAGTTTCTGAGAATGCTGCTGTCTACTTTCTATTTGTAATCCCGTTTCCAACGAAATCCTCAGAACTATCGAAATTTCCAATTGCAGATTCCACAAAAAGCGTGTTTCAAAGCTGCTCTGTAAAAAGAAAGGTTCAACTCTGTTAGTTGAATACACACGTCACAAACAAGTTTCTGAGAATGCTTCTGTCTAGTTTTTATGGGAAGATATTTCCTTTTTCACCGTAGGCCTCAAAGCGCTCCAAATGTCCACTTCCACATACTACAAAAAGAGTGTTTCAAACCTGCTCTATGATAGGGAATGTTGAAACCTATGAGTTGAATGCAAGCATTACAAAGAGGTTTCTGAGAATGCTTCTGTCTAGATTTTATATGTAGATATTCCCGTTTCCAACGAAATCCTCAAAGCTATCCAAATATCAACTTGCAGATTCTACAAAAGGAATGTTTCCAAAATGCTGTATCCAAACAAAGGTTCAACTCTGTGAATTGAGGGCATACATCACAAAGAAGATTCTGAGAATGCTTCTGTCTAGATTTTATATGAAAATATTCCCGTTTCCAACGAAATCCTCAAAGCTATCCAAATATCCACTTACAAATGCCACAAAAAGAGTGTTTCCAAACTGCTCTGTGAAAAGGAAGGTTCAACTCTGTTAGTTGAGTACACACATCACAAAGAGGTTTCTGAGAATGCTGCTGACTAGTTTTTATTTGAAGATATTTCCCTTTTCACCTTAGGCCTAAGAGTGCTCGAAATGTCCATTTCCACATACTCCACAAAGTGTGTTTCAAACGTGCTGTATGAAAGGGAATGTTCAACTCTATGAGTTGAATGCAAACATCACAAAGAAGATTCTGAGAATGCTTTTGTCTAGATTTTATATGAAGATATTCCCGTGTCCAACGAAATTTTCAAAGGTCTCCAAATATCCATTTGTAGATTCTACAAAAAGAGTGTTTCCAAACTGCTGTATCAAAACAAAGGTTGAACTCTGTGAGTTGAGGACACACATCACAAATAAGTTTCTGAGAATGCTTCTGTCTAGTTTTTATTTGAAGATGTTTCCTTTTTCACCATAGGCCTGAAAGCGCTCAAAATGTCCACTTCCAGATAGTACAGAAAGAGTGTTTCAAACCTGCTCTATGAACGGGAATGTTCAGCTCTGTGAGTTGAATGCAAACATCACAAAGCAGGTTCTGAGAATGCTTCCGTCTAGATTTTAAATGAGGATATTCCCGTTTCCAAAGAAATCCTCGAAGCTATCCAAATATCCACTTGCAGATTCCACAAAAAGAGTGTTTCAAAACTGCTCTGTCAAAAGATAGGTTCAACTCTGTTAGTTGAGTACACACATGGCAAACAAGATTCCGAGAATGCTTTCGTCTAGTTTTTTTGGGAAGATATTTCCTTCTTCACCATAGGCCTCAAAGCGCTCCAAATATCCATTTCCACATGCTATACAAAGAGTGTCTCAAACCTGCTGTATGAATGGGAATGTTCAACTCTATGAGTTGAATGCAAACATCACAAAGAAGTTTCTGAGAATGCTGCTGTCTAGATTTTATATGAAGGTTTTCCCGCTTCCAACGAAATTTTCAATGCTCTCAAAATATCCTCTTGTAGATTCTACAAAAAGAGTGTTTCCAAACTGCTGTATCAAAACAAAGGTTCATCTCTGTTAGTTGAGGACACACATCACAAATAAGTTTCTGAGAATGCTTCTGTCTAGTTCTTATTTGAAGACATTTCCTTTCTCACCTTAGGCCTGAAAGCGCTCGAAATACCCACTTCCAGATACTACAGAAACAGTGATTCAAACCTGCTCTATGAAAGGGAATGTTCAACTATGTGACTTGAATGCAAACATCACAAAGCAGTTTCTGAGAATGCTGCTGTCTACTTTCTATTTGTAATCCCGTTTCCAACGAAATCCTCAGAACTATCGAAATTTCCAATTGCAGATTCCACAGAAACAGGGTTTCAAAGCTGCTCTGTAAAAAGAAAGGTTCAACTCTGTTAGTTGAATACACACGTCACAAACAAGTTTCTGAGAATGCTTCTGTCTAGTTTTTATGGGAAGATATTTCCTTTTTCACCGTAGGCCTCAAAGCGCTCCAAATGTCCACTTCCACATACTACAAAAAGAGTGTTTCAAACCTGCTGTATGAAAGGGAATGTTCAACTCTATGAGTTGAATGCAAACATTACAAAGAAGTTTCTGAGAATGCTTCTGTCTAGATTTTATATGAAGGTTTTCCCGTTTCCAACGAAATTTTCAATGCTCTCAAAATATCCACTTGTAGATTCTACAAAAAGAGTGTTTCCAAACTGCTGTGTCAAAAGAAAGGTTCAACTCTGTTAGTTGAGGACACACATCACAAATAAGTTTCTGAGAATGCTTGCTGTCTACTTTCTATTTGTAATCCCGTTTCCAACGAAATCCTCAGAACTATCGAAATTTCCAATTGCAGATTCCACAAAAAGCGTGTTTCAAAGCTGCTCTGTAAAAAGAAAGGTTCAACTCTGTTAGTTGAATACACACGTCACAAACAAGTTTCTGAGAATGCTTCTGTCTAGTTTTTATGGGAAGCATATTTCCTTTTTCACCGTAGGCCTCAAAGCGCTCCAAATGTCCACTTCCACATACTACAAAAAGAGTGTTTCAAACCTGCTGTATGAAAGGGAATGTTCAACTCTATGAGTTGAATGCAAACATTACAAAGAAGTTTCTGAGAATGCTTCTGTCTAGATTTTATATGAAGGTTTTCCCGTTTCCAACGAAATTTTCAATGCTCTCAAAATATCCACTTGTAGATTCTACAAAAAGAGTGTTTCCAAACTGCTGTGTCAAAAGAAAGGTTCAACTCTGTTAGTTGAGGACACACATCACAAATAAGTTTCTGAGAATGCTTCTGTCTAGTTCTTATTTGAAGACATTTCCTTTCTCACCTTAGGCCTGAAAACGCTCGAAATATCCACTTCCAGATACGACAGAAACAGTGATTCAAACCTGCTCTATGAAAGGGAATGTTCAACTAGGTGACTTGAATGCAAACATCACAAAGCAGTTTCTGAGAATGCTGCTGTCTACTTTCTATTTGTAATCCCGTTTCCAACGAAATCCTCAGAACTATCGAAATTTCCAATTGCAGATTCCACAAAAAGCGTGTTTCAAAGCTGCTCTGTAAAAAGAAAGGTTCAACTCTGTTAGTTGAATACACACGTCACAAACAAGTTTCTGAGAATGCTTCTGTCTAGTTTTTATGGGAAGATATTTCCTTTTTCACGGTAGGCCTCAAAGCGCTCCAAATGTCCACTTCCACATACTACAAAAAGAGTGTTTCAAACCTGCTCTATGATAGGGAATGTTGAAACCTATGAGTTGAATGCAAGCATTACAAAGAGGTTTCTGAGAATGCTTCTGTCTAGATTTTATATGTAGATATTCCCGTTTCCAACGAAATCTTCAAAGCTATCCAAATATCAACTTGCAGATTCTACAAAAGGAATGTTTCCAAAATGCTGTATCCAAACAAAGGTTCAACTCTGTGAATTGAGGGCATACATCACAAAGAAGATTCTGAGAATGCTTCTGTCTAGATTTTATATGAAAATATTCCCGTTTCCAACGAAATCCTCAAAGCTATCCAAATATCCACTTGCAAATGCCACAAAAAGAGTGTTTCCAAACTGCTCTGTGAAAAGGAAGGTTCAACTCTGTTAGTTGAGTACACACATCACAAAGAGGTTTCTGAGAATGCTGCTGACTAGTTTTTATTTGAAGATATTTCCCTTTTCACCTTAGGCCTAAGAGTGCTCGAAATGTCCATTTCCACATACTCCACAAAGTGTGTTTCAAACGTGCTGTATGAAAGGGAATGTTCAACTCTATGAGTTGAATGCAAACATCACAAAGAAGATTCTGAGAATGCTTTTGTCTAGATTTTATATGAAGATATTCCCGTGTCCAACGAAATTTTCAAAGGTCTCCAAATATCCATTTGTAGATTCTACAAAAAGAGTGTTTCCAAACTGCTGTATCAAAACAAAGGTTGAACTCTGTGAGTTGAGGACACACATCACAAATAAGTTTCTGAGAATGCTTCTGTCTAGTTTTTATTTGAAGATATTTCCTTTTTCACCATAGGCCTGAAAGCGCTCGAAATGTCCACTTCCAGATAGTACAGAAAGAGTGTTTCAAACCTGCTCTATGAACGGGAATGTTCAGCTCTGTGAGTTGAATGCAAACATCACAAAGCAGGTTCTGAGAATGCTTCCGTCTAGATTTTAAATGAGGATATTCCCGTTTCCAACGAAATCCTCGAAGCTATCCAAATATCCACTTGCAGATTCCACAAAAAGAGTGTTTCAAAACTGCTCTGTCAAAAGATAGGTTCAACTCTGTTAGTTGAGTACACACATGGCAAACAAGATTCCGAGAATGCTTTCGTCTAGTTTTTTTGGGAAGATATTTCCTTCTTCACCATAGGCCTCAAAGCGCTCCAAATATCCATTTCCACATGCTATACAAAGAGTGTCTCAAACCTGCTGTATGAATGGGAATGTTCAACTCTATGAGTTGAATGCAAACATCACAAAGAAGTTTCTGAGAATGCTGCTGTCTAGATTTTATATGAAGGTTTTCCCGCTTCCAACGAAATTTTCAATGCTCTCAAAATATCCTCTTGTAGATTCTACAAAAAGAGTGTTTCCAAACTGCTGTATCAAAACAAAGGTTCATCTCTGTTAGTTGAGGACACACATCACAAATAAGTTTCTGAGAATGCTTCTGTCTAGTTCTTATTTGAAGACATTTCCTTTCTCACCTTAGGCCTGAAAGCGCTCGAAATACCCACTTCCAGATACTACAGAAACAGTGATTCAAACCTGCTCTATGAAAGGGAATGTTCAACTAGGTGACTTGAATGCAAACATCACAAAGCAGTTTCTGAGAATGCTGCTGTCTACTTTCTATTTGTAATCCCGTTTCCAACGAAATCCTCAGAACTATCGAAATTTCCAATTGCAGATTCCACAGAAACAGGGTTTCAAAGCTGCTCTGTAAAAAGAAAGGTTCAACTCTGTTAGTTGAATACACACGTCACAAACAAGTTTCTGAGAATGCTTCTGTCTAGTTTTTATGGGAAGATATTTCCTTTTTCACCGTAGGCCTCAAAGCGCTCCAAATGTCCACTTCCACATACTACAAAAAGAGTGTTTCAAACCTGCTGTATGAAAGGGAATGTTCAACTCTATGAGTTGAATGCAAACATTACAAAGAAGTTTCTGAGAATGCTTCTGTCTAGATTTTATATGAAGGTTTTCCCGTTTCCAACGAAATTTTCAATGCTCTCAAAATATCCACTTGTAGATTCTACAAAAAGAGTGTTTCCAAACTGCTGTGTCAAAAGAAAGGTTCAACTCTGTTAGTTGAGGACACACATCACAAATAAGTTTCTGAGAATGCTTCTGTCTAGTTCTTATTTGAAGACATTTCCTTTCTCACCTTAGGCCTGAAAACGCTCGAAATATCCACTTCCAGATACGACAGAAACAGTGATTCAAACCTGCTCTATGAAAGGGAATGTTCAACTAGGTGACTTGAATGCAAACATCACAAAGCAGTTTCTGAGAATGCTGCTGTCTACTTTCTATTTGTAATCCCGTTTCCAACGAAATCCTCAGAACTATCGAAATTTCCAATTGCAGATTCCACAAAAAGCGTGTTTCAAAGCTGCTCTGTAAAAAGAAAGGTTCAACTCTGTTAGTTGAATACACACGTCACAAACAAGTTTCTGAGAATGCTTCTGTCTAGTTTTTATGGGAAGATATTTCCTTTTTCACCGTAGGCCTCAAAGCGCTCCAAATGTCCACTTCCACATACTACAAAAAGAGTGTTTCAAACCTGCTCTATGATAGGGAATGTTGAAACCTATGAGTTGAATGCAAGCATTACAAAGAGGTTTCTGAGAATGCTTCTGTCTAGATTTTATATGTAGATATTCCCGTTTCCAACGAAATCCTCAAAGCTATCCAAATATCAGCTTGCAGATTCTGCAAAAGGAATGTTTCCAAAATGCTGTATCCAAACAAAGGTTCAACTCTGTGAATTGAGGGCATACATCACAAAGAAGATTCTGAGAATGCTTCTGTCTAGATTTTATATGAAAATATTCCCGTTTCCAACGAAATCCTCAAAGCTATCCAAATATCCACTTGCAAATGCCACAAAAAGAGTGTTTCCAAACTGCTCTGTGAAAAGGAAAGGTTCAACTCTGTTAGTTGAGTACACACATCACAAAGAGGTTTCTGAGAATGCTGCTGACTAGTTTTTATTTGAAGATATTTCCCTTTTCACCTTAGGCCTAAGAGTGCTCGAAATGTCCATTTCCACATACTCCACAAAGTGTGTTTCAAACGTGCTGTATGAAAGGGAATGTTCAACTCTATGAGTTGAATGCAAACATCACAAAGAAGATTCTGAGAATGCTTTTGTCTAGATTTTATATGAAGATATTCCCGTGTCCAACGAAATTTTCAAAGGTCTCCAAATATCCATTTGTAGATTCTACAAAAAGAGTGTTTCCAAACTGCTGTATCAAAACAAAGGTTGAACTCTGTGAGTTGAGGACACACATCACAAATAAGTTTCTGAGAATGCTTCTGTCTAGTTTGTATTTGAAGATGTTTCCTTTTTCACCATAGGCCTGAAAGCGCTCGAAATGTCCACTTCCAGATAGTACAGAAAGAGTGTTTCAAACCTGCTCTATGAACGGGAATGTTCAGCTCTGTGAGTTGAATGCAAACATCACAAAGCAGGTTCCGAGAATGCTTCCGTCTAGATTTTAAATGAGGATATTCCCGTTTCCAACGAAATCCTCGAAGCTATCCAAATATCCACTTGCAGATTCCACAAAAAGAGTGTTTCAAAACTGCTCTGTCAAAAGATAGGTTCAACTCTGTTAGTTGAGTACACACATGGCAAACAAGATTGCGAGAATGCTTTCGTCTAGTTTTTTTGGGAAGATATTTCCTTCTTCACCATAGGCCTCAAAGCGCTCCAAATATCCATTTCCACATGCTATACAAAGAGTGTCTCAAACCTGCTGTATGAATGGGAATGTTCAACTCTATGAGTTGAATGCAAACATCACAAAGAAGTTTCTGAGAATGCTGCTGTCTAGATTTTATATGAAGGTTTTCCCGCTTCCAACGAAATTTTCAATGCTCTCAAAATATCCTCTTGTAGATTCTACAAAAAGAGTGTTTCCAAACTGCTGTATCAAAACAAAGGTTCATCTCTGTTAGTTGAGGACACACATCACAAATAAGTTTCTGAGAATGCTTCTGTCTAGTTCTTATTTGAAGACATTTCCTTTCTCACCTTAGGCCTGAAAGCGCTCGAAATATCCACTTCCAGATACGACAGAAACTGTGATTCAAACCTGCTCTATGAAAGGGAATGTTCAACTAGGTGACTTGAATGCAAACATCACAAAGCAGTTTCTGAGAATGCTGCTGTCTACTTTCTATTTGTAATCCCGTTTCCAACGAAATCCTCAGAACTATCGAAATTTCCAATTGCAGATTCCACAAAAAGCGTGTTTCAAAGCTGCTCTGTAAAAAGAAAGGTTCAACTCTGTTAGTTGAATACACACGTCACAAACAAGTTTCTGAGAATGCTTCTGTCTAGTTTTTATGGGAAGATATTTCCTTTTTCACCGTAGGCCTCAAAGCGCTCCAAATGTCCACTTCCACATACTACAAAAAGAGTGTTTCAAACCTGCTGTATGAAAGGGAATGTTCAACTGTATGAGTTGAATGCAAACATTACAAAGAAGTTTCTGAGAATGCTTCTGTCTAGATTTTATATGAAGATTTTCCCGTTTCCAACGAAATTTTCAATGCTCTCAAAATATCCACTTGTAGATTCTACAAAAAGAGTGTTTCCAAACTGCTGTGTCAAAAGAAAGGTTCAACTCTGTTAGTTGAGGACACACATCACAAATAAGTTTCTGAGAATGCTTCTGTCTAGTTCTTATTTGAAGACATTTCCTTTCTCACCTTAGGCCTGAAAGCGCTCGAAATACCCACTTCCAGATACTACAGAAACAGTGATTCAAACCTGCTCTATGAAAGGGAATGTTCAACTAGGTGACTTGAATGCAAACATCACAAAGCAGTTTCCTGAGAATGCTGCTGTCTACTTTCTATTTGTAATCCCGTTTCCAACGAAATCCTCAGAACTATCGAAATTTCCAATTGCAGATTGCACAGAAACAGGGTTTCAAAGCTGCTCTGTAAAAAGAAAGGTTCAACTCTGTTAGTTGAATACACACGTCACAAACAAGTTTCTGAGAATGCTTCTGTCTAGTTTTTATGGGAAGATATTTCCTTTTTCACCGTAGGCCTCAAAGCGCTCCAAATGTCCACTTCCACATACTACAAAAAGAGTGTTTCAAACCTGCTGTATGAAAGGGAATGTTCAACTCTATGAGTTGAATGCAAACATTACAAAGAAGTTTCTGAGAATGCTTCTGTCTAGATTTTATATGAAGGTTTTCCCGTTTCCAACGAAATTTTCAATGCTCTCAAAATATCCACTTGTAGATTCTACAAAAAGAGTGTTTCCAAACTGCTGTGTCAAAAGAAAGGTTCAACTCTGTTAGTTGAGGACACACATCACAAATAAGTTTCTGAGAATGCTTCTGTCTAGTTCTTATTTGAAGACATTTCCTTTCTCACCTTAGGCCTGAAAACGCTCGAAATATCCACTTCCAGATACGACAGAAACAGTGATTCAAACCTGCTCTATGAAAGGGAATGTTCAACTAGGTGACTTGAATGCAAACATCACAAAGCAGTTTCTGAGAATGCTGCTGTCTACTTTCTATTTGTAATCCCGTTTCCAACGAAATCCTCAGAACCATCGAAATTTCCAATTGCAGATTCCACAGAAACAGGGTTTCAAAGCTGCTCTGTAAAAAGAAAGGTTCAACTCTGTTAGTTGAATACACACGTCACAAACAAGTTTCTGAGAATGCTTCTGTCTAGTTTTTATGGGAAGATATTTCCTTTTTCACCGTAGGCCTCAAAGCGCTCCAAATGTCCACTTCCACATACTACAAAAAGAGTGTTTCAAACCTGCTCTATGATAGGGAATGTTGAAACCTATGAGTTGAATGCAAGCATTACAAAGAGGTTTCTGAGAATGCTTCTGTCTAGATTTTATATGTAGATATTCCCGTTTCCAACGAAATCCTCAAAGCTATCCAAATATCAACTTGCAGATTCTGCAAAAGGAATGTTTCCAAAATGCTGTATCCAAACAAAGGTTCAACTCTGTGAATTGAGGGCATACATCACAAAGAAGATTCTGAGAATGCTTCTGTCTAGATTTTATATGAAAATATTCCCGTTTCCAACGAAATCCTCAAAGCTATCTAAATATCCACTTGCAAATGCCACAAAAAGAGTGTTTCCAAACTGCTCTGTGAAAAGGAAGGTTCAACTCTGTTAGTTGAGTACACACATCACAAAGAGGTTTCTGAGAATGCTGCTGACTAGTTTTTATTTGAAGATATTTCCCTTTTCACCTTAGGCCTAAGAGTGCTCGAAATGTCCATTTCCACATACTCCACAAAGTGTGTTTCAAACGTGCTGTATGAAAGGGAATGTTCAACTCTATGAGTTGAATGCAAACATCACAAAGAAGATTCTGAGAATGCTTTTGTCTAGATTTTATATGAAGATATTCCCGTGTCCAACGAAATTTTCAAAGGTCTCCAAATATCCATTTGTAGATTCTACAAGAAGAGTGTTTCCAAACTGCTGTATCAAAACAAAGGTTGAACTCTGTGAGTTGAGGACACACATCACAAATAAGTTTCTGAGAATGCTTCTGTCTAGTTTTTATTTGAAGATGTTTCCTTTTTCACCATAGGCCTGAAAGCGCTCGAAATGTCCACTTCCAGATAGTACAGAAAGAGTGTTTCAAACCTGCTCTATGAACGGGAATGTTCAGCTCTGTGAGTTGAATGCAAACATCACAAAGCAGGTTCCGAGAATGCTTCCGTCTAGATTTTAAATGAGGATATTCCCGTTTCCAACGAAATCCTCGAAGCTATCCAAATATCCACTTGCAGATTCCACAAAAAGAGTGTTTCAAAACTGCTCTGTCAAAAGATAGGTTCAACTCTGTTAGTTGAGTACACACATGGCAAACAAGATTGCGAGAATGCTTTCGTCTAGTTTTTTTGGGAAGATATTTCCTTCTTCACCATAGGCCTCAAAGCGCTCCAAATATCCATTTCCACATGCTATACAAAGAGTGTCTCAAACCTGCTGTATGAATGGGAATGTTCAACTCTATGAGTTGAATGCAAACATCACAAAGAAGTTTCTGAGAATGCTGCTGTCTAGATTTTATATGAAGGTATTCCCGCTTCCAACGAAATTTTCAATGCTCTCAAAATATCCTCTTGTAGATTCTACAAAAAGAGTGTTTCCAAACTGCTGTATCAAAACAAAGGTTCATCTCTGTTAGTTGAGGACACACATCACAAATAAGTTTCTGAGAATGCTTCTGTCTAGTTCTTATTTGAAGACATTTCCTTTCTCACCTTAGGCCTGAAAGCGCTCGAAATATCCACTTCCAGATACGACAGAAACTGTGATTCAAACCTGCTCTATGAAAGGGAATGTTCAACTAGGTGACTTGAATGCAAACATCACAAAGCAGTTTCTGAGAATGCTGCTGTCTACTTTCTATTTGTAATCCCGTTTCCAACGAAATCCTCAGAACTATCGAAATTTCCAATTGCAGATTCCACAAAAAGCGTGTTTCAAAGCTGCTCTGTAAAAAGAAAGGTTCAACTCTGTTAGTTGAATACACACGTCACAAACAAGTTTCTGAGAATGCTTCTGTCTAGTTTTTATGGGAAGATATTTCCTTTTTCACCGTAGGCCTCAAAGCGCTCCAAATGTCCACTTCCACATACTACAAAAAGAGTGTTTCAAACCTGCTGTATGAAAGGGAATGTTCAACTCTATGAGTTGAATGCAAACATTACAAAGAAGTTTCTGAGAATGCTTCTGTCTAGATTTTATATGAAGGTTTTCCCGTTTCCAACGAAATTTTCAATGCTCTCAAAATATCCACTTGTAGATTCTACAAAAAGAGTGTTTCCAAACTGCTGTGTCAAAAGAAAGGTTCAACTCTGTTAGTTGAGGACACACATCACAAATAAGTTTCTGAGAATGCTTCTGTCTAGTTCTTATTTGAAGACATTTCCTTTCTCACCTTAGGCCTGAAAACGCTCGAAATATCCACTTCCAGATACGACAGAATCAGTGATTCAAACCTGCTCTATGAAAGGGAATGTTCTACTAGGTGACTTGAATGCAAACATCACAAAGCAGTTTCTGAGAATGCTGCTGTCTACTTTCTATTTGTAATCCCGTTTCCAACGAAATCCTCAGAACTATCGAAATTTCCAATTGCAGATTCCACAAAAAGCGTGTTTCAAAGCTGCTCTGTAAAAAGAAAGGTTCAACTCTGTTTGTTGAATACACACGTCACAAACAAGTTTCTGAGAATGCTTCTGTCTAGTTTTTATGGGAAGATATTTCCTTTATTCACCGTAGGCCTCAAAGCGCTCCAAATGTCCACTTCCACATACTACAAAAAGAGTGTTTCAAACCTGCTCTATGATAGGGAATGTTGAAACCTATGAGTTGAATGCAAGCATTACAAAGAGGTTTCTGAGAATGCTTCTGTCTAGATTTTATATGTAGATATTCCCGTTTCCAACGAAATCCTCAAAGCTATCCAAATATCAGCTTGCAGATTCTGCAAAAGGAATGTTTCCAAAATGCTGTATCCAAACAAAGGTTCAACTCTGTGAATTGAGGGCATACATCACAAAGAAGATTCTGAGAATGCTTCTGTCTAGATTTTATATGAAAATATTCCCGTTTCCAACGAAATCCTCAAAGCTATCCAAATATCCACTTGCAAATGCCACAAAAAGAGTGTTTCCAAACTGCTCTGTGAAAAGGAAGGTTCAACTCTGTTAGTTGAGTACACACATCACAAAGAGGTTTCTGAGAATGCTGCTGACTAGTTTTTATTTGAAGATATTTCCCTTTTCACCTTAGGCCTAAGAGTGCTCGAAATGTCCATTTCCACATACTCCACAAAGTGTGTTTCAAACGTGCTGTATGAAAGGGAATGTTCAACTCTATGAGTTGAATGCAAACATCACAAAGAAGATTCTGAGAATGCTTTTGTCTAGATTTTATATGAAGATATTCCCGTGTCCAACGAAATTTTCAAAGGTCTCCAAATATCCATTTGTAGATTCTACAAAAAGAGTGTTTCCAAACTGCTGTATCAAAACAAAGGTTGAAATCTGTGAGTTGAGGACACACATCACAAATAAGTTTCTGAGAATGCTTCTGTCTAGTTTTTATTTGAAGATGTTTCCTTTTTCACCATAGGCCTGAAAGCGCTCGAAATGTCCACTTCCAGATAGTACAGAAAGAGTGTTTCAAACCTGCTCTATGAACGGGAATGTTCAGCTCTGTGAGTTGAATGCAAACATCACAAAGCAGGTTCTGAGAATGCTTCCGTCTAGATTTTAAATGAGGATATTCCCGTTTCCAACGAAATCCTCGAAGCTATCCAAATATCCACTTGCAGATTCCACAAAAAGAGTGTTTCAAAACTGCTCTGTCAAAAGATAGGTTCAACTCTGTTAGTTGAGTACACACATGGCAAACAAGATTCCGAGAATGCTTTCGTCTAGTTTTTTTGGGAAGATATTTCCTTCTTCACCATAGGCCTCAAAGCGCTCCAAATATCCATTTCCACATGCTATACAAAGAGTGTCTCAAACCTGCTGTATGAATGGGAATGTTCAACTCTTTGAGTTGAATGCAAACATCACAAAGAAGTTTCTGAGAATGCTGCTGTCTAGATTTTATATGAAGGTTTTCCCGCTTCCAACGAAATTTTCAATGCTCTCAAAATATCCTCTTGTAGATTCTACAAAAAGAGTGTTTCCAAACTGCTGTATCAAAACAAAGGTTCATCTCTGTTAGTTGAGGACACACATCACAAATAAGTTTCTGAGAATGCTTCTGTCTAGTTCTTATTTGAAGACATTTCCTTTCTCACCTTAGGCCTGAAAGCGCTCGAAATACCCACTTCCAGATACTACAGAAACAGTGATTCAAACCTGCTCTATGAAAGGGAATGTTCAACTAGGTGAGTTGAATGCAAACATCACAAAGCAGTTTCTGAGAATGCTGCTGTCTACTTTCTATTTGTAATCCCGTTTCCAACGAAATCCTCAGAACTATCGAAATTTCCAATTGCAGATTCCACAGAAACAGGGTTTCAAAGCTGCTCTGTAAAAAGAAAGGTTCAACTCTGTTAGTTGAATACACACGTCACAAACAAGTTTCTGAGAATGCTTCTGTCTAGTTTTTATGGGAAGATATTTCCTTTTTCACCGTAGGCCTCAAAGCGCTCCAAATGTACACTTCCACATACTACAAAAAGAGTGTTTCAAGCCTGCTGTATGAAAGGGAATGTTCAACTCTATGAGTTGAATGCAAACATTACAAAGAAGTTTCTGAGAATGCTTCTGTCTAGATTTTATATGAAGGTTTTCCCGTTTCCAACGAAATTTTCAATGCTCTCAAAATATCCACTTGTAGATTCTACAAAAAGAGTGTTTCCAAACTGCTGTGTCAAAAGAAAGGTTCAACTCTGTTAGTTGAGGACACACATCACAAATAAGTTTCTGAGAATGCTTCTGTCTAGTTCTTATTTGAAGACATTTCCTTTCTCACCTTAGGCCTGAAAACGCTCGAAATATCCACTTCCAGATACGACAGAAACAGTGATTCAAACCTGCTCTATGAAAGAGAATGTTCAACTAGGTGACTTGAATGCAAACATCACAAAGCAGTTTCTGAGAATGCTGCTGTCTACTTTCTATTTGTAATCCCGTTTCCAACGAAATCCTCAGAACTATCGAAATTTCCAATTGCAGATTCCACAAAAAGCGTGTTTCAAAGCTGCTCTGTAAAAAGAAAGGTTCAACTCTGTTAGTTGAATACACACGTCACAAACAAGTTTCTGAGAATGCTTCTGTCTAGTTTTTATGGGAAGATATTTCCTTTTTCACCGTAGGCCTCAAAGCGCTCCAAATGTCCACTTCCACATACTACAAAAAGAGTGTTTCAAACCTGCTCTATGATAGGGAATGTTGAAACCTATGAGTTGAATGCAAGCATTACAAAGAGGTTTCTGAGAATGCTTCTGTCTAGATTTTATATGTAGATATTCCCGTTTCCAACGAAATCCTCAAAGCTATCCAAATATCAACTTGCAGATTCTACAAAAGGAATGTTTCCAAAATGCTGTATCCAAACAAAGGTTCAACTCTGTGAATTGAGGGCATACATCACAAAGAAGATTCCTGAGAATGCTTCTGTCTAGCATTTTATATGAAAATATTCCCGTTTCCAACGAAATCCTCAAAGCTATCCAAATATCCACTTGCAAATGCCACAAAAAGAGTGTTTCCAAACTGCTCTGTGAAAAGGAAGGTTCAACTCTGTTAGTTGAGTACACACATCACAAAGAGGTTTCTGAGAATGCTGCTGACTAGTTTTTATTTGAAGATATTTCCCTTTTCACCTTAGGCCTAAGAGTGCTCGAAATGTCCATTTCCACATACTCCACAAAGTGTGTTTCAAACGTGCTGTATGAAAGGGAATGTTCAACTCTATGAGTTGAATGCAAACATCACAAAGAAGATTCTGAGAATGCTTTTGTCTAGATTTTATATGAAGATATTCCCGTGTCCAACGAAATTTTCAAAGGTCTCCAAATATCCATTTGTAGATTCTACAAAAAGAGTGTTTCCAAACTGCTGTATCAAAACAAAGGTTGAACTCTGTGAGTTGAGGACACACATCACAAATAAGTTTCTGAGAATGCTTCTGTCTAGTTTTTATTTGAAGATGTTTCCTTTTTCACCATAGGCCTGAAAGCGCTCGAAATGTCCACTTCCAGATAGTACAGAAAGAGTGTTTCAAACCTGCTCTATGAACGGGAATGTTCAGCTCTGTGAGTTGAATGCAAACATCACAAAGCAGGTTCTGAGAATGCTTCCGTCTAGATTTTAAATGAGGATATTCCCGTTTCCAACGAAATCCTCGAAGCTATCCAAATATCCACTTGCAGATTCCACAAAAAGAGTGTTTCAAAACTGCTCTGTCAAAAGATAGGTTCAACTCTGTTAGTTGAGTACACACATGGCAAACAAGATTCCGAGAATGCTTTCGTCTAGTTTTTTTGGGAAGATATTTCCTTCTTCACCATAGGCCTCAAAACGCTCCAAATATCCATTTCCACATGCTATACAAAGAGTGTCTCAAACCTGCTGTATGAATGGGAATGTTCAACTCTATGAGTTGAATGCAAACATCACAAAGAAGTTTCTGAGAATGCTGCTGTCTAGATTTTATATGAAGGTTTTCCCGCTTCCAACGAAATTTTCAATGCTCTCAAAATATCCTCTTGTAGATTCTACAAAAAGAGTGTTTCCAAACTGCTGTATCAAAACAAAGGTTCATCTCTGTTAGTTGAGGACACACATCACAAATAAGTTTCTGAGAATGCTTCTGTCTAGTTCTTATTTGAAGACATTTCCTTTCTCACCTTAGGCCTGAAAGCGCTCGAAATACCCACTTCCAGATACTACAGAAACAGTGATTCAAACCTGCTCTATGAAAGGGAATGTTCAACTATGTGACTTGAATGCAAACATCACAAAGCAGTTTCTGAGAATGCTGCTGTCTACTTTCTATTTGTAATCCCGTTTCCAACGAAATCCTCAGAACTATCGAAATTTCCAATTGCAGATTCCACAGAAACAGGGTTTCAAAGCTGCTCTGTAAAAAGAAAGATTCAACTCTGTTAGTTGAATACACACGTCACAAACAAGTTTCTGAGAATGCTTCTGTCTAGTTTTTATGGGAAGATATTTCCTTTTTCACCGTAGGCCTCAAAGCGCTCCAAATGTCCACTTCCACATACTACAAAAAGAGTGTTTCAAACCTGCTGTATGAAAGGGAATGTTCAACTCTATGAGTTGAATGCAAACATTACAAAGAAGTTTCTGAGAATGCTTCTGTCTAGATTTTATATGAAGGTTTTCCCGTTTCCAACGAAATTTTCAATGCTCTCAAAATATCCACTTGTAGATTCTACAAAAAGAGTGTTTCCAAACTGCTGTGTCAAAAGAAAGGTTCAACTCTGTTAGTTGAGGACACACATCACAAATAAGTTTCTGAGAATGCTTCTGTCTAGTTCTTATTTGAAGACATTTCCTTTCTCACCTTAGGCCTGAAAACGCTCGAAATATCCACTTCCAGATACGACAGAAACAGTGATTCAAACATGCTCTATGAAAGGGAATGTTCAACTAGGTGACTTGAATGCAAACATCACAAAGCAGTTTCTGAGAATGCTGCTGTCTACTTTCTATTTGTAATCCCGTTTCCAACGAAATCCTCAGAACTATCGAAATTTCCAATTGCAGATTCCACAGAAACAGGGTTTCAAAGCTGCTCTGTAAAAAGAAAGGTTCAACTCTGTTAGTTGAATACACACGTCACAAACAAGTTTCTGAGAATGCTTCTGTCTAGTTTTTATGGGAAGATATTTCCTTTTTCACCGTAGGCCTCAAAGCGCTCCAAATGTCCACTTCCACATACTACAAAAAGAGTGTTTCAAACCTGCTCTATGATAGGGAATGTTGAAACCTATGAGTTGAATGCAAGCATTACAAAGAGGTTTCTGAGAATGCTTCTGTCTAGATTTTATATGTAGATATTCCCGTTTCCAACGAAATCCTCAAAGCTATCCAAATATCAACTTGCAGATTCTACAAAAGGAATGTTTCCAAAATGCTGTATCCAAACAAAGGTTCAACTCTGTGAATTGAGGGCATACATCACAAAGAAGATTCTGAGAATGCTTCTGTCTAGATTTTATATGAAAATATTCCCGTTTCCAACGAAATCCTCAAAGCTATCCAAATATCCACTTGCAAATGCCACAAAAAGAGTGTTTCCAAACTGCTCTGTGAAAAGGAAGGTTCAACTCTGTTAGTTGAGTACACACATCACAAAGAGGTTTCTGAGAATGCTGCTGACTAGTTTTTATTTGAAGATATTTCCCTTTTCACCTTAGGCCTAAGAGTGCTCGAAATGTCCATTTCCACATACTCCACAAAGTGTGTTTCAAACGTGCTGTATGAAAGGGAATGTTCAACTCTATGAGTTGAATGCAAACATCACAAAGAAGATTCTGAGAATGCTTTTGTCTAGATTTTATATGAAGATATTCCCGTGTCCAACGAAATTTTCAAAGGTCTCCAAATATCCATTTGTAGATTCTACAAAAAGAGTGTTTCCAAACTGCTGTATCAAAACAAAGGTTGAACTCTGTGAGTTGAGGACACACATCACAAATAAGTTTCTGAGAATGCTTCTGTCTAGTTTTTATTTGAAGATGTTTCCTTTTTCACCATAGGCCTGAAAGCGCTCGAAATGTCCACTTCCAGATAGTACAGAAAGAGTGTTTCAAACCTGCTCTATGAACGGGAATGTTCAGCTCTGTGAGTTGAATGCAAACATCACAAAGCAGGTTCTGAGAATGCTTCCGTCTAGATTTTAAATGAGGATATTCCCGTTTCCAACGAAATCCTCGAAGCTATCCAAATATCCACTTGCAGATTCCACAAAAAGAGTGTTTCAAAACTGCTCTGTCAAAAGATAGGTTCAACTCTGTTAGTTGAGTACACACATGGCAAACAAGATTGCGAGAATGCCTTCGTCTAGTTTTTTTGGGAAGATATTTCCTTCTTCACCATAGGCCTCAAAGCGCTCCAAATATCCATTTCCACATGCTATACAAAGAGTGTCTCAAACCTGCTGTATGAATGGGAATGTTCAACTCTATGAGTTGAATGCAAACATCACAAAGAAGTTTCTGAGAATGCTGCTGTCTAGATTTTATATGAAGGTTTTCCCGCTTCCAACGAAATTTTCAATGCTCTCAAAATATCCTCTTGTAGATTCTACAAAAAGAGTGTTTCCAAACTGCTGTATCAAAACAAAGGTTCATCTCTGTTAGTTGAGGACACACATCACAAATAAGTTTCTGAGAATGCTTCTGTCTAGTTCTTATTTGAAGACATTTCCTTTCTCACCTTAGGCCTGAAAGCGCTCGAAATACCCACTTCCAGATACTACAGAAACAGTGATTCAAACCTGCTCTATGAAAGGGAATGTTCAACTATGTGACTTGAATGCAAACATCACAAAGCAGTTTCTGAGAATGCTGCTGTCTACTTTCTATTTGTAATCCCGTTTGCAACGAAATCCTCAGAACTATCGAAATTTCCAATTGCAGATTCCACAGAAACAGGGTTTCAAAGCTGCTCTGTAAAAAGAAAGGTTCAACTCTGTTAGTTGAATACACACGTCACAAACAAGTTTCTGAGAATGCTTCTGTCTAGTTTTTATGGGAAGATATTTCCTTTTTCACTGTAGGCCTCAAAGCGCTCCAAATGTCCACGTCCACATACTACAAAAAGAGTGTTTCAAACCTGCTGTATGAAAGGGAATGTTCAACTCTATGAGTTGAATGCAAACATTACAAAGAAGTTTCTGAGAATGCTTCTGTCTAGATTTTATATGAAGGTTTTCCCGTTTCCAACGAAATTTTCAATGCTCTCAAAATATCCACTTGTAGATTCTACAAAAAGAGTGTTTCCAAACTGCTGTGTCAAAAGAAAGGTTCAACTCTGTTAGTTGAGGACACACATCACAAATAAGTTTCTGAGAATGCTTCTGTCTAGTTCTTATTTGAAGACATTTCCTTTCTCACCTTAGGCCTGAAAACGCTCGAAATATCCACTTCCAGATACGACAGAAACAGTGATTCAAACCTGCTCTATGAAAGGGAATGTTCAACTAGGTGACTTGAATGCAAACATCACAAAGCAGTTTCTGAGAATGCTGCTGTCTACTTTCTATTTGTAATCCCGTTTCCAACGAAATCCTCAGAACTATCGAAATTTCCAATTGCAGATTCCACAAAAAGCGTGTTTCAAAGCTGCTCTGTAAAAAGAAAGGTTCAACTCTGTTAGTTGAATACACACGTCACAAACAAGTTTCTGAGAATGCTTCTGTCTAGTTTTTATGGGAAGATATTTCCTTTTTCACCGTAGGCCTCAAAGCGCTCCAAATGTCCACTTCCACATACTACAAAAAGAGTGTTTCAAACCTGCTGTATGAAAGGGAATGTTCAACTCTATGAGTTGAATGCAAACATTACAAAGAAGTTTCTGAGAATGCTTCTGTCTAGATTTTATATGAAGGTTTTCCCGTTTCCAACGAAATTTTCAATGCTCTCAAAATATCCACTTGTAGATTCTACAAAAAGAGTGTTTCCAAACTGCTGTGTCAAAAGAAAGGTTCAACTCTGTTAGTTGAGGACACACATCACAAATAAGTTTCTGAGAATGCTGCTGTCTAGTTCTTATTTGAAGACATTTCCTTTCTCACCTTAGGCCTGAAAACGCTCGAAATATCCACTTCCAGATACGACAGAAACAGTGATTCAAACCTGCTCTATGAAAGGGAATGTTCAACTAGGTGACTTGAATGCAAACATCACAAAGCAGTTTCTGAGAATGCTGCTGTCTACTTTCTATTTGTAATCCCGTTTCCAACGAAATCCTCAGAACTATCGAAATTTCCAATTGCAGATTCCACAAAAAGCGTGTTTCAAAGCTGCTCTGTAAAAAGAAAGGTTCAACTCTGTTAGTTGAATACACACGTCACAAACAAGTTTCTGAGAATGCTTCTGTCTAGTTTTTATGGGAAGATATTTCCTTTTTCACCGTAGGCCTCAAAGCGCTCCAAATGTCCACTTCCACATACTACAAAAAGAGTGTTTCAAACCTGCTCTATGATAGGGAATGTTGAAACCTATGAGTTGAATGCAAGCATTACAAAGAGGTTTCTGAGAATGCTTCTGTCTAGATTTTATATGTAGATATTCCCGTTTCCAACGAAATCCTCAAAGCTATCCAAATATCAGCTTGCAGATTCTGCAAAAGGAATGTTTCCAAAATGCTGTATCCAAACAAAGGTTCAACTACTGTGAATTGAGGGCATACATCACAAAGAAGATTCTGAGAATGCTTCTGTCTAGATTTTATATGAAAATATTCCCGTTTCCAACGAAATCCTCAAAGCTATCCAAATATCCACTTGCAAATGCCACAAAAAGAGTGTTTCCAAACTGCTCTGTGAAAAGGAAGGTTCAACTCTGTTAGTTGAGTACACACATCACAAAGAGGTTTCTGAGAATGCTGCTGACTAGTTTTTATTTGAAGATATTTCCCTTTTCACCTTAGGCCTAAGAGTGCTCGAAATGTCCATTTCCACATACTCCACAAAGTGTGTTTCAAACGTGCTGTATGAAAGGGAATGTTCAACTCTATGAGTTGAATGCAAACATCACAAAGAAGATTCTGAGAATGCTTTTGTCTAGATTTTATATGAAGATATTCCCGTGTCCAACGAAATTTTCAAAGGTCTCCAAATATCCATTTGTAGATTCTACAAAAAGAGTGTTTCCAAACTGCTGTATCAAAACAAAGGTTGAACTCTGTGAGTTGAGGACACACATCACAAATAAGTTTCTGAGAATGCTTCTGTCTAGTTTTTATTTGAAGATGTTTCCTTTTTCACCATAGGCCTGAAAGCGCTCGAAATGTCCACTTCCAGATAGTACAGAAAGAGTGTTTCAAACCTGCTCTATGAACGGGAATGTTCAGCTCTGTGAGTTGAATGCAAACATCACAAAGCAGGTTCTGAGAATGCTTCCGTCTAGATTTTAAATGAGGATATTCCCGTTTCCAACGAAATCCTCGAAGCTATCCAAATATCCACTTGCAGATTCCACAAAAAGAGTGTTTCAAAACTGCTCTGTCAAAAGATAGGTTCAACTCTGTTAGTTGAGTACACACATGGCAAACAAGATTCCGAGAATGCTTTCGTCTAGTTTTTTTGGGAAGATATTTCCTTCTTCACCATAGGCCTCAAAGCGCTCCAGATATCCATTTCCACATGCTATACAAAGAGTGTCTCAAACCTGCTGTATGAATGGGAATGTTCAACTCTATGAGTTGAATGCAAACATCACAAAGAAGTTTCTGAGAATGCTGCTGTCTAGATTTATATGAAGGTTTTCCCGCTTCCAACGAAATTTTCAATGCTCTCAAAATATCCTCTTGTAGATTCTACAAAAAGAGTGTTTCCAAACTGCTGTATCAAAACAAAGGTTCATCTCTGTTAGTTGAGGACACACATCACAAATAAGTTTCTGAGAATGCTTCTGTCTAGTTCTTATTTGAAGACATTTCCTTTCTCACCTTAGGCCTGAAAGCGCTCGAAATACCCACTTCCAGATACTACAGAAACAGTGATTCAAACCTGCTCTATGAAAGGGAATGTTCAACTAGGTGACTTGAATGCAAACATCACAAAGCAGTTTCTGAGAATGCTGCTGTCTACTTTCTATTTGTAATCCCGTTTCCAACGAAATCCTCAGAACTATCGAAATTTCCAATTGCAGATTCCACAGAAACAGGGTTTCAAAGCTGCTCTGTAAAAAGAAAGGTTCAACTCTGTTAGTTGAATACACACGTCACAAACAAGTTTCTGAGAATGCTTCTGTCTAGTTTTTATGGGAAGATATTTCCTTTTTCACCGTAGGCCTCAAAGCGCTCCAAATGTCCACGTCCACATACTACAAAAAGAGTGTTTCAAACCTGCTGTATGAAAGGGAATGTTCAACTCTATGAGTTGAATGCAAACATTACACAGAAGTTTCTGAGAATGCTTCTGTCTAGATTTTATATGAAGGTTTTCCTGTTTCCAACGAAATTTTCAATGCTCTCAAAATATCCACTTGTAGATTCTACAAAAAGAGTGTTTCCAAACTGCTGTGTCAAAAGAAAGGTTCAACTCTGTTAGTTGAGGACACACATCACAAATAAGTTTCTGAGAATGCTTCTGTCTAGTTCTTATTTGAAGACATTTCCTTTCTCACCTTAGGCCTGAAAACGCTCGAAATATCCACTTCCAGATACGACAGAAACAGTGATTCAAACCTGCTCTATGAAAGGGAATGTTCAACTAGGTGACTTGAATGCAAACATCACAAAGCAGTTTCTGAGAATGCTGCTGTCTACTTTCTATTTGTAATCCCGTTTCCAACGAAATCCTCAGAACTATCGAAATTTCCAATTGCAGATTCCACAAAAAGCGTGTTTCAAAGCTGCTCTGTAAAAAGAAAGGTTCAACTCTGTTAGTTGAATACACACGTCACAAACAAGTTTCTGAGAATGCTTCTGTCTAGTTTTTATGGGAAGATATTTCCTTTTTCACCGTAGGCCTCAAAGCGCTCCAAATGTCCACTTCCACATACTACAAAAAGAGTGTTTCAAACCTGCTGTATGAAAGGGAATGTTCAACTCTATGAGTTGAATGCAAACATTACAAAGAAGTTTCTGAGAAGGCTTCTGTCTAGATTTTATATGAAGGTTTTCCCGTTTCCAACGAAATTTTCAATGCTCTCAAAATATCCACTTGTAGATTCTACAAAAAGAGTGTTTCCAAACTGCTGTGTCAAAAGAAAGGTTCAACTCTGTTAGTTGAGGACACACATCACAAATAAGTTTCTGAGAATGCTTCTGTCTAGTTCTTATTTGAAGACATTTCCTTTCTCACCTTAGGCCTGAAAACGCTCGAAATATCCACTTCCAGATACGACAGAAACAGTGATTCAAACCTGCTCTATGAAAGGGAATGTTCAACTAGGTGACTTGAATGCAAACATCACAAAGCAGTTTCTGAGAATGCTGCTGTCTACTTTCTATTTGTAATCCCGTTTCCAACGAAATCCTCAGAACTATCGAAATTTCCAATTGCAGATTCCACAAAAAGCGTGTTTCAAAGCTGCTCTGTAAAAAGAAAGGTTCAACTCTGTTAGTTGAATACACACGTCACAAACAAGTTTCTGAGAATGCTTTCTATCTAGTTTTTATGGGAAGATATTTCCTTTTTCACCGTAGGCCTCAAAGCGCTCCAAATGTCCACTTCCACATACTACAAAAAGAGTGTTTCAAACCTGCTCTATGATAGGGAATGTTGAAACCTATGAGTTGAATGCAAGCATTACAAAGAAGTTTCTGAGAATGCTTCTGTCTAGATTTTATATGTAGATAGATATTCCCGTTTCCAACGAAATCCTCAAAGCTATCCAAATATCAACTTGCAGATTCTACAAAAGGAATGTTTCCAAAATGCTGTATCCAAACAAAGGTTCAACTCTGTGAATTGAGGGCATACATCACAAAGAAGATTCTGAGAATGCTTCTGTCTAGATTTTATATGAAAATATTCCCGTTTCCAACGAAATCCTCAAAGCTATCCAAATATCCACTTGCAAATGCCACAAAAAGAGTGTTTCCAAACTGCTCTGTGAAAAGGAAGGTTCAACTCTGTTAGTTGAGTACACACATCACAAAGAGGTTTCTGAGAATGCTGCTGACTAGTTTTTATTTGAAGATATTTCCCTTTTCACCTTAGGCCTAAGAGTGCTCGAAATGTCCATTTCCACATACTCCACAAAGTGTGTTTCAAACGTGCTGTATGAAAGGGAATGTTCAACTCTATGAGTTGAATGCAAACATCACAAAGAAGATTCTGAGAATGCTTTTGTCTAGATTTTATATGAAGATATTCCCGTGTCCAACGAAATTTTCAAAGGTCTCCAGATATCCATTTGTAGATTCTACAAAAAGAGTGTTTCCAAACTGCTGTATCAAAACAAAGGTTGAACTCTGTGAGTTGAGGACACACATCACAAATAAGTTTCTGAGAATGCTTCTGTCTAGTTTTTATTTGAAGATGTTTCCTTTTTCACCATAGGCCTGAAAGCGCTCGAAATGTCCACTTCCAGATAGTACAGAAAGAGTGTTTCAAACCTGCTCTATGAACGGGAATGTTCAGCTCTGTGAGTTGAATGCAAACATCACAAAGCAGGTTCTGAGAATGCTTCCGTCTAGATTTTAAATGAGGATATTCCCGTTTCCAACGAAATCCTCGAAGCTATCCAAATATCCACTTGCAGATTCCACAAAAAGAGTGTTTCAAAACTGCTCTGTCAAAAGATAGGTTCAACTCTGTTAGTTGAGTACACACATGGCAAACAAGATTGCGAGAATGCTTTCGTCTAGTTTTTTTGGGAAGATATTTCCTTCTTCACCATAGGCCTCAAAGCGCTCCAAATATCCATTTCCACATGCTATACAAAGAGTGTCTCAAACCTGCTGTATGAATGGGAATGTTCAACTCTATGAGTTGAATGCAAACATCACAAAGAAGTTTCTGAGAATGCTGCTGTCTAGATTTTATATGAAGGTTTTCCCGCTTCCAACGAAATTTTCAATGCTCTCAAAATATCCTCTTGTAGATTCTACAAAAAGAGTGTTTCCAAACTGCTGTATCAAAACAAAGGTTCATCTCTGTTAGTTGAGGACACACATCACAAATAAGTTTCTGAGAATGCTTCTGTCTAGTTCTTATTTGAAGACATTTCCTTTCTCACCTTAGGCCTGAAAACGCTCGAAA
Source organism: Homo sapiens (assembly GCF_000001405.40). Taxonomy (NCBI): domain Eukaryota; kingdom Metazoa; phylum Chordata; class Mammalia; order Primates; family Hominidae; genus Homo; species Homo sapiens. Next base: position 18,433,974 of record NC_000015.10, on the reverse strand, counting down.
TATCCACTTCCAGATACGACAGAAACAGTGATTCAAACCTGCTCTATGAAAGGGAATGTTCAACTAGGTGACTTGAATGCAAACATCACAAAGCAGTTTCTGAGAATGCTGCTGTCTACTTTCTATTTGTAATCCCGTTTCCAACGAAATCCTCAGAACTATCGAAATTTCCAATTGCAGATTCCACAGAAACAGGGTTTCAAAGCTGCTCTGTAAAAAGAAAGGTTCAACTCTGTTAGTTGAATACACACGTCACAAACAAGTTTCTGAGAATGCTTCTGTCTAGTTTTTATGGGAAGATATTTCCTTTTTCACGGTAGGCCTCAAAGCGCTCCAAATGTCCACTTCCACATACTACAAAAAGAGTGTTTCAAACCTGCTCTATGATAGGGAATGTTGAAACCTATGAGTTGAATGCAAGCATTACAAAGAGGTTTCTGAGAATGCTTCTGTCTAGATTTTATATGTAGATATTCCCGTTTCCAACGAAATCCTCAAAGCTATCCAAATATCAACTTGCAGATTCTACAAAAGGAATGTTTCCAAAATGCTGTATCCAAACAAAGGTTCAACTCTGTGAATTGAGGGCATACATCACAAAGAAGATTCTGAGAATGCTTCTGTCTAGATTTTATATGAAAATATTCCCGTTTCCAACGAAATCCTCAAAGCTATCCAAATATCCACTTGCAAATGCCACAAAAAGAGTGTTTCCAAACTGCTCTGTGAAAAGGAAGGTTCAACTCTGTTAGTTGAGTACACACATCACAAAGAGGTTTCTGAGAATGCTGCTGACTAGTTTTTATTTGAAGATATTTCCCTTTTCACCTTAGGCCTAAGAGTGCTCGAAATGTCCATTTCCACATACTCCACAAAGTGTGTTTCAAACGTGCTGTATGAAAGGGAATGTTCAACTCTATGAGTTGAATGCAAACATCACAAAGAAGATTCTGAGAATGCTTTTGTCTAGATTTTATATGAAGATATTCCCGTGTCCAACGAAATTTTCAAAGGTCTCCAAATATCCATTTGTAGATTCTACAAAAAGAGTGTTTCCAAACTGCTGTATCAAAACAAAGGTTGAACTCTGTGAGTTGAGGACACACATCACAAATAAGTTTCTGAGAATGCTTCTGTCTAGTTTTTATTTGAAGATGTTTCCTTTTTCACCATAGGCCTGAAAGCGCTCGAAATGTCCACTTCCAGATAGTACAGAAAGAGTGTTTCAAACCTGCTCTATGAACGGGAATGTTCAGCTCTGTGAGTTGAATGCAAACATCAAAAAGCAGGTTCTGAGAATGCTTCCGTCTAGATTTTAAATGAGGATATTCCCGTTTCCAACGAAATCCTCGAAGCTATCCAAATATCCACTTGCAGATTCCACAAAAAGAGTGTTTCAAAACTGCTCTGTCAAAAGATAGGTTCAACTCTGTTAGTTGAGTACACACATGGCAAACAAGATTCCGAGAATGCTTTCGTCTAGTTTTTTTGGGAAGATATTTCCTTCTTCACCATAGGCCTCAAAGCGCTCCAAATATCCATTTCCACATGCTATACAAAGAGTGTCTCAAACCTGCTGTATGAATGGGAATGTTCAACTCTATGAGTTGAATGCAAACATCACAAAGAAGTTTCTGAGAATGCTGCTGTCTAGATTTTATATGAAGGTTTTCCCGCTTCCAACGAAATTTTCAATGCTCTCAAAATATCCTCTTGTAGATTCTACAAAAAGAGTGTTTCCAAACTGCTGTATCAAAACAAAGGTTCATCTCTGTTAGTTGAGGACACACATCACAAATAAGTTTCTGAGAATGCTTCTGTCTAGTTCTTATTTGAAGACATTTCCTTTCTCACCTTAGGCCTGAAAACGCTCGAAATACCCACTTCCAGATACGACAGAAACAGGGATTCAAACCTGCTCTATGAAAGGGAATGTTCAACTATGTGACTTGAATGCAAACATCACAAAGCAGTTTCTGAGAATGCTGCTGTCTACTTTCTATTTGTAATCCCGTTTCCAACGAAATCCTCAGAACTATCGAAATTTCCAATTGCAGATTCCACAGAAACAGGGTTTCAAAGCTGCTCTGTAAAAAGAAAGGTTCAACTCTGTTAGTTGAATACACACGTCACAAACAAGTTTCTGAGAATGCTTCTGTCTAGTTTTTATGGGAAGATATTTCCTTTTTCACCGTAGGCCTCAAAGCGCTCCAAATGTCCACTTCCACATACTACAAAAAGAGTGTTTCAAACCTGCTGTATGAAAGTGAATGTTCAACTCTATGAGTTGAATGCAAACCTTACAAAGAAGTTTCTGAGAATGCTGCTGTCTAGATTTTATATGAAGGTTTTCCCGCTTCCAACGAAATTTTCAATGCTCTCAAGATATCCTCTTGTAGATTCTACAAAAAGAGTGTTTCCAAACTGCTGTATCAAAACAAAGGTTCATCTCTGTTAGTTGAGGACACACATCACAAATAAGTTTCTCAGAATGCTTCTGTCTAGTTCTTATTTGAAGACATTTCTTTTCTCACCTTAGGCCTGAAAGCGCTCGAAATACCCACTTCCAGATACTACAGAAAAAGTGATTCAAACCTGCTCTATGAAAGGGAATGTTCAACTATGTGACTTGAACGCAAACATCACAAAGCAGTTTCTGAGAATGCTGCTGTCTACTTTCCTATTTGTAATCCCGTTTCCAACGAAATCCTCAGAACTATCGAAATTTCCAATTGCAGATTCCACAGAAACAGGGTTTCAAAGCTGCTCTGTAAAAAGAAAGGTTCAACTCTGTTAGTTGAATACACACGTCACAAACAAGTTTCTGAGAATGCTTCTGTCTAGTTTTTATGGGAAGATATTTCCTTTTTCACCGTAGGCCTCAAAGCGCTCCAAATGTCCACTTCCACATACTACAAAAAGAGTGTTTCAAACCTGCTGTATGAAAGGGAATGTTCAACTCTATGAGTTGAATGCAAACATTACAAAGAAGTTTCTGAGAATGCTTCTGTCTAGATTTTATATGAAGGTTTTCCCGTTTCCAACGAAATTTTCAATGCTCTCAAAATATCCACTTGTAGATTCTACAAAAAGAGTGTTTCCAAACTGCTGTGTCAAAAGAAAGGTTCAACTCTGTTAGTTGAGGACACACATCACAAATAAGTTTCTGAGAATGCTTCTGTCTAGTTCTTATTTGAAGACATTTCCTTTCTCACCTTAGGCCTGAAAACGCTCGAAATATCCACTTCCAGATACGACAGAAACAGTGATTCAAACCTGCTCTATGAAAGGGAATGTTCAACTAGGTGACTTGAATGCAAACATCACAAAGCAGTTTCTGAGAATGCTGCTGTCTACTTTCTATTTGTAATCCCGTTTCCAACGAAATCCTCAGAACTATCGAAATTTCCAATTGCAGATTCCACAAAAAGCGTGTTTCAAAGCTGCTCTGTAAAAAGAAAGGTTCAACTCTGTTAGTTGAATACACACGTCACAAACAAGTTTCTGAGAATGCTTCTGTCTAGTTTTTATGGGAAGATATTTCCTTTTTCACGGTAGGCCTCAAAGCGCTCCAAATGTCCACTTCCACATACTACAAAAAGAGTGTTTCAAACCTGCTCTATGATAGGGAATGTTGAAACCTATGAGTTGAATGCAAGCATTACAAAGAGGTTTCTGAGAATGCTTCTGTCTAGATTTTATATGTAGATATTCCCGTTTCCAACGAAATCCTCAAAGCTATCCAAATATCAACTTGCAGATTCTACAAAAGGAATGTTTCCAAAATGCTGTATCCAAACAAAGGTTCAACTCTGTGAATTGAGGGCATACATCACAAAGAAGATTCTGAGAATGCTTCTGTCTAGATTTTATATGAAAATATTCCCGTTTCTAACGAAATCCTCAAAGCTATCCAAATATCCACTTGTAAATGCCACAAAAAGAGTGTTTCCAAACTGCTCTGTGAAAAGGAAGGTTCAACTCTGTTAGTTGAGTACACACATCACAAAGAGGTTTACTGAGAATGCTGCTGACTAGTTTTTATTTGAAGATATTTCCCTTTTCACCTTAGGCCTAAGAGTGCTCGAAATGTCAATTTCCACATACTCCACAAAGTGTGTTTCAAACGTGCTGTATGAAAGGGAATGTTCAACTCTATGAGTTGAATGCAAACATCACAAAGAAGATTCTGAGAATGCTTTTGTCTAGATTTTATATGAAGATATTCCCGTGTCCAACGAAATTTTCAATGCTCTCAAAATATCCACTTGTAGATTCTACAAAAAGAGTGTTTCCAAACTGCTGTGTCAAAAGAAAGGTTCAACTCTGTTAGTTGAGGACACACATCACAAATAAGTTTCTGAGAATGCTTCTGTCTAGTTCTTATTTGAAGACATTTCCTTTCTCACCTTAGGCCTGAAAACGCTCGAAATATCCACTTCCAGATACGACAGAAACAGTGATTCAAACCTGCTCTATGAAAGGGAATGTTCAACTAGGTGACTTGAATGCAAACATCACAAAGCAGTTTCTGAGAATGCTGCTGTCTACTTTCTATTTGTAATCCCGTTTCCAACGAAATCCTCAGAACTATCGAAATTTCCAATTGCAGATTCCACAAAAAGCGTGTTTCAAAGCTGCTCTGTAAAAAGAAAGGTTCAACTCTGTTAGTTGAATACACACGTCACAAACAAGTTTCTGAGAATGCTTCTGTCTAGTTTTTATGGGAAGATATTTCCTTTTTCACCGTAGGCCTCAAAGCGCTCCAAATGTCCACTTCCACATACTACAAAAAGAGTGTTTCAAACCTGCTCTATGATAGGGAATGTTGAAACCTATGAGTTGAATGCAAGCATTACAAAGAGGTTTCTGAGAATGCTTCTGTCTAGATTTTATATGTAGATATTCCCGTTTCCAACGAAATCCTCAAACTATCCAAATATCAACTTGCAGATTCTACAAAAGGAATGTTTCCAAAATGCTGTATCCAAACAAAGGTTCAACTCTGTGAATTGAGGGCATACATCACAAAGAAGATTCTGAGAATGCTTCTGTCTAGATTTTATATGAAAATATTCCCGTTTCCAACGAAATCCTCAAAGCTATCCAAATATCCACTTGCAAATGCCACAAAAAGAGTGTTTCCAAACTGCTCTGTGAAAAGGAAGGTTCAACTCTGTTAGTTGAGTACACACATCACAAAGAGGTTTCTGAGAATGCTGCTGACTAGTTTTTATTTGAAGATATTTCCCTTTTCACCTTAGGCCTAAGAGTGCTCGAAATGTCCATTTCCACATACTCCACAAAGTGTGTTTCAAACGTGCTGTATGAAAGGGAATGTTCAACTCTACGAGTTGAATGCAAACATCACAAAGAAGATTCTGAGAATGCTTTTGTCTAGATTTTATATGAAGATATTCCCGTGTCCAACGAAATTTTCAAAGGTCTCCAAATATCCATTTGTAGATTCTACAAAAAGAGTGTTTCCAAACTGCTGTATCAAAACAAAGGTTGAACTCTGTGAGTTGAGGACACACATCACAAATAAGTTTCTGAGAATGCTTCTGTCTAGTTTTTATTTGAAGATGTTTCCTTTTTCACCATAGGCCTGAAAGCGCTCGAAATGTCCACTTCCAGATAGTACAGAAAGAGTGTTTCAAACCTGCTCTATGAACGGGAATGTTCAGCTCTGTGAGTTGAATGCAAACATCACAAAGCAGGTTCTGAGAATGCTTCCGTCTAGATTTTAAATGAGGATATTCCCGTTTCCAACGAAATCCTCGAAGCTATCCAAATATCCACTTGCAGATTCCACAAAAAGAGTGTTTCAAAACTGCTCTGTCAAAAGATAGATTCAACTCTGTTAGTTGAGTACAAACATGGCAAACAAGATTCCGAGAATGCTTTCGTCTAGTTTTTTTGGGAAGATATTTCCTTCTTCACCATAGGCCTCAAAGCGCTCCAAATATCCATTTCCACATGCTATACAAAGAGTGTCTCAAACCTGCTGTATGAATGGGAATGTTCAACTCTATGAGTTGAATGCAAACATCACAAAGAAGTTTCTGAGAATGCTGCTGTCTAGATTTTATATGAAGGTTTTCCCGCTTCCAACGAAATTTTCAATGCTCTCAAAATATCCTCTTGTAGATTCTACAAAAAGAGTGTTTCCAAACTGCCGTATCAAAACAAAGGTTCATCTCTGTTAGTTGAGGACACACATCACAAATAAGTTTCTGAGAATGCTTCTGTCTAGTTCTTATTTGAAGACATTTCCTTTCTCACCTTAGGCCTGAAAGCGCTCGAAATACCCACTTCCAGATACGACAGAAACAGTGATTCAAACCTGCTCTATGAAAGGGAATGTTCAACTAGGTGACTTGAATGCAAACATCACAAAGCAGTTTCTGAGAATGCTGCTGTCTACTTTCTATTTGTAATCCCGTTTCCAACGAAATCCTCAGAACTATCGAAATTTCCAATTGCAGATTCCACAAAAAGCGTGTTTCAAAGCTGCTCTGTAAAAAGAAAGGTTCAACTCTGTTAGTTGAATACACACGTCACAAACAAGTTTCTGAGAATGCTTCTGTCTAGTTTTTATGGGAAGATATTTCCTTTTTCACCGTAGGCCTCAAAGCGCTCCAAATGTCCACTTCCACATACTACAAAAAGAGTGTTTCAAACCTGCTCTATGATAGGGAATGTTGAAACCTATGAGTTGAATGCAAGCATTACAAAGAGGTTTCTGAGAATGCTTCTGTCTAGATTTTATATGTAGATAGATATTCCCGTTTCCAACGAAATCCTCAAACTATCCAAATATCAACTTGCAGATTCTACAAAAGGAATGTTTCCAAAATGCTGTATCCAAACAAAGGTTTAACTCTGTGAATTGAGGGCATACATCACAAAGAAGATTCTGAGAATGCTTCTGTCTAGATTTTATATGAAAATATTCCCGTTTCCAACGAAATCCTCAAAGCTATCCAAATATCCACTTGCAAATGCCACAAAAAGAGTGTTTCCAAACTGCTCTGTGAAAAGGAAGGTTCAACTCTGTTAGTTGAGTACACACATCACAAAGAGGTTTCTGAGAATGCTGCTGACTAGTTTTTATTTGAAGATATTTCCCTTTTCACCTTAGGCCTAAGAGTGCTCGAAATGTCCATTTCCACATACTCCACAAAGTGTGTTTCAAACGTGCTGTATGAAAGGGAATGTTCAACTCTATGAGTTGAATGCAAACATCACAAAGAAGATTCTGAGAATGCTTTTGTCTAGATTTTATATGAAGATATTCCCGTGTCCAACGAAATTTTCAAAGGTCTCCAAATATCCATTTGTAGATTCTACAAAAAGAGTGTTTCCAAACTGCTGTATCAAAACAAAGGTTGAACTCTGTGAGTTGAGGACACACATCACAAATAAGTTTCTGAGAATGCTTCTGTCTAGTTTTTATTTGAAGATGTTTCCTTTTTCACCATAGGCCTGAAAGCGCTCGAAATGTCCACTTCCAGATAGTACAGAAAGAGTGTTTCAAACCTGCTCTATGAACGGGAATGTTCAGCTCTGTGAGTTGATTGCAAACATCACAAAGCAGGTTCTGAGAATGCTTCCGTCTAGATTTTAAATGAGGATATTCCCGTTTCCAACGAAATCCTCGAAGCTATCCAAATATCCACTTGCAGATTCCACAGAAAGAGTGTTTCAAAACTGCTCTCTCAAAAGATAGGTTCAACTCTGTTAGTTGAGTACACACATGGCAAACAAGATTCCGAGAATGCTTTCGTCTAGTTTTTTTGGGAAGATATTTCCTTCTTCACCATAGTCCTCAAAGCGCTCCAAATATCCATTTCCGCATGCTATACAAAGAGTGTCTCAAACCTGCTGTATGAATGGGAAAGTTCAACTCTATGAGTTGAATGCAAACATCACAAAGAAGTTTCTGAGAATGCTGCTGTCTAGATTTTATATGAAGGTTTTCCCGCTTCCAACGAAATTTTCAATGCTCTCAAAATATCCTCTTGTAGATTCTACAAAAAGAGTGTTTCCAAACTGCTGTATGAAAACAAAGGTTCATCTCTGTTAGTTGAGGACACACATCACAAATAAGTTTCTGAGAATGCTTCTGTCTAGTTCTTATTTGAAGACATTTCCTTTCTCACCTTAGGCCTGAAAGCGCTCGAAATACCCACTTCCAGATACTACAGAAACAGTGATTCAAACCTGCTCTATGAAAGGGAATGTTCAACTAGGTGACTTGAATGCAAACATCACAAAGCAGTTTCTGAGAATGCTGCTGTCTACTTTCTATTTGTAATCCCGTTTCCAACGAAATCCTCAGAACTATCGAAATTTCCAATTGCAGATTCCACAGAAACAGGGTTTCAAAGCTGCTCTGTAAAAAGAAAGGTTCAACTCGGTTAGTTGAATACACACGTCACAAACAAGTTTCTGAGAATGCTTCTGTCTTGTTTTTATGGGAAGATACTTCCTTTTTCACCGTAGGCCTCAAAGCGCTCCAAATGTCCACTTCCACATACTACAAAAAGAGTGTTTCAAACCTGCTGTATGAAAGGGAATGTTCAACTCTATGAGTTGAATGCAAACATTACAAAGAAGTTTCTGAGAATGCTTCTGTCTAGATTTTATATGAAGGTTTTCCCGTTTCCAACGAAATTTTCAATGCTCTCAAAATATCCACTTGTAGATTCTACAAAAAGAGTGTTTCCAAACTGCTGTGTCAAAAGAAAGGTTCAACTCTGTTAGTTGAGGACACACATCACAAATAAGTTTCTGAGAATGCTTCTGTCTAGTTCTTATTTGAAGACATTTCCTTTCTCACCTTAGGCCTGAAAACGCTCGAAATATCCACTTCCAGATACGACAGAAACAGTGATTCAAACCTGCTCTATGAAAGGGAATGTTCAACTAGGTGACTTGAATGCAAACATCACAAAGCAGTTTCTGAGAATGCTGCTGTCTACTTTCTATTTGTAATCCCGTTTCCAACGAAATCCTCAGAACTATCGAAATTTCCAATTGCAGATTCCACAGAAACAGGGTTTCAAAGCTGCTCTGTAAAAAGAAAGGTTCAACTCTGTTAGTTGAATACACACGTCACAAACAAGTTTCTGAGAATGCTTCTGTCTAGTTTTTATGGGAAGATATTTCCTTTTTCACCGTAGGCCTCAAAGCGCTCCAAATGTCCACTTCCGCATACTACAAAAAGAGTGTTTCAAACCTGCTGTATGAAAGGGAATGTTCAACTCTATGAGTTGAATGCAAACATTACAAAGAAGTTTCTGAGAATGCTTCTGTCTAGATTTTATATGAAGGTTTTCCCGTTTCCAACGAAATTTTCAATGCTCTCAAAATATCCACTTGTAGATTCTACAAAAAGAGTGTTTCCAAACTGCTGTGTCAAAAGAAAGGTTCAACTCTGTTAGTTGAGGACACACATCACAAATAAGTTTCTGAGAATGCTTCTGTCTAGTTCTTATTTGAAGACATTTCCTTTCTCACCTTAGGCCTGAAAACGCTCGAAATATCCACTTCCAGATACGACAGAATCAGTGATTCAAACCTGCTCTATGAAAGGGAATGTTCTACTAGGTGACTTGAATGCAAACATCACAAAGCAGTTTACTGAGAATGCTGCTGTCTACTTTCTATTTGTAATCCCGTTTCCAACGAAATCCTCAGGAACTATCGAAATTTCCAATTGCAGATTCCACAGAAACAGGGTTTCAAAGCTGCTCTGTAAAAAGAAAGGTTCAACTCTGTTAGTTGAATACACACGTCACAAACAAGTTTCTGAGAATGCTTCTGTCTAGTTTTTATGGGAAGATATTTCCTTTTTCACCGTAGGCCTCAAAGCGCTCCAAATGTCCACTTCCACATACTACAAAAAGAGTGTTTCAAACCTGCTGTATGAAAGGGAATGTTCAACTCTATGAGTTGAATGCAAACATTACAAAGAAGTTTCTGAGAATGCTTCTGTCTAGATTTTATATGAAGGTTTTCCCGTTTCCAACGAAATTTTCAATGCTCTCAAAATATCCACTTGTAGATTCTACAAAAAGAGTGTTTCCAAACTGCTGTGTCAAAAGAAAGGTTCAACTCTGTTAGTTGAGGACACACATCACAAATAAGTTTCTGAGAATGCTTCTGTCTAGTTCTTATTTGAAGACATTTCCTTTCTCACCTTAGGCCTGAAAACGCTCGAAATATCCACTTCCAGATACGACAGAAACAGTGATTCAAACCTGCTCTATGAAAGGGAATGTTCAACTAGGTGACTTGAATGCAAACATCACAAAGCAGTTTCTGAGAATGCTGCTGTCTACTTTCTATTTGTAATCCCGTTTCCAACGAAATCCTCAGAACCATCGAAATTTCCAATTGCAGATTCCACAGAAACAGGGTTTAAAAGCTGCTCTGTAAAAAGAAAGGTTCAACTCTGTTAGTTGAATACACACGTCACAAACAAGTTTCTGAGAATGCTTCTGTCTAGTTTTTATGGGAAGATATTTCCTTTTTCACGGTAGGCCTCAAAGCGCTCCAAATGTCCACTTCCACATACTACAAAAAGAGTGTTTCAAACCTGCTCTATGATAGGGAATGTTGAAACCTATGAGTTGAATGCAAGCATTACAAAGAGGTTTCTGAGAATGCTTCTGTCTAGATTTTATATGTAGATATTCCCGTTTCCAACGAAATCCTCAAAGCTATCCAAATATCAACTTGCAGATTCTACAAAAGGAATGTTTCCAAAGTGCTGTATCCAAACAAAGGTTCAACTCTGTGAATTGAGGGCATACATCACAAAGAAGATTCTGAGAATGCTTCTGTCTAGATTTTATATGAAAATATTCCCGTTTCCAACGAAATCCTCAAAGCTATCCAAATATCCACTTGCAAATGCCACAAAAAGAGTGTTTCCAAACTGCTCTGTGAAAAGGAAGGTTCAACTCTGTTAGTTGAGTACACACATCACAAAGAGGTTTCTGAGAATGCTGCTGACTAGTTTTTATTTGAAGATATTTCCCTTTTCACCTTAGGCCTAAGAGTGCTCGAAATGTCCATTTCCACATACTCCACAAAGTGTGTTTCAAACGTGCTGTATGAAAGGGAATGTTCAACTCTATGAGTTGAATGCAAACATCACAAAGAAGACTCTGAGAATGCTTTTGTCTAGATTTTATATGAAGATATTCCCGTGTCCAACGAAATTTTCAAAGGTCTCCAAATATCCATTTGTAGATTCTACAAAAAGAGTGTTTCCAAACTGCTGTATCAAAACAAAGGTTGAACTCTGTGAGTTGAGGACACACATCACAAATAAGTTTCTGAGAATGCTTCTGTCTAGTTTTTATTTGAAGATGTTTCCTTTTTCACCATAGGCCTGAAAGCGCTCGAAATGTCCACTTCCAGATAGTACAGAAAGAGTGTTTCAAACCTGCTCTATGAACGGGAATGTTCAGCTCTGTGAGTTGAATGCAAACATCACAAAGCAGGTTCCGAGAATGCTTCCGTCTAGATTTTAAATGAGGATATTCCCGTTTCCAACGAAATCCTCGAAGCTATCCAAATATCCACTTGCAGATTCCACAAAAAGAGTGTTTCAAAACTGCTCTGTCAAAAGATAGGTTCAACTCTGTTAGTTGAGTACACACATGGCAAACAAGATTGCGAGAATGCTTTCGTCTAGTTTTTTTGGGAAGATATTTCCTTCTTCACCATAGGCCTCAAAGCGCTCCAAATATCCATTTCCACATGCTATACAAAGAGTGTCTCAAACCTGCTGTATGAATGGGAATGTTCAACTCTATGAGTTGAATGCAAACATCACAAAGAAGTTTCTGAGAATGCTGCTGTCTAGATTTTATATGAAGGTTTTCCCGCTTCCAACGAAATTTTCAATGCTCTCAAAATATCCTCTTGTTGATTCGACAAAAAGAGTGTTTCCAAACTGCTGTATCAAAACAAAGGTTCATCTCTGTTAGTTGAGGACACACATCACAAATAAGTTTCTGAGAATGCTTCTGTCTAGTTCTTATTTGAAGACATTTCCTTTCTCACCTTAGGCCTGAAAGCGCTCGAAATACCCACTTCCAGATACTACAGAAACAGTGATTCAAACCTGCTCTATGAAAGGGAATGTTCAACTATGTGACTTGAATGCAAACATCACAAAGCAGTTTCTGAGAATGCTGCTGTCTACTTTCTATTTGTAATCCCGTTTCCAACGAAATCCTCAGAACTATCGAAATTTCCAATTGCAGATTCCACAGAAACAGGGTTTCAAAACTGCTCTGTAAAAAGAAAGGTTCAACTCTGTTAGTTGAATACACACGTCACAAACAAGTTTCTGAGAATGCTTCTGTCTAGTTTTTATGGGAAGATATTTCCTTTTTCACCGTAGGCCTCAAAGCGCTCCAAATGTCCACTTCCACATACTACAAAAAGAGTGTTTCAAACCTGCTGTATGAAAGGGAATGTTCAACTCTATGCGTTGAATGCAAACATTACAAAGAAGTTTCTGAGAATGCTTCTGTCTAGATTTTATATGAAGGTTTTCCCGTTTCCAACGAAATTTTCAATGCTCTCAAAATATCCACTTGTAGATTCTACAAAAAGTGTGTTTCCAAACTGCTGTGTCAAAAGAAAGGTTCAACTCTGTTAGTTGAGGACACACATCACAAATAAGTTTCTGAGAATGCTTCTGTCTAGTTCTTATTTGAAGACATTTCCTTTCTCACCTTAGGCTTGAAAACGCTCGAAATATCCACTTCCAGATACGACAGAAACAGTGATTCAAACCTGCTCTATGAAAGGGAATGTTCAACTAGGTGACTTGAATGCAAACATCACAAAGCAGTTTCTGAGCAATGCTGCTGTCTACTTTGTATTTGTAATCCCGTTTCCAACGAAATCCTCAGAACTATCGAAATTTCCAATTGCAGATTCCACAAAAAGCGTGTTTCAAAGCTGCTCTGTAGAAAGAAAGGTTCAACTCTGTTAGTTGAATACACACGTCACAAACAAGTTTCTGAGAATGCTTCTGTCTAGTTTTTATGGGAAGATATTTCCTTTTTCACCGTAGGCCTCAAAGCGCTCCAAATGTCCGCTTCCACATACTACAAAAAGAGTGTTTCAAACCTGCTGTATGAAAGGGAATGTTCAACTCCTATGAGTTGAATGCAAACTTTACAAAGAAGTTTCTGAGAATGCTTCTGTCTAGATTTTATATGAAGATTTTCCCGTTTCCAACGAAATTTTCAATGCTCTGAAAATATCCACTTGTAGATTCTACAAAAAGAGTGTTTCCAAACTGCTGTGTCAAAAGAAAGGTTCAACTCTGTTAGTTGAGGACACACATCACAAATAAGTTTCTGAGAATGCTTCTGTCTAGTTCTTATTTGAAGACATTTCCTTTCTCACCTTAGGCCTGAAAACGCTCGAAATATCCACTTCCAGATACGACAGAAACAGTGATTCAAACCTGCTCTATGAAAGGGAATGTTCAACTAGGTGACTTGAATGCAAACATCACAAAGCAGTTTCTGAGAATGCTGCTGTCTACTTTCTATTTGTAATCCCGTTTCCAACGAAATCCTCAGAACTATCGAAATTTCCAATTACAGATTCCACAAAAAGCGTGTTTCAAAGCTGCTCTGTAAAAAGAAAGGTTCAACTCTGTTAGTTGAATACACACGTCACAAACAAGTTTCTGAGAATGCTTCTGTCTAGTTTTTATGGGAAGATATTTCCTTTTTCACCGTAGGCCTCAAAGCGCTCCAAATGTCCACTTCCACATACTACAAAAAGAGTGTTTCAAACCTGCTCTATGATAGGGAATGTTGAAACCTATGAGTTGAATGCAAGCATTACAAAGAAGTTTCTGAGAATGCTTCTGTCTAGATTTTATATGTAGATAGATATTCCCGTTTCCAACGAAATCCTCAAAGCTATCCAAATATCAACTTGCAGATTCTACAAAAGGAATGTTTCCAAAATGCTGTATCCAAACAAAGGTTCAACTCTGTGAATTGAGGGCATACATCACAAAGAAGATTCTGAGAATGCTTCTGTCTACATTTTATATGAAAATATTCCCGTTTCCAACGAAATCCTCAAAGCTATCCAAATATCCACTTGCAAATGCCACAAAAAGAGTGTTTCCAAACTGCTCTGTGAAAAGGAAGGTTCAACTCTGTTAGTTGAGTACACACATCACAAAGAGGTTTCTGAGAATGCTGCTGACTAGTTTTTATTTGAAGATATTTCCCTTTTCACCTTAGGCCTAAGAGTGCTCGAAATGTCCATTTCCACATACTCCACAAAGTGTGTTTCAAACGTGCTGTATGAAAGGGAATGTTCAACTCTATGAGTTGAATGCAAACATCACAAAGAAGATTCTGAGAATGCTTTTGTCTAGATTTTATATGAAGATATTCCCGTGTCCAACGAAATTTTCAAAGGTCTCCAAATATCCATTTGTAGATTCTACAAAAAGAGTGTTTCCAAACTGCTGTATCAAAACAAAGGTTGAACTCTGTGAGTTGAGGACACACATCACAAATAAGTTTCTGAGAATGCTTCTGTCTAGTTTTTATTTGAAGATGTTTCCTTTTTCACCATAGGCCTGAAAGCGCTCGAAATGTCCACTTCCAGATAGTACAGAAAGAGTGTTTCAAACCTGCTCTATGAACGGGAATGTTCAGCTCCGTGAGTTGAATGCAAACATCACAAAGCAGGTTCTGAGAATGCTTCCGTCTAGATTTTAAATGAGGATATTCCCGTTTCCAACGAAATCCTCGAAGCTATCCAAATATCCACTTGCAGATTCCACAAAAAGAGTGTTTCAAAACTGCTCTGTCAAAAGATAGGTTCAACTCTGTTAGTTGAGTACACACATGGCAAACAAGATTGCGAGAATGCTTTCGTCTAGTTTTTTTGGGAAGATATTTCCTTCTTCACCATAGGCCTCAAAGCGCTCCAAATATCCATTTCCACATGCTATACAAAGAGTGTCTCAAACCTGCTGTATGAATGGGAATGTTCAACTCTATGAGTTGAATGCAAACATCACAAAGAAGTTTCTGAGAATGCTGCTGTCTAGATTTTATATGAAGGTTTTCCCGCTTCCAACGAAATTTTCAATGCTCTCAAAATATCCTCTTGTAGATTCTACAAAAAGAGTGTTTCCAAACTGCTGTATCAAAACAAAGGTTCATCTCTGTTAGTTGAGGACACACATCACAAATAAGTTTCTGAGAATGCTTCTGTCTAGTTCTTATTTGAAGACATTTCCTTTCTCACCTTAGGCCTGAAAGCGCTCGAAATACCCACTTCCAGATACTACAGAAACAGTGATTCAAACCTGCTCTATGAAAGGGAATGTTCAACTATGTGACTTGAATGCAAACATCACAAAGCAGTTTCTGAGAATGCTGCTGTCTACTTTCTATTTGTAATCCTGTTTCCAACGAAATCCTCAGAACTATCGAAATTTCCAATTGCAGATTCCACAGAAACAGGGTTTCAAAGCTGCTCTGTAAAAAGAAAGGTTCAACTCTGTTAGTTGAATACACACGTCACAAACCAGTTTCTGAGAATGCTTCTGTCTAGTTTTTATGGGAAGATATTTCCTTTTTCACCGTAGGCCTCAAAGCGCTCCAAATGTCCCCTTCCACATACTACAAAAAGAGTGTTTCAAACCTGCTGTATGATAGGGAATGTTGAAACCTATGAGTTGAATGCAAACATTACAAAGAGGTTTCTGAGAATGCTTCTGTCTAGATTTTATATGAAGATTTTCCCGTTTCCAACGAAATTTTCAATGCTCTCAAAATATCCACTTGTAGATTCTACAAAAAGAGTGTTTCCAAACTGCTGTGTCAAAAGAAAGGTTCAACTCTGTTAGTTGAGGACACACATCACAAATAAGTTTCTGAGAATGCTTCTGTCTAGTTCTTATTTGAAGACATTTCCTTTCTCACCTTAGGCCTGAAAACGCTCGAAATATCCACTTCCAGATACGACAGAAACAGTGATTCAAACCTGCTCTATGAAAGGGAATGTTCAACTAGGTGACTTGAATGCAAACATCACAAAGCAGTTTCTGAGAATGCTGCTGTCTACTTTCTATTTGTAATCCCGTTTCCAACGAAATCCTCAGAACTATCGAAATTTCCAATTGCAGATTCCACAAAAAGCGTGTTTCAAAGCTGCTCTGTAAAAAGAAAGGTTCAACTCTGTTAGTTGAATACACACGTCACAAACAAGTTTGCTGAGAATGCTTCTGTCTAGTTTTTATGGGAAGATATTTCCTTTTTCACCGTAGGCCTCAAAGCGCTCCAAATGTGCACTTCCACATACTACAAAAAGAGTGTTTCAAACCTGCTCTATGATAGGGAATGTTGAAACCTATGAGTTGAATGCAAGCATTACAAAGAGGTTTCTGAGAATGCTTCTGTCTAGATTTTATATGTAGATATTCCCGTTTCCAACGAAATCCTCAAACTATCCAAATATCAACTTGCAGATTCTACAAAAGGAATGTTTCCAAAATGCTGTATCCAAACAAAGGTTCAACTCTGTGAATTGAGGGCATACATCACAAAGAAGATTCTGAGAATGCTTCTGTCTAGATTTTATATGAAAATATTCCCGTTTCAAAGAAATCCTCAAAGCTATCCAAATATCCACTTGCAAATGCCACAAAAAGAGTGTTTCCAAACTGCTCTGTGAAAAGGAAGGTTCAACTCTGTTAGTTGAGTACACACATCACAAAGAGGTTTCTGAGAATGCTGCTGACTAGTTTTTATTTGAAGATATTTCCCTTTTCACCTTAGGCCTAAGAGTGCTCGAAATGTCCATTTCCACATACTCCACAAAGTGTGTTTCAAACGTGCTGTATGAAAGGGAATGTTCAACTCTATGAGTTGAATGCAAACATCACAAAGAAGATTCTGAGAATGCTTTTGTCTAGATTTTATATGAAGATATTCCCGTGTCCAACGAAATTTTCAAAGGTCTCCAAATATCCATTTGTAGATTCTACAAAAAGAGTGTTTCCAAACTGCTGTATCAAAACAAAGGTTGAACTCTGTGAGTTGAGGACACACATCACAAATAAGTTTCTGAGAATGCTTCTGTCTAGTTTTTATTTGAAGATGTTTCCTTTTTCACCATAGGCCTGAAAGCGCTCGAAATGTCCACTTCCAGATAGTACAGAAAGAGTGTTTCAAACCTGCTCTATGAACGGGAATGGTCAGCTCTGTGAGTTGAATGCAAACATCACAAAGGCAGGTTCTGAGAATGCTTCCGTCTAGATTTTAAATGAGGATATTCCCGTTTCCAACGAAATCCTCGAAGCTATCCAAATATCCACTTGCAGATTCCACAAAAAGAGTGTTTTAAAACTGCTCTGTCAAAAGATAGGTTCAACTCTGTTAGTTGAGTACACACATGGCAAACAAGATTCCGAGAATGCTTTTCGTCTAGTTTTTTTGGGAAGATATTTCCTTCTTCACCATAGGCCTCAAAGCGCTCCAAATATCCATTTCCAAATGCTATACAAAGAGTGTCTCAAACCTGCTGTATGAATGGGAATGTTCAACTCTATGAGTTGAATGCAAACATCACAAAGAAGTTTCTGAGAATGCTGCTGTCTAGATTTTATATGAAGGTTTTCCCGCTTCCAATGAAATTTTCAATGCTCTCAAAATATCCTCTTGTAGATTCTACAAAAAGAGTGTTTCTAAACTGCTGTGTCAAAACAAAGTTTCATCTCTGTTAGTTGAGGACACACATCACAAATAAGTTTCTGAGAATGCTTCTGTCTAGTTCTTATTTGAAGACATTTCCTTTCTCACCTTAGGCCTGAAAACGCTCGAAATATCCACTTCCAGATACGACAGAAACAGGGATTCAAACCTGCTCTATGAAAGGGAATGTTCAACTAGGTGACTTGAATGCAAACATCACAAAGCAGTTTCTGAGAATGCTGCTGTCTACTTTCTATTTGTAATCCCGTTTCCAACGAAATCCTCAGAACTATCAAAATTTCCAATTGCAGATTCCACAAAAAGCGTGTTTCAAAGCTGCTCTGTAAAAAGAAAGGTTCAACTCTGTTAGTTGAATACACACGTCACAAACAAGTTTCTGAGAATGCTTCTGTCTAGTTTTTATGGGAAGATATTTGCTTTTTCACCGTAGGCCTCAAAGCGCTCCAAATGTCCACTTCCACATACTACAAAAAGAGTGTTTCAAACCTGCTCTATGATAGGGAATGTTGAAACCTATGAGTTGAATGCAAGCATTACAAAGAGGTTTCTGAGAATGCTTCTGTCTAGATTTTATATGTAGATATTCCCGTTTCCAACGAAATCCTCAAAGCTATCCAAATATCAACTTGCAGATTCTACAAAAGGAATGTTTCCAAAATGCTGTATCCAAACAAAGGTTCAACTCTGGGAATTGAGGGCATACATCACAAAGAAGATTCTGAGAATGCTTCTGTCTAGATTTTATATGAAAATATTCCCGTTTCCAACGAAATCCTCAAAGCTATCCAAATATCCACTTGCAAATGCCACAAAAAGAGTGTTTCCAAACTGCTCTGTGAAAAGGAAGGTTCAACTCTGTTAGTTGAGTACACACATCACAAAGAGGTTTCTGAGAATGCTGCTGACTAGTTTTTATTTGAAGATATTTCCCTTTTCACCTTAGGCCTAAGAGTGCTCGAAATGTCCATTTCCACATACTCCACAAAGTGTGTTTCAAACGTGCTGTATGAAAGGGAATGTTCAACTCTATGAGTTGAATGCAAACATCACAAAGAAGATTCTGAGAATGCTTCTGTCTAGATTTTATATGAAGATATTCCCGTGTCCAACGAAATTTTCAAAGGTCTCCAAATATCCATTTGTAGATTCTACAAAAAGAGTGTTTCCAAACTGCTGTATCAAAACAAAGGTTGAACTCTGTGAGTTGAGGACACACATCACAAATAAGTTTCTGAGAATGCTTCTGTCTAGTTTTTATTTGAAGATGTTTCCTTTTTCACCATAGGCCTGAAAGCGCTCGAAATGTCCACTTCCAGATAGTACAGAAAGAGTGTTTCAAACCTGCTCTATGAACGGGAATGTTCAGCTCTGTGAGTTGAATGCAAACATCACAAAGCAGGTTCTGAGAATGCTTCCGTCTAGATTTTAAATGAGGATATTCCCGTTTCCAACGAAATCCTCGAAGCTATCCAAATATCCACTTGCAGATTCCACAAAAAGAGTGTTTCAAAACTGCTCTGTCAAAAGATAGTTTCAACTCTGTTAGTTGAGTACACACATGGCAAACAAGATTCCGAGAATGCTTTCGTCTAGTTTTTTTGGGAAGATATTTCCTTCTTCACCATAGGCCTCAAAGCGCTCCAAATATCCATTTCCACATGCTATACAAAGAGTGTCTCAAACCTGCTGTATGAATGGGAATGTTCAACTCTATGAGTTGAATGCAAACATCACAAAGAAGTTTCTGAGAATGCTGCTGTCTAGATTTTATATGAAGGTTTTCCCGCTTCCAACGAAATTTTCAATGCTCTCAAAATATCCTCTTGTAGATTCTACAAAAAGAGTGTTTCCAAACTGCTGTATCAAAACAAAGGTTCATCTCTGTTAGTTGAGGACACACATCACAAATAAGTTTCTGAGAATGCTTCTGTCTAGTTCTTATTTGAAGACATTTCCTTTCTCACCTTAGGCCTGAAAGCGCTCGAAATACCCACTTCCAGATACTACAGAAACAGTGATTCAAACCTGCTCTATGAAAGGGAATGTTCAACTAGGTGACTTGAATGCAAACATCACAAAGCAGTTTCTGAGAATGCTGCTGTCTACTTTCTATTTGTAATCCCGTTTCCAACGAAATCCTCAGAACTATCGAAATTTCCAATTGCAGATTCCACAGAAACAGGGTTTCAAAGCTGCTCTGTAAAAAGAAAGGTTCAACTCTGTTAGTTGAATACACACGTCACAAACAAGTTTCTGAGAATGCTTCTGTCTAGTTTTTATGGGAAGATATTTCCTTTTTCACCGTAGGCCTCAAAGCGCTCCAAATGTCCACGTCCACATACTACAAAAAGAGTGTTTCAAACCTGCTGTATGAAAGGGAATGTTCAACTCTATGAGTTGAATGCAAACATTACAAAGAAGTTTCTGAGAATGCTTCTGTCTAGATTTTATATGAAGGTTTTCCCGTTTCCAACGAAATTTTCAATGCTCTCAAAATATCCACTTGTAGATTCTACAAAAAGAGTGTTTCCAAACTGCTGTGTCAAAAGAAAGGTTCAACTCTGTTAGTTGAGGACACACATCACAAATAAGTTTCTGAGAATGCTTCTGTCTAGTTCTTATTTGAAGACATTTCCTTTCTCACCTTAGGCCTGAAAACGCTCGAAATATCCACTTCCAGATACGACAGAAACAGTGATTCAAACCTGCTCTATGAAAGGGAATGTTCAACTAGGTGACTTGAATGCAAACATCACAAAGCAGTTTCTGAGAATGCTGCTGTCTACTTTCTATTTGTAATCCCGTTTCCAACGAAATCCTCAGAACTATCGAAATTTCCAATTGCAGATTCCACAAAAAGCGTGTTTCAAAGCTGCTCTGTAAAAAGAAAGGTTCAACTCTGTTAGTTGAATACACACGTCACAAACAAGTTTCTGAGAATGCTTCTGTCTAGTTTTTATGGGAAGATATTTCCTTTTTCACCGTAGGCCTCAAAGCGCTCCAAATGTCCACTTCCACATACTACAAAAAGAGTGTTTCAAACCTGCTGTATGAAAGGGAATGTTCAACTCTATGAGTTGAATGCAAACATTACAAAGAAGTTTCTGAGAATGCTTCTGTCTAGAATTTATATGAAGGTTTTCCCGTTTCCAACGAAATTTTCAATGCTCTCAAAATATCCACTTGTAGATTCTACAAAAAGAGTGTTTCCAAACTGCTGTGTCAAAAGAAAGGTTCAACTCTGTTAGTTGAGGACACACATCACAAACAAGTTTCTGAGAATGCTTCTGTCTAGTTCTTATTTGAAGACATTTCCTTTCTCACCTTAGGCCTGAAAACGCTCGAAATATCCACTTCCAGATACGACAGAAACAGTGATTCAAACCTGCTCTATGAAAGGGAATGTTCAACTAGGTGACTTGAATGCAAACATCACAAAGCAGTTTCTGAGAATGCTGCTGTCTACTTTCTATTTGTAATCCCGTTTCCAACGAAATCCTCAGAACTATCGAAATTTCCAATTGCAGATTCCACAAAAAGCGTGTTTCAAAGCTGCTCTGTAAAAAGAAAGGTTCAACTCTGTTAGTTGAATACACACGTCACAAACAAGTTTCTGAGAATGCTTCTGTCTAGTTTTTATGGGAAGATATTTCCTTTTTCACCGTAGGCCTCAAAGCGCTCCAAATGTCCACTTCCACATACTACAAAAAGAGTGTTTCAAACCTGCTCTATGATAGGGAATGTTGAAACCTATGAGTTGAATGCAAGCATTACAAAGAGGTTTCTGAGAATGCTTCTGTCTAGATTTTATATGTAGATATTCCCGTTTCCAACGAAATCCTCAAAGCTATCCAAATATCAACTTGCAGATTCTACAAAAGGAATGTTTCCAAAATGCTGTATCCAAACAAAGGTTCAACTCTGTGAATTGAGGGCATACATCACAAAGAAGATTCTGAGAATGCTTCTGTCTAGATTTTATATGAAAATATTCCCGTTTCCAACGAAATCCTCAAAGCTATCCAAATATCCACTTGCAAATGCCACAAAAAGAGTGTTTCCAAACTGCTCTGTGAAAAGGAAGGTTCAACTCTGTTAGTTGAGTACACACATCACAAAGAGGTTTCTGAGAATGCTGCTGACTAGTTTTTATTTGAAGATATTTCCCTTTTCACCTTAGGCCTAAGAGTGCTCGAAATGTCCATTTCCACATACTCCACAAAGTGTGTTTCAAACGTGCTGTATGAGAGGGAATGTTCAACTCTATGAGTTGAATGCAAACATCACAAAGAAGATTCTGAGAATGCTTTTGTCTAGATTTTATATGAAGATATTCCCGTGTCCAACGAAATTTTCCAAGGTCTCAAAATATCCATTTGTAGATTCTACAAAAAGAGTGTTTCCAAACTGCTGTATCAAAACAAAGGTTGAACTCTGTGAGTTGAGGACACACATCACAAATAAGTTTCTGAGAATGCTTCTGTCTAGTTTTTATTTGAAGATGTTTCCTTTTTCACCATAGGCCTGAAAGCGCTCGAAATGTCCACTTCCAGATAGTACAGAAAGAGTGTTTCAAACCTGCTCTATGAACGGGAATGTTCAGCTCTGTGAGTTGAATGCAAACATCACAAAGCAGGTTCTGAGAATGCTTCCGTCTAGATTTTAAATGAGGATATTCCCGTTTCCAACGAAATCCTCGAAGCTATCCAAATATCCACTTGCAGATTCCACAAAAAGAGTGTTTCAAAACTGCTCTGTCAAAAGATAGGTTCAACTCTGTTAGTTGAGTACACACATGGCAAACAAGATTGCGAGAATGCTTTCGTCTAGTTTTTTTGGGAAGATATTTCCTTCTTCACCATAGGCCTCAAAGCGCTCCAAATATCCATTTCCACATGCTATACAAAGAGTGTCTCAAACCTGCTGTATGAATGGGAATGTTCAACTCTATGAGTTGAATGCAAACATCACAAAGAAGTTTCTGAGAATGCTGCTGTCTAGATTTTATATGAAGGTTTTCCCGCTTCCAACGAAATTTTCAATGCTCTCAAAATATCCTCTTGTAGATTCTACAAAAAGAGTGTTTCCAAACTGCTGTATCAAAACAAAGGTTCATCTCTGTTAGTTGAGGACACACATCACAAATAAGTTTCTGAGAATGCTTCTGTCTAGTTCTTATTTGAAGACATTTCCTTTCTCACCTTAGGCCTGAAAGCGCTCGAAATACCCACTTCCAGATACTACAGAAACAGTGATTCAAACCTGCTCTATGAAAGGGAATTTTCAACTATGTGACTTGAATGCAAACATCACAAAGCAGTTTCTGAGAATGCTGCTGTCTACTTTCTATTTGTAATCCCGTTTGCAACGAAATCCTCAGAACTATCGAAATTTCCAATTGCAGATTCCACAGAAACAGGGTTTCAAAGCTGCTCTGTAAAAAGAAAGGTTCAACTCTGTTAGTTGAATACACACGTCACAAACAAGTTTCTGAGAATGCTTCTGTCTAGTTTTTATGGGAAGATATTTCCTTTTTCACCGTAGGCCTCAAAGCGCTCCAAATGTCCACTTCCACATACTACAAAAAGAGTGTTTCAAACCTGCTGTATGAAAGGGAATGTTCAACTCTATGAGTTGAATGCAAACATTACAAAGAAGTTTCTGAGAATGTTTCTGTCTAGATTTTATATGAAGGTTTTCCCGTTTCCAAGGAAATTTTCAATGCTCTCAAAATATACACTTGTAGATTCTACAAAAAGAGTGTTTCCAATCTGCTGTGTCAAAACAAAGGTTCAACTCTGTTAGTTGAGGACACACATCACAAAGAGGTTTCTGAGAATGCTGCTGACTAGTTTTTATTTGAAGATATTTCCCTTTTCACCTTAGGCCTAAGAGTGCTCGAAATGTCCATTTCCACATACTCCACAAAGTGTGTTCCAAACGTGCTGTATGAAAGGGAATGTTCAACTCTATGAGTTGAATGCAAACATCACAAAGAAGATTCTGAGAATGCTTTTGTCTAGATTTTATATGAAGATATTCCCGTGTCCAACGAAATTTTCAAAGGTCTCCAAATATCCATTTGTAGATTCTACAAAAAGAGTGTTTCCAAACTGCTGTATCAAAACAAAGGTTGAACTCTGTGAGTTGAGGACACACATCACAAATAAGTTTCTGAGAATGCTTCTGTCTAGTTTTTATTTGAAGATGTTTCCTTTTTCACCATAGGCCTGAAAGCGCTCGAAATGTCCACTTCCAGATAGTACAGAAAGAGTGTTTCAAACCTGCTCTATGATCGGGAATGTTCAGCTCTGTGAGTTGAATGCAAACATCACAAAGCAGGTTCTGAGAATGCTTCCGTCTAGATTTTAAATGAGGATATTCCCGTTTCCAACGAAATCCTCGAGCTATCCAAATATCCACTTGCAGATTCCACAAAAAGAGTGTTTCAAAACTGCTCTGTCAAAAGATAGGTTCAACTCTGTTAGTTGAGTACACACATGGCAAACAAGATTCCGAGAATGCTTTCGTCTAGTTTTTTTGGGAAGATATTTCCTTCTTCACCATAGGCCTCAAAGCGCTCCAAATATCCATTTCCACATGCTATACAAAGAGTGTCTCAAACCTGCTGTATGAATGGGAATGTTCAACTCTATGAGTTGAATGCAAACATCACAAAGAAGTTTCTGAGAATGCTGCTGTCTAGATTTTATATGAAGGTTTTCCCGCTTCCAACGAAATTTTCAATGCTCTCAAAATATCCTCTTGTAGATTCTACAAAAAGAGTGTTTCCAAACTGCTGTATCAAAACAAAGGTTCATCTCTGTTAGTTGAGGACACACATCACAAATAAGTTTCTGAGAATGCTTCTGTCTAGTTCTTATTTGAAGACATTTCCTTTCTCACCTTAGGCCTGAAAGCGCTCGAAATACCCACTTCCAGATACTACAGAAACAGTGATTCAAACCTGCTCTATGAAAGGGAATGTTCAACTAGGTGACTTGAATGCAAACATCACAAAGCAGTTTCTGAGAATGCTGCTGTCTACTTTGTATTTGTAATCCCGTTTCCAACGAAATCCTCAGAACTATCGAAATTTCCAATTGCAGATTCCACAGAAACAGGGTTTCAAAGCTGCTCTGTAAAAAGAAAGGTTCAACTCTGTTAGTTGAATACACACGTCACAAACAAGTTTCTGAGATTGCTTCTGTCTAGTTTTTATGGGAAGATATTTCCTTTTTCACCGTAGGCCTCAAAGCGCTCCCAAATGTCCACTTCCACATACTACAAAAAGAGTGTTTCAAACCTGCTGTATGAAAGGGAATGTTCAACTCTATGAGTTGAATGCAAACATTACAAAGAAGTTTCTGAGAATGCTTCTGTCTAGATTTTATATGAAGGTTTTCCCGTTTCCAACGAAATTTTCAATGCTCTCAAAATATCCACTTGTAGATTCTACAAAAAGAGTGTTTCCAAACTGCTGTGTCAAAAGAAAGGTTCAACTCTGTTAGTTGAGGACACACATCACAAATAAGTTTCTGAGAATGCTTCTGTCTAGTTCTTATTTGAAGACATTTCCTTTCTCACCTTAGGCCTGAAAACGCTCGAAATATCCACTTCCAGATACGACAGAAACAGTGATTCAAACCTGCTCTATGAAAGGGAATGTTCAACTAGGTGACTTGAATGCAAACATCACAAAGCAGTTTCTGAGAATGCTGCTGTCTACTTTCTATTTGTAATCCCGTTTCCAACGAAATCCTCGAAGCTATCCAAATATCCACTTGCAGATTCCACAAAAAGAGTGTTTCAAAACTGCTCTGTCAAAAGATAGGTTCAACTCTGTTAGTTGAGTACACACATGGCAAACAAGATTGCGAGAATGCTTTCGTCTAGTTTTTTTGGGAAGATATTTCCTTCTTCACCATAGGCCTCAAAGCGCTCCAAATATCCATTTCCACATGCTATACAAAGAGTGTCTCAAACCTGCTGTATGAATGGGAATGTTCAACTCTATGAGTTGAATGCAAACATCACAAAGAAGTTTCTGAGAATGCTGCTGTCTAGATTTTATATGAAGGTTTTCCCGCTTCCAACGAAATTTTCAATGCTCTCAAAATATCCTCTTGTAGATTCTACAAAAAGAGTGTTTCCAAACTGCTGTATCAAAACAAAGGTTCATCTCTGTTAGTTGAGGACACACATCACAAATAAGTTTCTGAGAATGCTTCTGTCTAGTTCTTATTTGAAGACATTTCCTTTCTCACCTTAGGCCTGAAAGCGCTCGAAATACCCACTTCCAGATACTACAGAAACAGTGATTCAAACCTGCTCTATGAAAGGGAATGTTCAACTAGGTGACTTGAATGCAAACATCACAAAGCAGTTTCTGAGAATGCTGCTGTCTACTTTCTATTTGTAATCCCGTTTCCAACGAAATCCTCAGAACTATCGAAATTTCCAATTGCAGATTCCACAAAAAGCGTGTTTCAAAGCTGCTCTGTAAAAAGAAAGGTTCAACTCTGTTAGAGGAATACACACGTCACAAACAAGTTTCTGAGAATGCTTCTGTCTAGTTTTTATGGGAAGATATTTCCTTTTTCACCGTAGGCCTCAAAGCGCTCCAAATGTCCACTTCCACATACTACAAAAAGAGTGTTTCAAACCTGCTCTATGATAGGGAATGTTGAAACCTATGAGTTGAATGCAAACATTACAAAGAGGTTTCTGAGAATGCTTCTGTCTAGATTTTATATGTAGATATTCCCGTTTCCAACGAAATCCTCAAAGCTATCCAAATATCAACTTGCACATTCTACAAAAGGAATGTTTCCAAAATGCTGTATCCAAACAAAGGTTCAACTCTGTGAATTGAGGGCATACATCACAAAGAAGATTCTGAGAATGCTTCTGTCTAGATTTTATATGAAAATATTCCCGTTTCCAACGAAATCCTCAAAGCTATCCAAATATCCACTTGCAAATGCCACAAAAAGAGTGTTTCCAAACTGCTCTGTGAAAAGGAAGGTTCAACTCTGTTAGTTGAGTACACACATCACAAAGAGGTTTCTGAGAATGCTGCTGACTAGTTTTTATTTGAAGATATTTCCCTTTTCACCTTAGGCCTAAGAGTGCTCGAAATGTCCATTTCCACATACTCCACAAAGTGTGTTTCAAACGTGCTGTATGAAAGGGAATGTTCAACTCTATGAGTTGAATGCAAACATCACAAAGAAGATTCTGAGAATGCTTTTGTCTAGATTTTATATGAAGATATTCCCGTGTCCAACGAAATTTTCAAAGGTCTCCAAATATCCATTTGTAGATTCTACAAAAAGAGTGTTTCCAAACTGCTGTATCAAAACAAAGGTTGAACTCTGTGAGTTGAGGACACACATCACAAATAAGTTTCTGAGAATGCTTCTGTCTAGTTTTTATTTGAAGATATTTCCTTTTTCACCATAGGCCTGAAAGCGCTCGAAATGTCCACTTCCAGATAGTACAGAAAGAGTGTTTCAAACCTGCTCTATGAACGGGAATGTTCAGCTCTGTGAGTTGAATGCAAACATCACAAAGCAGGTTCTGAGAATGCTTCCGTCTAGATTTTATATGAGGATATTCCCGTTTCCAAGGAAATCCTCGAAGCTATCCAAATATCCACTTGCAGATTCCACAAAAAGAGTGTTTCAAAACTGCTCTGTCAAAAGATAGGTTCAACTCTGTTAGTTGAGTACACACATGGCAAACAAGATTCCGAGAATGCTTTCGTCTAGTTTTTTTGGGAAGATATTTCCTTCTTCACCATAGGCCTCAAAGCGCTCCAAATATCCATTTCCACATGCTATACAAAGAGTGTCTCAAACCTGCTGTATGAATGGGAATGTTCAACTCTATGAGTTGAATGCAAACATCACAAAGAAGTTTCTGAGAATGCTGCTGTCTAGATTTTATATGAAGGTTTTCCCGCTTCCAACGAAATTTTCAATGCTCTCAAAATATCCTCTTGTAGATTCTACAAAAAGAGTGTTTCCAAACTGCTGTATCAAAACAAAGGTTCATCTCTGTTAGTTGAGGACACACATCACAAATAAGTTTCTGAGAATGCTTCTGTCTAGTTCTTATTTGAAGACATTTCCTTTCTCACCTTAGGCCTGAAAGCGCTCGAAATATCCACTTCCAGATACTACAGAGAACAGTGATTCAAACCTGCTCTATGAAAGGGAATGTTCAACTAGGTGACTTGAATGCAAACATCACAAAGCAGTTTCTGAGAATGCTGCTGTCTACTTTCTATTTGTAATCCCGTTTCCAACGAAATCCTCAGAACTATCGAAATTTCCAATTGCAGATTCCACAAAAAGAGTGTTTCAAAGCTGCTCTGTAAAAAGAAAGGTTCAACTCTGTTAGTTGAATACACGTCAGAAACAAGTTTCTGAGAATGCTTCTGTCTAGTTTTTATGGGAAGATATTTCCTTTTTCACCGTAGGCCTCAAAGCGCTCCAAATGTCCACTTCCACATACTACAAAAAGAGTGTTTCAAACCTGATCTAAGATAGGGAATGTTGAAACGTATGAGTTGAATGAAAACATTAAAAACAGGTTTCTGAGAATGCTTCTGTCTGGATTTTATATGTAGATATTCCCGTTTCCAACGAAATCCTCAAAGCTATCCAAATATCAACTTGCAGATTCTACAAAAGGAATGTTTCCAAAATGCTGTATCCAAACAAAGGTTCAACTCTGTGAATTGAGGGCATACATCACAAAGAAGATTCTGAGAATGCTTCTGTCTAGATTTTATATGAAAATATTCCTGTTTCCAACGAAATCCTCAAAGCTATCCAAATATCCACTTGCAAATGCCACAAAAAGAGTGTTTCCAAACTGCTCTGTGAAAAGGAAGGTTCAACTCTGTTAGTTGAGTACCCACATCACAAAGAGGTTTCTGAGAATGCTGCTGACTAGTTTTTATTTGAAGATATTTCCCTTTTCACCTTAGGCCTAAGAGTGCTCGAAATGTCCATTTCCACATACTCCACAAAGTGTGTTTCAAACGTGCTGTATGAAAGGGAATGTTCAACTCTATGAGTTGAATGCAAACATCACAAAGAAGATTCTGAGAATGCTTTTGTCTAGATTTTATATGAAGATATTCCCGTGTCCAACGAAATTTTCAAAGGTCTCCAAATATCCATTTGTAGATTCTACAAAAAGAGTGTTTCCAAACTGCTGTATCAAAACAAAGGTTGAACTCTGTGAGTTGAGGACACACATCACAAATAAGTTTCTGAGAATGCTTCTGTCTAGTTTTTATTTGAAGATGTTTCCTTTTTCACCATAGGCCTGAAAGCGCTCGAAATGTCCACTTCCAGATAGTACAGAAAGAGTGTTTCAAACCTGCTCTATGAACGGGAATGTTCAGCTCTGTGAGTTGAATGCAAACATCACAAAGCAGGTTCTGAGAATGCTTCCGTCTAGATTTTAAATGAGGATATTCCCGTTTCCAACGAAATCCTCGAAGCTATCCAAATATCCACTTGCAGATTCCACAAAAAGAGTGTTTCAAAACTGCTCTGTCAAAAGATAGGTTCAACTCTGTTAGTTGAGTACACACATGGCAAACAAGATTGCGAGAATGCTTTCGTCTAGTTTTTTTGGGAAGATATTTCCTTCTTCACCATAGGCCTCAAAGCGCTCCAAATATCCATTTCCACATGCTATACAAAGAGTGTCTCAAACCTGCTGTATGAATGGGAATGTTCAACTCTATGAGTTGAATGCAAACATCACAAAGAAGTTTCTGAGAATGCTGCTGTCTAGATTTTATATGAAGGTTTTCCCGCTTCCAACGAAATTTTCAATGCTCTCAAAATATCCTCTTGTAGATTCTACAAAAAGAGTGTTTCCAAACTGCTGTATCAAAACAAAGGTTCATCTCTGTTAGTTGAGGACACACATCACAAATAAGTTTCTGAGAATGCTTCTGTCTAGTTCTTATTTGAAGACATTTCCTTTCTCACCTTAGGCCTGAAAGCGCTCCAAATACCCACTTCCAGATACTACAGAAACAGTGATTCAAACCTGCTCTATGAAAGGGAATGTTCAAATATGT
Source organism: Homo sapiens (assembly GCF_000001405.40). NCBI lineage: Eukaryota > Metazoa > Chordata > Mammalia > Primates > Hominidae > Homo > Homo sapiens. The sequence goes on along the minus strand of NC_000015.10, from coordinate 18,404,064 downwards.
GACTTGAATGCAAACATCACAAAGCAGTTTCTGAGAATGCTGCTGTCTACTTTCTATTTGTAATCCCGTTTCCAACGAAATCCTCAGAACTATCGAAATTTCCAATTGCAGATTCCACAGAAACAGGGTTTCAAAGCTGCTCTGTAAAAAGAAAGGTTCAACTCTGTTAGTTGAATACACACGTCACAAACAAGTTTCTGAGAATGCTTCTGTCTAGTTTTTATGGGAAGATATTTCCTTTTTCACCGTAGGCCTCAAAGCGTTCCAAATGTCCACGTCCACATACTACAAAAAGAGTGTTTCAAACCTGCTGTATGAAAGGGAATGTTCAACTCTATGAGTTGAATGCAAACATTACAAAGAAGTTTCTGAGAATGCTTCTGTCTAGATTTTATATGAAGGTTTTCCCGTTTCCAACGAAATTTTCAATGCTCTCAAAATATCCACTTGTAGATTCTACAAAAAGAGTGTTTCCAAACTGCTGTGTCAAAAGAAAGGTTCAACTCTGTTAGTTGAGGACACACATCACAAATAAGTTTCTGAGAATGCTTCTGTCTAGTTCTTATTTGAAGACATTTCCTTTCTCACCTTAGGCCTGAAAACGCTCGAAATATCCACTTCCAGATACGACAGAAACAGTGATTCAAACCTGCTCTATGAAAGGGAATGTTCAACTAGGTGACTTGAATGCAAACATCACAAAGCAGTTTCTGAGAATGCTGCTGTCTACTTTCTATTTGTAATCCCGTTTCCAACGAAATCCTCAGAACCATCGAAATTTCCAATTGCAGATTCCACAGAAACAGGGTTTCAAAGCTGCTCTGTAAAAAGAAAGGTTCAACTCTGTTAGTTGAATACACACGTCACAAACAAGTTTCTGAGAATGCTTCTGTCTAGTTTTTATGGGAAGATATTTCCTTTTTCACGGTAGGCCTCAAAGCGCTCCAAATGTCCACTTCCACATACTACAAAAAGAGTGTTTCAAACCTGCTCTATGATAGGGAATGTTGAAACCTATGAGTTGAATGCAAGCATTACAAAGAGGTTTCTGAGAATGCTTCTGTCTAGATTTTATATGTAGATATTCCCGTTTCCAACGAAATCCTCAAAGCTATCCAAATATCAACTTGCAGATTCTACAAAAGGAATGTTTCCAAAATGCTGTATCCAAACAAAGGTTCAACTCTGTGAATTGAGGGCATACATCACAAAGAAGATTCTGAGAATGCTTCTGTCTAGATTTTATATGAAAATATTCCCGTTTCCAACGAAATCCTCAAAGCTATCCAAATATCCACTTGCAAATGCCACAAAAAGAGTGTTTCCAAACTGCTCTGTGAAAAGGAAGGTTCAACTCTGTTAGTTGAGTACACACATCACAAAGAGGTTTCTGAGAATGCTGCTGACTAGTTTTTATTTGAAGATATTTCCCTTTTCACCTTAGGCCTAAGAGTGCTCGAAATGTCCATTTCCACATACTCCACAAAGTGTGTTTCAAACGTGCTGTATGAAAGGGAATGTTCAACTCTATGAGTTGAATGCAAACATCACAAAGAAGATTCTGAGAATGCTTTTGTCTAGATTTTATATGAAGATATTCCCGTGTCCAACGAAATTTTCAAAGGTCTCCAAATATCCATTTGTAGATTCTACAAAAAGAGTGTTTCCAAACTGCTGTATCAAAACAAAGGTTGAACTCTGTGAGTTGAGGACACACATCACAAATAAGTTTCTGAGAATGCTTCTGTCTAGTTTTTATTTGAAGATGTTTCCTTTTTCACCATAGGCCTGAAAGCGCTCGAAATGTCCACTTCCAGATAGTACAGAAAGAGTGTTTCAAACCTGCTCTATGAACGGGAATGTTCAGCTCTGTGAGTTGAATGCAAACATCACAAAGCAGGTTCTGAGAATGTTTCCGTCTAGATTTTAAATGAGGATATTCCCGTTTCCAACGAAATCCTCGAAGCTATCCAAATATCCACTTGCAGATTCCACAAAAAGAGTGTTTCAAAACTGCTCTGTCAAAAGATAGGTTCAACTCTGTTAGTTGAGTACACACATGGCAAACAAGATTCCGAGAATGCTTTCGTCTAGTTTTTTTGGGAAGATATTTCCTTCTTCACCATAGGCCTCAAAGCGCTCCAAATATCCATTTCCACATGCTATACAAAGAGTGTCTCAAACCTGCTGTATGAATGGGAATGTTCAACTCTATGAGTTGAATGCAAACATCACAAAGAAGTTTCTGAGAATGCTGCTGTCTAGATTTTATATGAAGGTTTTCCCGCTTCCAACGAAATTTTCAATGCTCTCAAAATATCCTCTTGTAGATTCTACAAAAAGAGTGTTTCCAAACTGCTGTATCAAAACAAAGGTTCATCTCTGTTAGTTGAGGACACACATCACAAATAAGTTTCTGAGAATGCTTCTGTCTAGTTCTTATTTGAAGACATTTCCTTTCTCACCTTAGGCCTGAAAGCGCTCGAAATACACACTTCCAGATACTACAGAAACAGTGATTCAAACCTGCTCTATGAAAGGGAATGTTCAACTAGGTGACTTGAATGCAAACATCACAAAGCAGTTTACTGAGAATGCTGCTGTCTACTTTCTATTTGTAATCCCGTTTCCAACGAAATCCTCAGAACTATCGAAATTTCCAATTGCAGATTCCACAGAAACAGGGTTTCAAAGCTGCTCTGTAAAAAGAAAGGTTCAACTCTGTTAGTTGAATACACACGTCACAAACAAGTTTCTGAGAATGCTTCTCTCTAGTTTTTATGGGAAGATATTTCCTTTTTCACCGTAGGCCTCAAAGCGCTCCAAATGTCCACTTCCACATACTACAAAAAGAGTGTTTCAAACTTGCTCTATGATAGGGAATGTTGAAACCTATGAGTTGAATGCAAACATTACAAAGAGGTTTCTGAGAATGCTTCTGTCTAGATTTTATATGTAGATATTCCCGTTTCCAACGAAATCCTCAAAGCTATCCAAATATCAACTTGCAGATTCTACAAAAGGAATGTTTCCAAAATGCTGTATCCAAACAAAGGTTCAACTCTGTGAATTGAGGGCATACATCACAAAGAAGATTCTGAGAATGCTTCTGTCTAGATTTTATATGAAAATATTCCCGTTTCCAACGAAATCCTCAAAGCTATCCAAATATCCACTTGCAAATGCCACAAAAAGTGTGTTTCCAAACTGCTCTGTGAAAAGGGAAGGTTCAACTCTGTTAGTTGAGTACACACATCACAAAGAGGTTTCTGAGAATGCTGCTGACTAGTTTTTATTTGAAGATATTTCCCTTTTCACCTTAGGCCTAAGAGTGCTCGAAATGTCCATTTCCACATACTCCACAAAGTGTGTTTCAAACGTGCTGTATGAAAGGGAATGTTCAACTGCTATGAGTTGAATGCAAACATCACAAAGAAGATTCTGAGAATGCTTTTGTCTAGATTTTATATGAAGATATTCCCGTGTCCAACGAAATTTTCAAAGGTCTCCAAATATCCATTTGTAGATTCTACAAAAAGAGTGTTTCCAAACTGCTGTATCAAAACAAAGGTTGAACTCTGTGAGTTGAGGACACACATCACAAATAAGTTTCTGAGAATGCTTCTGTCTAGTTTTTATTTGAAGATGTTTCCTTTTTCACCATAGGCCTGAAAGCGCTCGAAATGTCCACTTCCAGATAGTACAGAAAGAGTGTTTCAAACCTGCTCTATGAACGGGAATGTTCAGCTCTGTGAGTTGAATGCAAACATCACAAAGCAGGTTCTGAGAATGTTTCCGTCTAGATTTTAAATGAGGATATTCCCGTTTCCAACGAAATCCTCGAAGCTATCCAAATATCCACTTGCAGATTCCACAAAAAGAGTGTTTCAAAACTGCTCTGTCAAAAGATAGGTTCAACTCTGTTAGTTGAGTACACACATGGCAAACAAGATTCCGAGAATGCTTTCGTCTAGTTTTTTTGGGAAGATATTTCCTTCTTCACCATAGGCCTCAAAGCGCTCCAAATATCCATTTCCACATGCTATACAAAGAGTGTCTCAAACCTGCTGTATGAATGGGAATGTTCAACTCTATGAGTTGAATGCAAACATCACAAAGAAGTTTCTGAGAATGCTGCTGTCTAGATTTTATATGAAGGTTTTCCCGCTTCCAACGAAATTTTCAATGCTCTCAAAATATCCTCTTGTAGATTCTACAAAAAGAGTGTTTCCAAACTGCTGTATCAAAACAAAGGTTCATCTCTGTTAGTTGAGGACACACATCACAAATAAGTTTCTGAGAATGCTTCTGTCTAGTTCTTATTTGAAGACATTTCCTTTCTCACCTTAGGCCTGAAAACGCTCGAAATATCCACTTCCAGATACGACAGAAACAGTGATTCAAACCTGCTCTATGAAAGGGAATGTTCAACTAGGTGACTTGAATGCAAACATCACAAAGCAGTTTCTGAGAATGCTGCTGTCTACTTTCTATTTGTAATCCCGTTTCCAACGAAATCCTCAGAACTATCGAAATTTCCAATTGCAGATTCCACAAAAAGCGTGTTTCAAAGCTGCTCTGTAAAAAGAAAGGTTCAACTCTGTTAGTTGAATACACACGTCACAAACAAGTTTCTGAGAATGCTTCTGTCTAGTTTTTATGGGAAGATATTTCCTTTTTCACCGTAGGCCTCAAAGCGCTCCAAATGTCCACTTCCACATACTACAAAAAGAGTGTTTCAAACCTGCTCTATGATAGGGAATGTTGAAACCTATGAGTTGAATGCAAGCATTACAAAGAGGTTTCTGAGAATGCTTCTGTCTAGATTTTATATGTAGATAGATATTCCCGTTTCCAAAGAAATCCTCAAACTATCCAAATATCAACTTGCAGATTCTACAAAAGGAATGTTTCCAAAATGCTGTATCCAAACAAAGGTTCAACTCTGTGAATTGAGGGCATACATCACAAAGAAGATTCTGAGAATGCTTCTGTCTAGATTTTATATGAAAATATTCCCGTTTCCAACGAAATCCTCAAAGCTATCCAAATATCCACTTGCAAATGCCACAAAAAGAGTGTTTCCAAACTGCTCTGTGAAAAGGAAGGTTCAACTCTGTTAGTTGAGTACACACATCACAAAGAGGTTTCTGAGAATGCTGCTGACTAGTTTTTATTTGAAGATATTTCCCTTTTCACCTTAGGCCTAAGAGTGCTCGAAATGTCCATTTCCACATACTCCACAAAGTGTGTTTCAAACGTGCTGTATGAAAGGGAATGTTCAACTCTATGAGTTGAATGCAAACATCACAAAGAAGATTCTGAGAATGCTTTTGTCTAGATTTTATATGAAGATATTCCCGTGTCCAACGAAATTTTCAAAGGTCTCCAAATATCCATTTGTAGATTCTACAAAAAGAGTGTTTCCAAACTGCTGTATCAAAACAAAGGTTGAACTCTGTGAGTTGAGGACACACATCACAAATAAGTTTCTGAGAATGCTTCTGTCTAGTTTTTATTTGAAGATGTTTCCTTTTTCACCATAGGCCTGAAAGCGCTCGAAATGTCCACTTCCAGATAGTACAGAAAGAGTGTTTCAAACCTGCTCTATGAACGGGAATGTTCAGCTCTGTGAGTTGAATGCAAACATCACAAAGCAGGTTCTGAGAATGCTTCCGTCTAGATTTTAAATGAGGATATTCCCGTTTCCAACGAAATCCTCGAAGCTATCCAAATATCCACTTGCAGATTCCACAGAAAGAGTGTTTCAAAACTGCTCTCTCAAAAGATAGGTTCAACTCTGTTAGTTGAGTACACACATGGCAAACAAGATTCCGAGAATGCTTTCGTCTAGTTTTTTTGGGAAGATATTTCCTTCTTCACCATAGGCCTCAAAGCGCTCCAAATATCCATTTCCACATGCTATACAAAGAGTGTCTCAAACCTGCTGTATGAATGGGAATGTTCAACTCTATGAGTTGAATGCAAACATCACAAAGAAGTTTCTGAGAATGCTGCTGTCTAGATTTTATATGAAGGTTTTCCCGCTTCCAACGAAATTTTCAATGCTCTCAAAATATCCTCTTGTAGATTCTACAAAAAGAGTGTTTCCAAACTGCTGTATCAAAACAAAGGTTCATCTCTGTTAGTTGAGGACACACATCACAAATAAGTTTCTGAGAATGCTTCTGTCTAGTTCTTATTTGAAGACATTTCCTTTCTCACCTTAGGCCTGAAAGCGCTCGAAATACCCACTTCCAGATACTACAGAAACAGTGATTCAAACCTGCTCTATGAAAGGGAATGTTCAACAATGTGACTTGAATGCAAACATCACAAAGCAGTTTCTGAGAATGCTGCTGTCTACTTTCTATTTGTAATCCCGTTTGCAACGAAATCCTCAGAACTATCGAAATTTCCAATTGCAGATTCCACAGAAACAGGGTTTCAAAGCTGCTCTGTAAAAAGAAAGGTTCAACTCTGTTAGTTGAATACACACGTCACAAACAAGTTTCTGAGAATGCTTCTGTCTAGTTTTTATGGGAAGATATTTCCTTTTTCACCGTAGGCCTCAAAGCGCTCCAAATGTCCACGTCCACATACTACAAAAAGAGTGTTTCAAACCTGCTGTATGAAAGGGAATGTTCAACTCTATGAGTTGAATGCAAACATTACAAAGAAGTTTCTGAGAATGCTTCTGTCTAGATTTTATATGAAGGTTTTCCCGTTTCCAACGAAATTTTCAATGCTCTCAAAATATCCACTTGTAGATTCTACAAAAAGAGTGTTTCCAAACTGCTGTGTCAAAAGAAAGGTTCAACTCTGTTAGTTGAGGACACACATCACAAATAAGTTTCTGAGAATGCTTCTGTCTAGTTCTTATTTGAAGACATTTCCTTTCTCACCTTAGGCCTGAAAACGCTCGAAATATCCACTTCCAGATACGACAGAAACAGTGATTCAAACCTGCTCTATGAAAGGGAATGTTCAACTAGGTGACTTGAATGCAAACATCACAAAGCAGTTTCTGAGAATGCTGCTGTCTACTTTCTATTTGTAATCCCGTTTCCAACGAAATCCTCAGAACTATCGAAATTTCCAATTGCAGATTCCACAAAAAGCGTGTTTCAAAGCTGCTCTGTAAAAAGAAAGGTTCAACTCTGTTAGTTGAATACACACGTCACAAACAAGTTTCTGAGAATGCTTCTGTCTAGTTTTTATGGGAAGATATTTCCTTTTTCACCGTAGGCCTCAAAGCGCTCCAAATGTCCACTTCCACATACTACAAAAAGAGTGTTTCAAACCTGCTCTATGATAGGGAATGTTGAAACCTATGAGTTGAATGCAAGCATTACAAAGAGGTTTCTGAGAATGCTTCTGTCTAGATTTTATATGTAGATATTCCCGTTTCCAACGAAATCCTCAAAGCTATCCAAATATCAACTTGCAGATTCTACAAAAGGAATGTTTCCAAAATGCTGTATCCAAACAAAGGTTCAACTCTGTGAATTGAGGGCATACATCACAAAGAAGATTCTGAGAATGCTTCTGTCTAGATTTTATATGAAAATATTCCCGTTTCCAACGAAATCCTCAAAGCTATCCAAATATCCACTTGCAAATGCCACAAAAAGAGTGTTTCCAAACTGCTCTGTGAAAAGGAAGGTTCAACTCTGTTAGTTGAGTACACACATCACAAAGAGGTTTCTGAGAATGCTGCTGACTAGTTTTTATTTGAAGATATTTCCTTTTTCACCTTAGGCCTAAGAGTGCTCGAAATGTCCATTTCCACATACTCCACAAAGTGTGTTTCAAACGTGCTGTATGAAAGGGAATGTTCAACTCTATGAGTTGAATGCAAACATCACAAAGAAGATTCTGAGAATGCTTCTGTCTAGATTTTATATGAAGATATTCCCGTGTCCAACGAAATTTTCAAAGGTCTCCAAATATCCATTTGTAGATTCTACAAAAAGAGTGTTTCCAAACTGCTGTATCAAAACAAAGGTTGAACTCTGTGAGTTGAGGACACACATCACAAATAAGTTTCTGAGAATGCTTCTGTCTAGTTTTTATTTGAAGATGTTTCCTTTTTCACCATAGGCCTGAAAGCGCTCGAAATGTCCACTTCCAGATAGTACAGAAAGAGTGTTTCAAACCTGCTCTATGAACGGGAATGTTCAGCTCTGTGAGTTGAATGCAAACATCACAAAGCAGGTTCTGAGAATGCTTCCGTCTAGATTTTAAATGAGGATATTCCCGTTTCCAACGAAATCCTCGAAGCTATCCAAATATCCACTTGCAGATTCCACAAAAAGAGTGTTTCAAAACTGCTCTGTCAAAAGATAGGTTCAACTCTGTTAGTTGAGTACACACATGGCAAACAAGATTCCGAGAATGCTTTCGTCTAGTTTTTTTGGGAAGATATTTCCTTCTTCACCATAGGCCTCAAAGCGCTCCAAATATCCATTTCCACATGCTATACAAAGAGTGTCTCAAACCTGCTGTATGAATGGGAATGTTCAACTCTATGAGTTGAATGCAAACATCACAAAGAAGTTTCTGAGAATGCTGCTGTCTAGATTTTATATGAAGGTTTTCCCGCTTCCAACGAAATTTTCAATGCTCTCAAAATATCCTCTTGTAGATTCTACAAAAAGAGTGTTTCCAAACTGCTGTATCAAAACAAAGGTTCATCTCTGTTAGTTGAGGACACACATCACAAATAAGTTTCTGAGAATGCTTCTGTCTAGTTCTTATTTGAAGACATTTCCTTTCTCACCTTAGGCCTGAAAGAGCTCGAAATACCCACTTCCAGATACTACAGAAACAGTGATTCAAACCTGCTCTATGAAAGGGAATGTTCAACTAGGTGACTTGAATGCAAACATCACAAAGCAGTTTCTGAGAATGCTGCTGTCTACTTTCTATTTGTAATCCCGTTTCCAACGAAATCCTCAGAACTATCGAAATTTCCAATTGCAGATTCCACAGAAACAGGGTTTCAAAGCTGCTCTGTAAAAAGAAAGGTTCAACTCTGTTAGTTGAATACACACGTCACAAACAAGTTTCTGAGAATGCTTCTCTCTAGTTTTTATGGGAAGATATTTCCTTTTTCACCGTAGGCCTCAAAGCGCTCCAAATGTCCACTTCCACATACTACAAAAAGAGTGTTTCAAACCTGCTGTATGAAAGGGAATGTTCAACTCTATGAGTTGAATGCAAACATTACAAAGAAGTTTCTGAGAATGCTTCTGTCTAGATTTTATATGAAGGTTTTCCCGTTTCCAACGAAATTTTCAATGCTCTCAAAATATCCACTTGTAGATTCTACAAAAAGAGTGTTTCCAAACTGCTGTGTCAAAAGAAAGGTTCAACTCTGTTAGTTGAGGACACACATCACAAATAAGTTTCTGAGAATGCTTCTGTCTAGTTCTTATTTGAAGACATTTCCTTTCTCACCTTAGGCCTGAAAACGCTCGAAATATCCACTTCCAGATACGACAGAAACAGTGATTCAAACCTGCTCTATGAAAGGGAATGTTCAACTAGGTGACTTGAATGCAAACATCACAAAGCAGTTTCTGAGAATGCTGCTGTCTACTTTCTATTTGTAATCCCGTTTCCAACGAAATCCTCAGAACCATCGAAATTTCCAATTGCAGATTCCACAGAAACAGGGTTTCAAAGCTGCTCTGTAAAAAGAAAGGTTCAACTCTGTTAGTTGAATACACACGTCACAAACAAGTTTCTGAGAATGCTTCTGTCTAGTTTTTATGGGAAGATATTTCCTTTTTCACGGTAGGCCTCAAAGCGCTCCAAATGTCCACTTCCACATACTACAAAAAGAGTGTTTCAAACCTGCTCTATGATAGGGAATGTTGAAACCTATGAGTTGAATGCAAGCATTACAAAGAGGTTTCTGAGAATGCTTCTGTCTAGATTTTATATGTAGATATTCACGTTTCCAACGAAATCCTCAAAGCTATCCAAATATCAACTTGCAGATTCTACAAAAGGAATGTTTCCAAAATGCTGTATCCAAACAAAGGTTCAACTCTGTGAATTGAGGGCATACATCACAAAGAAGATTCTGAGAATGCTTCTGTCTAGATTTTATATGAAAATATTCCCGTTTCCAACGAAATCCTCAAAGCTATCCAAATATCCACTTGCAAATGCCACAAAAAGAGTGTTTCCAAACTGCTCTGTGAAAAGGAAGGTTCAACTCTGTTAGTTGAGTACACACATCACAAAGAGGTTTCTGAGAATGCTTGCTGACTAGTTTTTATTTGAAGATATTTCCCTTTTCACCTTAGGCCTAAGAGTGCTCGAAATGTCCATTTCCACATACTCCACAAAGTGTGTTTCAAACGTGCTGTATGAAAGGGAATGTTCAACTCTATGAGTTGAATTCAAACATCACAAAGAAGATTCTGAGAATGCTTTTGTCTAGATTTTATATGAAGATATTCCCGTGTCCAACGAAATTTTCAAAAGTCTCCAAATATCCATTTGTAGATTCTACAAAAAGAGGGTTTCCAAACTGCTGTATCGAAACAATGGTTGAACTCTGTGATTTGAGGACACACATCACAAATAAGTTTCTGAGAATGCTTCTGTCTAGTTTTTATTTGAAGATGTTTCCTTTTTCACCATAGGCCTGAAAGCGCTCGAAATGTCCACTTCCAGATAGTACAGAAAGAGTGTTTCAAACCTGCTCTATGAACGGGAATGTTCAGCTCTGTGAGTTGAATGTAAACATCACAAAGCAGGTTCTGAGAATGCTTCTGTCTAGATTTTAAATGAGGATATTCCCGTTTCCAACGAAATCCTCGAAGCTATCCAAATATCCACTTGCAGATTCCACAAAAAGAGTGTTTCAAAACTGCTCTGTCAAAAGATAGGTTCAACTCTGTTAGTTGAGTACACACATGGCAAACAAGATTGCGAGAATGCTTTCGTCTAGTTTTTTGGGAAGATATTCCTTCTTCACCATAGGCCTCAAAGCGCTCCAAATATCCATTTCCACATGCTATACAAAGAGTGTCTCAAACCTGCTGTATGAATGGGAATGTTCAACTCTATGAGTTGAATGCAAACATCACAAAGAAGTTTCTGAGAATGCTGCTGTCTAGATTTTATATGAAGGTTTTCCCGCTTCCAACGAAATTTTCAATGCTCTCAAAATATCCTCTTGTAGATTCTACAAAAAGAGTGTTTCCAAACTGCTGTATCAAAACAAAGGTTCATCTCTGTTAGTTGAGGACACACATCACAAATAAGTTTCTGAGAATGCTTCTGTCTAGTTCTTATTTGAAGACATTTCCTTTCTCACCTTAGGCCTGAAAGCGCTCGAAATACCCACTTCCAGATACTACAGAAACAGTGATTCAAACCTGCTCTATGAAAGGGAATGTTCAACTATGTGACTTGAATGCAAACATCACAAAGCAGTTTCTGAGAATGCTGCTGTCTACTTTCTATTTGTAATCCCGTTTCCAACGAAATCCTCAGAACTATCGAAATTTCCAATTGCAGATTCCACAGAAACAGGGTTTCAAAGCTGCTCTGTAAAAAGAAAGGTTCAACTCTGTTAGTTGAATACACACGTCACAAACAAGTTTCTGAGAATGCTTCTGTCTAGTTTTTATGGGAAGATATTTCCTTTTTCACCGTAGGCCTCAAAGCGCTCCAAATGTCCACTTCCACATACTACAAAAAGAGTGTTTCAAACCTGCTGTATGAAAGGGAATGTTCAACTCTATGAGTTGAATGCAAACATTACAAAGAAGTTTCTGAGAATGCTTCTGTCTAGATTTTATATGAAGGTTTTCCCGTTTCCAACGAAATTTTCAATGCTCTCAAAATATCCACTTGTAGATTCTACAAAAAGAGTGTTTCCAAACTGCTGTGTCAAAAGAAAGGTTCAACTCTGTTAGTTGAGGACACACATCACAAATAAGTTTCTGAGAATGCTTCTGTCTAGTTCTTATTTGAAGACATTTCCTTTCTCACCTTAGGCCTGAAAACGCTCGAAATATCCACTTCCAGATACGACAGAAACAGTGATTCAAACCTGCTCTATGAAAGGGAATGTTCAACTAGGTGACTTGAATGCAAACATCACAAAGCAGTTTCTGAGAATGCTGCTGTCTACTTTCTATTTGTAATCCCGTTTGCAACGAAATCCTCAGAACTATCGAAATTTCCAATTGCAGATTCCACAGAAACAGGGTTTCAAAGCTGCTCTGTAAAAAGAAAGGTTCAACTCTGTTAGTTGAATACACACGTCACAAACAAGTTTCTGAGAATGCTTCTGTCTAGTTTTTATGGGAAGATATTTCCTTTTTCACCGTAGGCCTCAAAGCGCTCCAAATGTCCACTTCCACATACTACAAAAAGAGTGTTTCAAACCTGCTGTATGAAAGGGAATGTTCAACTCTATGAGTTGAATGCAAACATTACAAAGAAGTTTCTGAGAATGCTTCTGTCTAGATTTTATATGAAGGTTTTCCCGTTTCCAACGAAATTTTCAATGCTCTGAAAATATCCACTTGTAGATTCTACAAAAAGAGTGTTTCCAAACTGCTGTGTCAAAAGAAAGGTTCAGCTCTGTTAGTTGAGGACACACATCACAAATAAGTTTCTGAGAATGCTTGCTGTCTACTTTCTATTTGTAATCCCGTTTCCAACGAAATCCTCAGAACTATCGAAATTTCCAATTGCAGATTCCACAAAAAGCGTGTTTCAAAGCTGCTCTGTAAAAAGAAAGGTTCAACTCTGTTAGTTGAATACACACGTCACAAACAAGTTTCTGAGAATGCTTCTGTCTAGTTTTTATGGGAAGCATATTTCCTTTTTCACCGTAGGCCTCAAAGCGCTCCAAATGTCCACTTCCACATACTACAAAAAGAGTGTTTCAAACCTGCTGTATGAAAGGGAATGTTCAACTCTATGAGTTGAATGCAAACATTACAAAGAAGTTTCTGAGAATGCTTCTGTCTAGATTTTATATGAAGGTTTTCCCGTTTCCAACGAAATTTTCAATGCTCTCAAAATATCCACTTGTAGATTCTACAAAAAGAGTGTTTCCAAACTGCTGTGTCAAAAGAAAGGTTCAACTCTGTTAGTTGAGGACACACATCACAAATAAGTTTCTGAGAATGCTTCTGTCTAGGTCTTATTTGAAGACATTTCCTTTCTCACCTTAGGCCTGAAAACGCTCGAAATATCCACTTCCAGATACGACAGAAACAGTGATTCAAACCTGCTCTATGAAAGGGAATGTTCAACTAGGTGACTTGAATGCAAACATCACAAAGCAGTTTCTGAGAATGCTGCTGTCTACTTTCTATTTGTAATCCCGTTTCCAACGAAATCCTCAGAACTATCGAAATTTCCAATTGCAGATTCCACAAAAAGCGTGTTTCAAAGCTGCTCTGTAAAAAGAAAGGTTCAACTCTGTTAGTTGAATACACACGTCACAAACAAGTTTCTGAGAATGCTTCTGTCTAGTTTTTATGGGAAGATATTTCCTTTTTCACCGTAGGCCTCAAAGCGCTCCAAATGTCCACTTCCACATACTACAAAAAGAGTGTTTCAAACCTGCTCTATGATAGGGAATGTTGAAACCTATGAGTTGAATGCAAGCATTACAAAGAGGTTTCTGAGAATGCTTCTGTCTAGATTTTATATGTAGATATTCCCGTTTCCAACGAAATCCTCAAAGCTATCCAAATATCAGCTTGCAGATTCTGCAAAAGGAATGTTTCCAAAATGCTGTATCCAAACAAAGGTTCAACTCTGTGAATTGAGGGCATACATCACAAAGAAGATTCTGAGAATGCTTCTGTCTAGATTTTATATGAAAATATTCCCGTTTCCAACGAAATCCTCAAAGCTATCCAAATATCCACTTGCAAATGCCACAAAAAGAGTGTTTCCAAACTGCTCTGTGAAAAGGAAGGTTCAACTCTGTTAGTTGAGTACACACATCACAAAGAGGTTTCTGAGAATGCTGCTGACTAGTTTTTATTTGAAGATATTTCCCTTTTCACCTTAGGCCTAAGAGTGCTCGAAATGTCCATTTCCACATACTCCACAAAGTGTGTTTCAAACGTGCTGTATGAAAGGGAATGTTCAACTCTATGAGTTGAATGCAAACATCACAAAGAAGATTCTGAGAATGCTTTTGTCTAGATTTTATATGAAGATATTCCCGTGTCCAACGAAATTTTCAAAGGTCTCCAAATATCCATTTGTAGATTCTACAAAAAGAGTGTTTCCAAACTGCTGTATCAAAACAAAGGTTGAACTCTGTGAGTTGAGGACACACATCACAAATAAGTTTCTGAGAATGCTTCTGTCTAGTTTTTATTTGAAGATGTTTCCTTTTTCACCATAGGCCTGAAAGCGCTCGAAATGTCCACTTCCAGATAGTACAGAAAGAGTGTTTCAAACCTGCTCTATGAACGGGAATGTTCAGCTCTGTGAGTTGAATGCAAACATCACAAAGCAGGTTCTGAGAATGCTTCCGTCTAGATTTTAAATGAGGATATTCCCGTTTCCAACGAAATCCTCGAAGCTATCCAAATATCCACTTGCAGATTCCACAAAAAGAGTGTTTCAAAACTGCTCTGTCAAAAGATAGGTTCAACTCTGTTAGTTGAGTACACACATGGCAAACAAGATTCCGAGAATGCTTTCGTCTAGTTTTTTTGGGAAGATATTTCCTTCTTCACCATAGGCCTCAAAGCGCTCCAAATATCCATTTCCACATGCTATACAAAGAGTGTCTCAAACCTGCTGTATGAATGGGAATGTTCAACTCTATGAGTTGAATGCAAACATCACAAAGAAGTTTCTGAGAATGCTGCTGTCTAGATTTTATATGAAGGTTTTCCCGCTTCCAACGAAATTTTCAATGCTCTCAAAATATCCTCTTGTAGATTCTACAAAAAGAGTGTTTCCAAACTGCTGTATCAAAACAAAGGTTCATCTCTGTTAGTTGAGGACACACATCACAAGTTTCTGAGAATGCTTCTGTCTAGTTCTTATTTGAAGACATTTCCTTTCTCACCTTAGGCCTGAAAACGCTCGAAATATCCACTTCCAGATACGACAGAAACTGTGATTCAAACCTGCTCTATGAAAGGGAATGTTCAACTAGGTGACTTGAATGCAAACATCAGAAAGCAGTTTCTGAGAATGCTGCTGTCTACTTTCTATTTGTAATCCCGTTTCCAACGAAATCCTCAGAACTATCGAAATTTCCAATTGCAGATTCCACAGAAACAGGGTTTCAAAGCTGCTCTGTAAAAAGAAAGGTTCAACTCTGTTAGTTGAATACACACGTCACAAACAAGTTTCTGAGAATGCTTCTGTCTAGTTTTTATGGGAAGATATTTCCTTTTTCACCGTAGGCCTCAAAGCGCTCCAAATGTCCACTTCCACATACTACAAAAAGAGTGTTTCAAACCTGCTGTATGAAAGGGAATGTTCAACTCTATGAGTTGAATGCAAACATTACAAAGAAGTTTCTGAGAATGCTTCTGTCTAGATTTTATATGAAGGTTTTCCCGTTTCCAACGAAATTTTCAATGCTCTCAAAATATCCACTTGTAGATTCTACAAAAAGAGTGTTTCCAAACTGCTGTGTCAAAAGAAAGGTTCAACTCTGTTAGTTGAGGACACACATCACAAATAAGTTTCTGAGAATGCTTCTGTCTAGTTCTTATTTGAAGACATTTCCTTTCTCACCTTAGGCCTGAAATCGCTCGAAATATCCACTTCCAGATACGACAGAAACAGTGATTCAAACCTGCTCTATGAAAGGGAATGTTCAACTAGGTGACTTGAATGCAAACATCACAAAGCAGTTTCTGAGAATGCTGCTGTCTACATTCTATTTGTAATCCCGTTTCCAACGAAATCCTCAGAACTATCGAAATTTCCAATTGCAGATTCCACAAAAAGCGTGTTTCAAAGCTGCTCTGTAAAAAGAAAGGTTCAACTCTGTTAGTTGAATACACACGTCACAAACAAGTTTCTGAGAATGCTTCTGTCTAGTTTTTATGGGAAGATATTTCCTTTTTCACCGTAGGCCTCAAAGCGCTCCAAATGTCCACTTCCACATACTACAAAAAGAGTGTTTCAAACCTGCTCTATGATAGGGAATGTTGAAACCTATGAGTTGAATGCAAGCATTACAAAGAGGTTTCTGAGAATGCTTCTGTCTAGATTTTATATGTAGATATTCCCGTTTCCAACGAAATCCTCAAAGCTATCCAAATATCAGCTTGCAGATTCTGCAAAAGGAATGTTTCCAAAATGCTGTATCCAAACAAAGGTTCAACTCTGTGAATTGAGGGCATACATCACAAAGAAGATTCTGAGAATGCTTCTGTCTAGATTTTATATGAAAATATTCCCGTTTCCAACGAAATCCTCAAAGCTATCCAAATATCCACTTGCAAATGCCACAAAAAGAGTGTTTCCAAACTGCTCTGTGAAAAGGAAGGTTCAACTCTGTTAGTTGAGTACACACATCACAAAGAGGTTTCTGAGAATGCTGCTGACTAGTTTTTATTTGAAGATATTTCCCTTTTCACCTTAGGCCTAAGAGTGCTCGAAATGTCCATTTCCACATACTCCACAAAGTGTGTTTCAAACGTGCTGTATGAAAGGGAATGTTCAACTCTATGAGTTGAATGCAAACATCACAAAGAAGACTCTGAGAATGCTTTTGTCTAGATTTTATATGAAGATATTCCCGTGTCCAACGAAATTTTCAAAGGTCTCCAAATATCCATTTGTAGATTCTACAAAAAGAGTGTTTCCAAACTGCTGTATCAAAACAAAGGTTGAACTCTGTGAGTTGAGGACACACATCACAAATAAGTTTCTGAGAATGCTTCTGTCTAGTTTTTATTTGAAGATGTTTCCTTTTTCACCATAGGCCTGAAAGCGCTCGAAATGTCCACTTCCAGATAGTACAGAAAGAGTGTTTCAAACCTGCTCTATGAACGGGAATGTTCAGCTCTGTGAGTTGAATGCAAACATCACAAAGCAGGTTCTGAGAATGCTTCCGTCTAGATTTTATATGAGGATATTCCCGTTTCCAAGGAAATCCTCGAAGCTATCCAAATATCCATTTGCAGATTCCACAAAAAGAGTGTTTCAAAACTGCTCTGTCAAAAGATAGGTTCAACTCTGTTTAGTTGAGTACACACATGGCAAACAAGATTGCGAGAATGCTTTCATCTAGTTTTTTTGGGAAGATATTTCCTTCTTCACCATAGGCCTCAAAGCGCTCCAAATATCCATTTCCACATGCTATACAAAGAGTGTCTCAAACCTGCTGTATGAATGGGAATGTTCAACTCTATGAGTTGAATGCAAACATCACAAAGAAGTTTCTGAGAATGCTGCTGTCTAGATTTTATATGAAGGTTTTCCCGCTTCCAACGAAATTTTCAATGCTCTCAAAATATCCTCTTGTAGATTCTACAAAAAGAGTGTTTCCAAACTGCTGTATCAAAACAAAGGTTCATCTCTGTTAGTTGAGGACACACATCACAAATAAGTTTCTGAGAATGCTTCTGTCTAGTACTTATTTGAAGACATTTCCTTTCTCACCTTAGGCCTGAAAGTGCTCGAAATACCCACTTCCAGATACTACAGAAACAGTGATTCAAACCTGCTCTATGAAAGGGAATGTTCAACTAGGTGACTTGAATGCAAACATCACAAAGCAGTTTCTGAGAATGCTGCTGTCTACTTTCTATTTGTAATCCCGTTTCCAACGAAATCCTCAGAACTATCGAAATTTCCAATTGCAGATTCCACAGAAACAGGGTTTCAAAGCTGCTCTGTAAAAAGAAAGGTTCAACTCTGTTAGTTGAATACACACGTCACAAACAAGTTTCTGAGAATGCTTCTGTCTAGTTTTTATGGGAAGATATTTCCTTTTTCACGGTAGGCCTCAAAGCGCTCCAAATGTCCACTTCCACATACTACAAAAAGAGTGTTTCAAACCTGCTCTATGATAGGGAATGTTGAAACCTATGAGTTGAATGCAAGCATTACAAAGAGGTTTCTGAGAATGCTTCTGTCTAGATTTTATATGTAGATATTCCCGTTTCCAACGAAATCCTCAAAGCTATCCAAATATCAGCTTGCAGATTCTGCAAAAGGAATGTTTCCAAAATGCTGTATCCAAACAAAGGTTCAACTCTGTGAATTGAGGGCATACATCACAAAGAAGATTCTGAGAATGCTTCTGTCTAGATTTTATATGAAAATATTCCCGTTTCCAACGAAATCCTCAAAGCTATCCAAATATCCACTTGCAAATGCCACAAAAAGAGTGTTTCCAAACTGCTCTGTGAAAAGGAAGGTTCAACTCTGTTAGTTGAGTACACACATCACAAAGAGGTTTCTGAGAATGCTGCTGACTAGTTTTTATTTGAAGATATTTCCCTTTTCACCTTAGGCCTAAGAGTGCTCGAAATGTCCATTTCCACATACTCCACAAAGTGTGTTTCAAACGTGCTGTATGAAAGGGAATGTTCAACTCTATGAGTTGAATGCAAACATCACAAAGAAGATTCTGAGAATGCTTTTGTCTAGATTTTATATGAAGATATTCCCGTGTCCAACGAAATTTTCAAAGGTCTCCAAATATCCATTTGTAGATTCTACAAAAAGAGTGTTTCCAAACTGCTGTATCAAAACAAAGGTTGAACTCTGTGAGTTGAGGACACACATCACAAATAAGTTTCTGAGAATGCTTCTGTCTAGTTTTTATTTGAAGATGTTTCCTTTTTCACCATAGGCCTGAAAGCGCTCGAAATGTCCACTTCCAGATAGTACAGAAAGAGTGTTTCAAACCTGCTCTATGAACGGGAATGTTCAGCTCTGTGAGTTGAATGCAAACATCACAAAGCAGGTTCTGAGAATGCTTCTGTCTAGATTTTAAATGAGGATATTCCCGTTTCCAACGAAATCCTCGAAGCTATCCAAATATCCACTTGCAGATTCCACAAAAAGAGTGTTTCAAAACTGCTCTGTCAAAAGATAGGTTCAACTCTGTTAGTTGAGTACACACATGGCAAACAAGATTGCGAGAATGCTTTCGTCTAGTTTTTTGGGAAGATATTCCTTCTTCACCATAGGCCTCAAAGCGCTCCAAATATCCATTTCCACATGCTATACAAAGAGTGTCTCAAACCTGCTGTATGAATGGGAATGTTCAACTCTATGAGTTGAATGCAAACATCACAAAGAAGTTTCTGAGAATGCTGCTGTCTAGATTTTATATGAAGGTTTTCCCGCTTCCAACGAAATTTTCAATGCTCTCAAAATATCCTCTTGTAGATTCTACAAAAAGAGTGTTTCCAAACTGCTGTATCAAAACAAAGGTTCATCTCTGTTAGTTGAGGACACACATCACAAATAAGTTTCTGAGAATGCTTCTGTCTAGTTCTTATTTGAAGACATTTCCTTTCTCACCTTAGGCCTGAAAGCGCTCGAAATACACACTTCCAGATACTACAGAAACAGTGATTCAAACCTGCTCTATGAAAGGGAATGTTCAACTATGTGACTTGAATGCAAACATCACAAAGCAGTTTCTGAGAATGCTGCTGTCTACTTTCTATTTGTAATCCCGTTTCCAACGAAATCCTCAGAACTATCGAAATTTCCAATTGCAGATTCCACAGAAACAGGGTTTCAAAGCTGCTCTGTAAAAAGAAAGGTTCAACTCTGTTAGTTGAATACACACGTCACAAACAAGTTTCTGAGAATGCTTCTGTCTAGTTTTTATGGGAAGATATTTCCTTTTTCACCGTAGGCCTCAAAGCGCTCCAAATGTCCACGTCCACATACTACAAAAAGAGTGTTTCAAACCTGCTGTATGAAAGGGAATGTTCAACTCTATGAGTTGAATGCAAACATTACAAAGAAGTTTCTGAGAATGCTTCTGTCTAGATTTTATATGAAGGTTTTCCCGTTTCCAACGAAATTTTCAATGCTCTCAAAATATCCACTTGTAGATTCTACAAAAAGAGTGTTTCCAAACTGCTGTGTCAAAAGAAAGGTTCAACTCTGTTAGTTGAGGACACACATCACAAATAAGTTTCTGAGAATGCTTCTGTCTAGTTCTTATTTGAAGACATTTCCTTTCTCACCTTAGGCCTGAAAACGCTCGAAATATCCACTTCCAGATACGACAGAAACAGTGATTCAAACCTGCTCTATGAAAGGGAATGTTCAACTAGGTGACTTGAATGCAAACATCACAAAGCAGTTTCTGAGAATGCTGCTGTCTACTTTCTATTTGTAATCCCGTTTCCAACGAAATCCTCAGAACTATCGAAATTTCCAATTGCAGATTCCACAAAAAGCGTGTTTCAAAGCTGCTCTGTAAAAAGAAAGGTTCAACTCTGTTAGTTGAATACACACGTCACAAACAAGTTTCTGAGAATGCTTCTGTCTAGTTTTTATGGGAAGATATTTCCTTTTTCACCGTAGAACTCAAAGCGCTCCAAATGTCCACTTCCACATACTACAAAAAGAGTGTTTCAAACCTGCTCTATGATAGGGAATGTTGAAACCTATGAGTTGAATGCAAGCATTACAAAGAGGTTTCTGAGAATGCTTCTGTCTAGATTTTATATGTAGATATTCCCGTTTCCAACGAAATCCTCAAAGCTATCCAAATATCAACTTGCAGATTCTACAAAAGGAATGTTTCCAAAATGCTGTATCCAAACAAAGGTTCAACTCTGGGAATTGAGGGCATACATCACAAAGAAGATTCTGAGAATGCTTCTGTCTAGATTTTATATGAAAATATTCCCGTTTCCAACGAAATCCTCAAAGCTATCCAAATATCCACTTGCAAATGCCACAAAAAGAGTGTTTCCAAACTGCTCTGTGAAAAGGAAGGTTCAACTCAGTTGAGTACACACATCACAAAGAGGTTTCTGAGAATGCTGCTGACTAGTTTTTATTTGAAGATATTTCCCTTTTCACCTTAGGCCTAAGAGTGCTCGAAATGTCCATTTCCACATACTCCACAAAGTGTGTTTCAAACGTGCTGTATGAAAGGGAATGTTCAACTCTATCAGTTGAATGCAAACATCACAAAGAAGACTCTGAGAATGCTTTTGTCTAGATTTTATATGAAGATATTCCCATGTCCAACGAAATTTTCAAAGTTCTCCAAATATCCATTTGTAGATTCTACAAAAAGAGTGTTTCCAAACTGCTGTATCAAAACAAAGGTTGAACTCTGTGAGTTGAGGACACACATCACAAATAAGTTTCTGAGAATGCTTCTGTCTAGTTTTTATTTGAAGATGTTTCCTTTTTCACCATAGGCCTGAAAGCGCTCGAAATGTCCACTTCCAGATAGTACAGAAAGAGTGTTTCAAACCTGCTCTATGAACGGGAATGTTCAGCTCTGTGAGTTGAATGCAAACATCACAAAGCAGGTTCTGAGAATGCTTCCGTCTAGATTTTAAATGAGGATATTCCCGTTTCCAACGAAATCCTCGAAGCTATCCAAATATCCACTTGCAGATTCCACAAAAAGAGTGTTTCAAAACTGCTCTGTCAAAAGATAGGTTCAACTCTGTTAGTTGAGTACACACATGGCAAACAAGATTGCGAGAATGCTTTCGTCTAGTTTTTTTGGGAAGATATTTCCTTCTTCACCATAGGCCTCAAAGCGCTCCAAATATCCATTTCCACATGCTATACAAAGAGTGTCTCAAACCTGCTGTATGAATGGGAATGTTCAACTCTATGAGTTGAATGCAAACATCACAAAGAAGTTTCTGAGAATGCTGCTGTCTAGATTTTATATGAAGGTTTTCCCGCTTCCAACGAAATTTTCAATGCTCTCAAAATATCCTCTTGTAGATTCTACAAAAAGAGTGTTTCCAAACTGCTGTATCAAAACAAAGGTTCATCTCTGTTAGTTGAGGACACACATCACAAATAAGTTTCTGAGAATGCTTCTGTCTAGTTCTTATTTGAAGACATTTCCTTTCTCACCTTAGGCCTGAAAATGCTCGAAATATCCACTTCCAGATACGACAGAAACAGTGATTCAAACCTGCTCTATGAAAGGGAATGTTCAACTAGGTGACTTGAATGCAAACATCACAAAGCAGTTTCTGAGAATGCTGCTGTCTACTTTCTATTTGTAATCCCGTTTCCAACGAAATCCTCAGAACTATCGAAATTTCCAATTGCAGATTCCACAAAAAGCGTGTTTCAAAGCTGCTCTGTAAAAAGAAAGGTTCAACTCTGTTAGTTGAATACACACGTCACAAACAAGTTTCTGAGAATGCTTCTGTCTAGTTTTTATGGGAAGATATTTCCTTTTTCACCGTAGGCCTCAAAGCGCTCCAAATGTCCACTTCCACATACTACAAAAAGAGTGTTTCAAACCTGCTGTATGAAAGGGAATGTTCAACTCTATGAGTTGAATGCAAACATTACAAAGAAGTTTCTGAGAATGCTTCTGTCTAGATTTTATATGAAGGTTTTCCCGTTTCCAACGAAATTTTCAATGCTCTCAAAATATCCACTTGTAGATTCTACAAAAAGAGTGTTTCCAAACTGCTGTGTCAAAAGAAAGGTTCAACTCTGTTAGTTGAGGACACACATCACAAATAAGTTTCTGAGAATGCTTCTGTCTAGGTCTTATTTGAAGACATTTCCTTTCTCACCTTAGGCCTGAAAACGCTCGAAATATCCACTTCCAGATACGACAGAAACAGTGATTCAATCCTGCTCTATGAAAGGGAATGTTCAACTAGGTGACTTGAATGCAAACATCACAAAGCAGTTTCTGAGAATGCTGCTGTCTACTTTCTATTTGTAATCCCGTTTCCAACGAAATCCTCAGAACTATCGAAATTTCCAATTGCAGATTCCACAGAAACAGGGTTTCAAAGCTGCTCTGTAAAAAGAAAGGTTCAACTCTGTTAGTTGAATACACACGTCACAAACAAGTTTCTGAGAATGCTTCTGTCTAGTTTTTATGGGAAGATATTTCCTTTTTCACCGTAGGCCTCAAAGCGCTCCAAATGTCCACTTCCACATACTACAAAAAGAGTGTTTCAAACCTGCTGTATGAAAGGGAATGTTCAACTCTATGAGTTGAATGCAAACATTACAAAGAAGTTTCTGAGAATGCTTCTGTCTAGATTTTATATGAAGGTTTTCCCGTTTCCAACGAAATTTTCAATGCTCTCAAAATATCCCCTTGTAGATTCTACAAAAAGAGTGTTTCCAAACTGCTGTGTCAAAAGAAAGGTTCAACTCTGTTAGTTGAGGACACACATCACAAATAAGTTTCTGAGAATGCTTCTGTCTAGTTCTTATTTGAAGACATTTCCTTTCTCACCTTAGGCCTGAAAACGCTCGAAATATCCACTTCCAGATACGACAGAAACAGTGATTCAAACCTGCTCTATGAAAGGGAATGTTCAACTAGGTGACTTGAATGCAAACATCACAAAGCAGTTTCTGAGAATGCTGCTGTCTACTTTCTATTTGTAATCCCGTTTCCAACGAAATCCTCAGAACTATCGAAATTTCCAATTGCAGATTCCACAAAAAGCGTGTTTCAAAGCTGCTCTGTAAAAAGAAAGGTTCAACTCTGTTAGAGGAATACACACGTCACAAACAAGTTTCTGAGAATGCTTCTGTCTAGTTTTTATGGGAAGATATTTCCTTTTTCACCGTAGGCCTCAAAGCGCTCCAAATGTCCACTTCCACATACTACAAAAAGAGTGTTTCAAACCTGCTGTATGATAGGGAATGTTGAAACCTATGAGTTGAATGCAAACATTACAAAGAGGTTTCTGAGAATGCTTCTGTCTAGATTTTATATGTAGATATTCCCGTTT
Source organism: Homo sapiens (assembly GCF_000001405.40). Taxonomy (NCBI): domain Eukaryota; kingdom Metazoa; phylum Chordata; class Mammalia; order Primates; family Hominidae; genus Homo; species Homo sapiens. Next base: position 18,380,131 of record NC_000015.10, on the reverse strand, counting down.
CCAACGAAATCCTCAAAGCTATCCAAATATCAACTTGCAGATTCTACAAAAGGAATGTTTCCAAAATGCTGTATCCAAACAAAGGTTCAACTCTGTGAATTGAGGGCATACATCACAAAGAAGATTCTGAGAATGCTTCTGTCTAGATTTTATATGAAAATATTCCCGTTTCCAACGAAATCCTCAAAGCTATCCAAATATCCACTTGCAAATGCCACAAAAAGAGTGTTTCCAAACTGCTCTGTGAAAAGGAAGGTTCAACTCTGTTAGTTGAGTACACACATCACAAAGAGGTTTCTGAGAATGCTGCTGACTAGTTTTTATTTGAAGATATTTCCCTTTTCACCTTAGGCCTAAGAGTGCTCGAAATGTCCATTTCCACATACTCCACAAAGTGTGTTTCAAACGTGCTGTATGAAAGGGAACGTTCAACTCTATGAGTTGAATGCAAACATCACAAAGAAGATTCTGAGAATGCTTTTGTCTAGATTTTATATGAAGATATTCCCGTGTCCAACGAAATTTTCAAAGGTCTCCAAATATCCATTTGTAGATTCTACAAAAAGAGTGTTTCCAAACTGCTGTATCAAAACAAAGGTTGAACTCTGTGAGTTGAGGACACACATCACAAATAAGTTTCTGAGAATGCTTCTGTCTAGTTTTTATTTGAAGATGTTTCCTTTTTCACCATAGGCCTGAAAGCGCTCGAAATGTCCACTTCCAGATAGTACAGAAAGAGTGTTTCAAACCTGCTCTATGAACGGGAATGTTCAGCTCTGTGAGTTGAATGCAAACATCACAAAGCAGGTTCTGAGAATGCTTCCGTCTAGATTTTAAATGAGGATATTCCCGTTTCCAACGAAATCCTCGAAGCTATCCAAATATGCACTTGCAGATTCCACAAAAAGAGTGTTTCAAAACTGCTCTGTCAAAAGATAGGTTCAACTCTGTTAGTTGAGTACACACATGGCAAACAAGATTCCGAGAATGCTTTCGTCTAGTTTTTTTGGGAAGATATTTCCTTCTTCACCATAGGCCTCAAAGCGCTCCAAATATCCATTTCCACATGCTATACAAAGAGTGTCTCAAACCTGCTGTATGAATGGGAATGTTCAACTCTATGAGTTGAATGCAAACATCACAAAGAAGTTTCTGAGAATGCTGCTGTCTAGATTTTATATGAAGGTTTTCCCGCTTCCAACGAAATTTTCAATGCTCTCAAAATATCCTCTTGTAGATTCTACAAAAAGAGTGTTTCCAAACTGCTGTATCAAAACAAAGGTTCATCTCTGTTAGTTGAGGACACACATCACAAATAAGTTTCTGAGAATGCTTCTGTCTAGTTCTTATTTGAAGACATTTCCTTTCTCACCTTAGGCCTGAAAGCCCTCGAAATACCCACTTCCAGATACTACAGAAACAGTGATTCAAACCTGCTCTATGAAAGGGAATGTTCAACTAGGTGACTTGAATGCAAACATCACAAAGCAGTTTCTGAGAATGCTGCTGTCTACTTTCTATTTGTAATCCCGTTTGCAACGAAATCCTCAGAACTATCGAAATTTCCAATTGCAGATTCCACAGAAACAGGGTTTCAAAGCTGCTCTGTAAAAAGAAAGGTTCAACTCTGTTAGTTGAATACACACGTCACAAACAAGTTTCTGAGAATGCTTCTGTCTAGTTTTTATGGGAAGATATTTCCTTTTTCACCGTAGGCCTCAAAGCGCTCCAAATGTCCACGTCCACATACTACAAAAAGAGTGTTTCAAACCTGCTGTATGAAAGGGAATGTTCAACTCTATGAGTTGAATGCAAACATTACAAAGAAGTTTCTGAGAATGCTTCTGTCTAGATTTTATATGAAGGTTTTCCCGTTTCCAATGAAATTTTCAATGCTCTCAAAATATCCACTTGTAGATTCTACAAAAAGAGTGTTTCCAAACTGCTGTGTCAAAAGAAAGGTTCAACTCTGTTAGTTGAGGACACACATCACAAATAAGTTTCTGAGAATGCTTCTGTCTAGTTCTTATTTGAAGACATTTCCTTTCTCACCTTAGGCCTGAAAACGCTCGAAATATCCACTTCCAGATACGACAGAAACAGTGATTCAAACCTGCTCTATGAAAGGGAATGTTCAACTAGGTGACTTGAATGCAAACATCACAAAGCAGTTTCTGAGAATGCTGCTGTCTACTTTCTATTTGTAATCCCGTTTCCAACGAAATCCTCAGAACTATCGAAATTTCCAATTGCAGATTCCACAAAAAGCGTGTTTCAAAGCTGCTCTGTAAAAAGAAGGGTTCAACTCTGTTAGTTGAATACACACGTCACAAACAAGTTTCTGAGAATGCTTCTGTCTAGTTTTTATGGGAAGATATTTCCTTTTTCACCGTAGGCCTCAAAGCGCTCCAAATGTCCACTTCCACATACTACAAAAAGAGTGTTTCAAACCTGCTCTATGATAGGGAATGTTGAAACCTATGAGTTGAATGCAAGCATTACAAGAGGTTTCTGAGAATGCTTCTGTCTAGATTTTATATGTAGATATTCCCGTTTCCAACGAAATCCTCAAAGCTATCCAAATATCAACTTGCAGATTCTACAAAAGGAATGTTTCCAAAATGCTGTATCCAAACAAAGGTTCAACTCTGTGAATTGAGGGCATACATCACAAAGAAGATTCTGAGAATGCTTCTGTCTAGATTTTATATGAAAATATTCCCGTTTCCAACGAAATCCTCAAAGCTATCCAAATATCCACTTGCAAATGCCACAAAAAGAGTGTTTCCAAACTGCTCTGTGAAAAGGAAGGTTCAACTCTGTTAGTTGAGTACACACATCACAAAGAGGTTTCTGAGAATGCTGCTGACTAGTTTTTATTTGAAGATATTTCCCTTTTCACCTTAGGCCTAAGAGTGCTCGAAATGTCCATTTCCACATACTCCACAAAGTGTGTTTCAAACGTGCTGTATGAAAGGGAATGTTCAACTCTATGAGTTGAATGCAAACATCACAAAGAAGATTCTGAGAATGCTTTTGTCTAGATTTTATATGAAGATATTCCCGTGTCCAACGAAATTTTCAAAGGTCTCCAAATATCCATTTGTAGATTCTACAAAAAGAGTGTTTCCAAACTGCTGTATCAAAACAAAGGTTGAACTCTGTGAGTTGAGGACACACATCACAAATAAGTTTCTGAGAATGCTTCTGTCTAGTTTTTATTTGAAGATGTTTCCTTTTCCACCATAGGCCTGAAAGCGCTCGAAATGTCCACTTCCAGATAGTACAGAAAGAGTGTTTCAAACCTGCTCTATGAACGGGAATGTTCAGCCTCCTGTGAGTTGAATGCAAACATCACAAAGCAGGTTCTGAGAATGCTGCTGTCTAGTTTTTATATATAATCCCGTTTCCAAGGAAATCCTCAGACCTATCCAAATATCCACCTGCAGATTCTACAAAAAGAGTGTTTCAAAACTGCTCGTTCAAAGGGAAGGTTCAAATCTGTCAGTTGAGTATAGACATAACAAACAAGTTTCTGACAATGCTTCTGTCTAGTTTTTATGGGAAGATATTTCCTTTTTCACCGTAGGCCTCAAATCGGTCCAAATGTCCACTTCCACATACTACAAAAAGAGTGTTTCAAGCCTGCTGTATGAAAGGGAATGTTCAACTCTATGAGTTGAATGCAAACATTACAAAGAAGTTTCTGAGAATGCTTCTGTCTAGATTTCATATGAAGGTTTTCCCGCTTCCAACGAAATTTTCAATGCTCTCCAATTATCCACTTGTAGATTCTACAAAAATAGTGTTTCCAAACTGCTGTATCAAAACAAAGGTTCAACTCAGTTGAGGACACACATCACAAATAAGTTTCTGAGAATGCGTCTGTCTAGTTCTTATTTGAAAACATTTCCTTTCTCACCTTAGGCCTGAAAGCGCACGAAATATCCACTTCCAGATACTACAGAAACAGTGATTCAAACCTGCTCTATGAAAGGGAATGTTCAACTATGTGACTTGAATGCAAACACCACAAAGCAGTTTCTGAGAATGCTGCTGTGTACTTTTTATATGTAATCCCGTTTCCAACGAAATCCTCAGAACTATCGAAATTTCCACTTGCAGATTCCACAAAAAGAGTGTTTCAAAGCTGCTCTGTAAAAAGAAAGGTTCAACTCTGTTAGTTGAATACACACGTCACAAACAAGTTTCTGAGAATGCTTTTGTCTAGTTTTTATGGGAAGATATTTCCTTTTTCACCGTAGGCGTCAAAGCGCTCCAAATGTCCACTTCCACATACTACAAAAAGAGTGTTTCAAACCTGCTCTATGAAAGGGAATGTTGAAACCTATGAGTTGAATGCAAACATCACAAAGAAGTTACTGAGAATGCTTCTGTCTAGATTTTATATGTAGATATTACCGTTTCCAACGAAATCCTCAAAGCTATCCAAATATCAACTTGCAGATTCTACAAAAGAATGTTTCCAAAATGCTGTATCCAAACAAATGTACAACACTCTTAGTTGAGGACACACATCACAAATAAGTTTCTGAGAATGCTTCTGTCTAGTTCTGATTTGAAGACATTTCCTTTCTCACCTTAGGCCTGAAAGCGATCGAAATACCCACTTCCAGGTACTACAGAAACAGTGATTCAAACCTGCTCTATGAAAGGGAATGTTCAACTAGGTGACTTGAATGCAAACATCACAAAGCAGATTCTGAGAATGCTGCTGTCTACTTTCTATTTGTAATCCCGTTTCCAACGAAATCCTCAGAACTATCGAAATTTCCAATTGCAGATTCCACAAAAAGAGTGTTTCAAAGCTGCTCTGTAAAAAGAAAGGTTCAACTCTGTTAGTTGAATACACACGTCACAAACAAGTTTCTGAGAATGGTTCTATCTAGTTTTTACGGGAAGATATTTCCTTTTTCACCGTAGGCCTCAAAGTGCTCCAAATGTCCGCTTCCACATACTACAAAAAGAGTGTTTGAAACCTGCTGTATGAAAGGGAATGTTCAACTCTATGAGTTGAATGCAAACATTACAAAGAAGTTTCTGAGAATGCTGCTGTCTAGATTTTATATGAAGGTTTTCCCGTTTCCAACGAAATTTTCAATGCTCTCAAAATATCCACTTGTAGATTCTACAAAAAGAGTGTTTCCAAACTGCTGTGTCAAAAGAAAGGTTCAACTCTGTTAGTTGAGGACACACATCACAAATAAGTTTCTGAGAATGCTTCTGTCTAGTTCTTATTTGAAGACATTTCCTTTCTCACCTTAGGCCTGAAAACGCTCGAAATATCCACTTCCAGATACGACAGAAACAGTGATTCAAACCTGCTCTATGAAAGGGAATGTTCAACTAGGTGACTTGAATGCAAACATCACAAAGCAGTTTCTGAGAATGCTGCTGTCTACTTTCTATTTGTAATCCCGTTTCCAACGAAATCCTCAGAACTATCGAAATTTCCAATTGCAGATTCCACAAAAAGCGTGTTTCAAAGCTGCTCTGTAAAAAGAAAGGTTCAACTCTGTTAGTTGAATACACACGTCACAAACAAGTTTCTGAGAATGCTTCTGTCTAGTTTTTATGGGAAGATATTTCCTTTTTCACCGTAGGCCTCAAAGCGCTCCAAATGTCCACTTCCACATACTACAAAAAGAGTGTTTCAAACCTGCTGTATGAAAGGGAATGTTCAACTCTATGAGTTGAATGCAAACATTACAAAGAAGTTTCTGAGAATGCTTCTGTCTAGATTTTATATGTAGATAGATATTCCCGTTTCCAACGAAATCCTCAAAGCTATCCAAATATCAACTTGCAGATTCTACAAAAGGAATGTTTCCAAAATGCTGTATCCAAACAAAGGTTCAACTCTGTGAATTGAGGGCATACATCACAAAGAAGATTCTGAGAATGCTTCTGTCTAGATTTTATATGAAAATATTCCCGTTTCCAACGAAATCCTCAAAGCTATCCAAATATCCACTTGCAAATGCCACAAAAAGAGTGTTTCCAAACTGCTCTGTGAAAAGGAAGGTTCAACTCTGTTAGTTGAGTACACACATCACAAAGAGGTTTCTGAGAATGCTGCTGACTAGTTTTTATTTGAAGATATTTCCCTTTTCACCTTAGGCCTAAGAGTGCTCGAAATGTCCATTTCCACATACTCCACAAAGTGTGTTTCAAACGTGCTGTATGAAAGGGAATGTTCAACTCTATGAGTTGAATGCAAAGATCACAAAGAAGATTCTGAGAATGCTTTTGTCTAGATTTTATATGAAGATATTCCCGTGTCCAACGAAATTTTCAAAGGTCTCCAAATATCCATTTGTAGATTCTACAAAAAGAGTGTTTCCAAACTGCTGTATCAAAACAAAGGTTGAACTCTGTGAGTTGAGGACACACATCACAAATAAGTTTCTGAGAATGCTTCTGTCTAGTTTTTATTTGAAGATGTTTCCTTTTTCACCATAGGCCTGAAAGCGCTCGAAATGTCCACTTCCAGATAGTACAGAAAGAGTGTTTCAAACCTGCTCTATGAACGGGAATGTTCAGCTCTGTGAGTTGAATGCAAACATCACAAAGCAGGTTCTGAGAATGCTTCCGTCTAGATTTTAAATGAGGATATTCCCGTTTCCAACGAAATCCTCGAAGCTATCCAAATATCCACTTGCAGATTCCACAAAAAGAGTGTTTCAAAACTGCTCTGTCAAAAGATAGGTTCAACTCTGTTAGTTGAGTACACACATGGCAAACAAGATTGCGAGAATGCTTTCGTCTAGTTTTTTTGGGAAGATATTTCCTTCTTCACCATAGGCCTCAAAGCGCTCCAAATATCCATTTCCACATGCTATACAAAGAGTGTCTCAAACCTGCTGTATGAATGGGAATGTTCAACTCTATGAGTTGAATGCAAACATCACAAAGAAGTTTCTGAGAATGCTGCTGTCTAGATTTTATATGAAGGTTTTCCCGCTTCCAACGAAATTTTCAATGCTCTCAAAATATCCTCTTGTAGATTCTACAAAAAGAGTGTTTCCAAACTGCTGTATCAAAACAAAGGTTCATCTCTGTTAGTTGAGGACACACATCACAAATAAGTTTCTGAGAATGCTTCTGTCTAGTTCTTATTTGAAGACATTTCCTTTCTCACCTTAGGCCTGAAAACGCTCGAAATATCCACTTCCAGATACGACAGAAACTGTGATTCAAACCTGCTCTATGAAAGGGAATGTTCAACTAGGTGACTTGAATGCAAACATCACAAAGCAGTTTCTGAGAATGCTGCTGTCTACTTTCTATTTGTAATCCCGTTTCCACCGAAATCCTCAGAACTATCGAAATTTCCAATTGCAGATTCCACAAAAAGCGTGTTTCAAAGCTGCTCTGTAAAAAGAAAGGTTCAACTCTGTTAGTTGAATACACACGTCACAAACAAGTTTCTGAGATTGCTTCTGTCTAGTTTTTATGGGAAGATATTTCCTTTTTCACCGTGGGCCTCAAAGCGCTCCAAATGTCCACTCCCACATACTACAAAAAGAGTGTTTCAAACCTGCTCTATGAAAGGGAACGTTCAACTCTATGAGTTGAATGCAAACATTACAAAGAAGTTTCTGAGGATGCTTCTGTCTAGATTTTATATGAAGGTTTTCCCGTTTCCAACGAAATTTTCAATGCTCTCAAAATATCCACTTGTAGATTCTACAAAAAGAGTGTTTCCAAACTGCTGTGTCAAAAGAAAGGTTCAACTCTGTTAGTTGAGGACACACATCACAAATAAGTTTCTGAGAATGCTTCTGTCTAGTTCTTATTTGAAGACATTTCCTTTCTCACATTAGGCCTGAAAACGCTCGAAATATCCACTTCCAGATACGACAGAAACAGTGATTCAAACCTGCTCTATGAAAGGGAATGTTCAACTAGGTGACTTGAATGCAAACATCACAAAGCAGTTTCTGAGAATGCTGCTGTCTACTTTCTATTTGTAATCCCGTTTCCAACGAAATCCTCAGAACTATCGAAATTTCCAATTGCAGATTCCACAAAAAGCGTGTTTCAAAGCTGCTCTGTAAAAAGAAAGGTTCAACTCTGTTAGTTGAATACACACGTCACAAACAAGTTTCTGAGAATGCTTCTGTCTAGTTTTTATGGGAAGATATTTCCTTTTTCACCGTAGGCCTCAAAGCGCTCCAAATGTCCACTTCCACATACTACAAAAAGAGTGTTTCAAACCTGCTCTATGATAGGGAATGTTGAAACCTATGAGTTGAATGCAAACATTACAAAGAGGTTTCTGAGAATGCTTCTGTCTAGATTTTATATGTAGATATTCCCGTTTCCAACGAAATCCTCAAAGCTATCCAAATATCAACTTGCAGATTCTACAAAAGGAATGTTTCCAAAATGCTGTATCCAAACAAAGGTTCAACTCTGTGAATTGAGGGCATACATCACAAAGAAGATTGTGAGAATGCTTCTGTCTAGATTTTATATGAAAATATTCCCGCTTCCAACGAAATCCTCAAAGCTATCCAAATATCCACTTGCAAATGCCACAAAAAGAGTGTTTCCAAACTGCTCTGTGAAAAGGAAGGTTCAACTCTGTTAGTTGAGTACACACATCACAAAGAGGTTTCTGAGAATGCTGCTGACTAGTTTTTATTTGAAGATATTTCCCTTTTCACCTTAGGCCTAAGAGTGCTCGAAATGTCCATTTCCACATACTCCACAAAGTGTGTTTCAAACGTGCTGTATGAAAGGGAATGTTCAACTCTATGAGTTGAATGCAAACATCACAAAGAAGATTCTGAGAATGCTTTTGTCTAGATTTTATATGAAGATATTCCCGTGTCCAACGAAATTTTCAAAGGTCTCCAAATATCCATTTGTAGATTCTACAAAAAGAGTGTTTCCAAACTGCTGTATCAAAACAAAGGTTGAACTCTGTGAGTTGAGGACACACATCACAAATAAGTTTCTGAGAATGCTTCTGTCTAGTTTTTATTTGAAGATGTTTCCTTTTTCACCATAGGCCTGAAAGCGCTCGAAATGTCCACTTCCAGATAGTACAGAAAGAGTGTTTCAAACCTGCTCTATGAACGGGAATGTTCAGCTCTGTGAGTTGAATGCAAACATCACAAAGCAGGTTCTGAGAATGCTTCCGTCTAGGTTTTAAATGAGGATATTCCCGTTTCCAACGAAATCCTCGAAGCTATCCAAATATCCACTTGCAGATTCCACAAAAAGAGTGTTTCAAAACTGCTCTGTCAAAAGATAGGTTCAACTCTGTTAGTTGAGTACACACATGGCAAACAAGATTCCGAGAATGCTTTCGTCTAGTTTTTTTGGGAAGATATTTCCTTCTTCACCATAGGCCTCAAAGCGCTCCAAATATCCATTTCCACATGCTATACAAAGAGTGTCTCAAACCTGCTGTATGAATGGGAATGTTCAACTCTATGAGTTGAATGCAAACATCACAAAGAAGTTTCTGAGAATGCTGCTGTCTAGATTTTATATGAAGGTTTTCCCGCTTCCAACGAAATTTTCAATGCTCTCAAAATATCCTCTTGTAGATTCTACAAAAAGAGTGTTTCCAAACTGCTGTATCAAAACAAAGGTTCATCTCTGTTAGTTGAGGACACACATCACAAATAAGTTTCTGAGAATGCTTCTGTCTAGTTCTTATTTGAAGACATTTCCTTTCTCACCTTAGGCCTGAAAGCGCTCGAAATACCCACTTCCAGATACTACAGAAACAGTGATTCAAACCTGCTCTATGAAAGGGAATGTTCAACTAGGTGACTTGAATGCAAACATCACAAAGCAGTTTCTGAGAATGCTGCTGTCTACTTTCTATTTGTAATCCCGTTTGCAACGAAATCCTCAGAACTATCGAAATTTCCAATTGCAGATTCCACAGAAACAGGGTTTCAAAGCTGCTCTGTAAAAAGAAAGGTTCAACTCTGTTAGTTGAATACACACGTCACAAACAAGTTTCTGAGAATGCTTCTGTCTAGTTTTTATGGGAAGATATTTCCTTTTTCACGGTAGGCCTCAAAGCGCTCCAAATGTCCACTTCCACATACTACAAAAAGAGTGTTTCAAACCTGCTCTATGATAGGGAATGTTGAAACCTATGAGTTGAATGCAAGCATTACAAAGAGGTTTCTGAGAATGCTTCTGTCTAGATTTTATATGTAGATATTCCCGTTTCCAACGAAATCCTCAAACTATCCAAATATCAACTTGCAGATTCTACAAAAGGAATGTTTCCAAAATGCTGTATCCAAACAAAGGTTCAACTCTGTGAATTGAGGGCATACATCACAAAGAAGATTCTGAGAATGCTTCTGTCTAGATTTAAATGATAATATTCCCGTTTCCAACGAAATCCTCAAAGCTATCCAAATATCCACTTGCAAATGCCACAAAAAGAGTGTTTCCAAACTGCTCTGTGAAAAGGAAGGTTCAACTCTGTTAGTTGAGTACACACATCACAAAGAGGTTTCTGAGAATGCTGCTGACTAGTTTTTATTTGAAGATATTTCCCTTTTCACCTTAGGCCTAAGAGTGCTCGAAATGTCCATTTCCACATACTCCACAAAGTGTGTTTCAAACGTGCTGTATGAAAGGGAATGTTCAACTCTATGAGTTGAATGCAAACATCACAAAGAAGATTCTGAGAATGCTTTTGTCTAGATTTTATATGAAGATATTCCCGTGTCCAACGAAATTTTCAAAGGTCTCCAAATATCCATTTGTAGATTCTACAAAAAGAGTGTTTCCAAACTGCTGTATCAAAACAAAGGTTGAACTCTGTGAGTTGAGGACACACATCACAAATAAGTTTCTGAGAATGCTTCTGTCTAGTTTTTATTTGAAGATGTTTCCTTTTTCACCATAGGCCTGAAAGCGCTCGAAATGTCCACTTCCAGATAGTACAGAAAGAGTGTTTCAAACCTGCTCTATGAACGGGAATGTTCAGCTCTGTGAGTTGAATGCAAACATCACAAAGCAGGTTCTGAGAATGCTTCCGTCTAGATTTTAAATGAGGATATTCCCGTTTCCAACGAAATCCTCGAAGCTATCCAAATATCCACTTGCAGATTCCACAAAAAGAGTGTTTCAAAACTGCTGTGTCAAAAGATAGGTTCAACTCTGTTAGTTGAGTACACACATGGCAAACAAGATTGCGAGAATGCTTTCGTCTAGTTTTTTGGGAAGATATTTCCTTCTTCACCATAGGCCTCAAAGCGCTCCAAATATCCATTTCCACATGCTATACAAAGAGTGTCTCAAACCTGCTGTATGAATGGGAATGTTCAACTCTATGAGTTGAATGCAAACATCACAAAGAAGTTTCTGAGAATGCTGCTGTCTAGATTTTATATGAAGGTTTTCCCGCTTCCAACGAAATTTTCAATGCTCTCAAAATATCCTCTTGTAGATTCTACAAAAAGAGTGTTTCCAAACTGCTGTATCAAAACAAAGGTTCATCTCTGTTAGTTGAGGACACACATCACAAATAAGTTTCTGAGAATGCTTCTGTCTAGTTCTTATTTGAAGACATTTCCTTTCTCACCTTAGGCCTGAAAACGCTCGAAATATCCACTTCCAGATACGACAGAAACAGTGATTCAAACCTGCTCTATGAAAGGGAATGTTCAACTAGGTGACTTGAATGCAAACATCACAAAGCAGTTTCTGAGAATGCTGCTGTCTACTTTCTATTTGTAATCCCGTTTCCAACGAAATCCTCAGAACTATCGAAATTTCCAATTGCAGATTCCACAAAAAGCGTGTTTCAAAGCTGCTCTGTAAAAAGAAAGGTTCATCTCTGTTAGTTGAATACACACGTCACAAACAAGTTTCTGAGAATGCTTCTGTCTAGTTTTTATGGGAAGATATTTCCTTTTTCACGGTAGGCCTCAAAGCGCTCCAAATGTCCACTTCCACATACTACAAAAAGAGTGTTTCAAACCTGCTCTATGATAGGGAATGTTGAAACCTATGAGTTGAATGCAAGCATTACAAAGAGGTTTCTGAGAATGCTTCTGTCTAGATTTTATATGTAGATATTCCCGTTTCCAACGAAATCCTCAAAGCTATCCAAATATCAACTTGCAGATTCTACAAAAGGAATGTTTCCAAAATGCTGTATCCAAACAAAGGTTCAACTCTGTGAATTGAGGGCATACATCACAAAGAAGATTCTGAGAATGCTTCTGTCTAGATTTTATATGAAAATATTCCCGTTTCCAACGAAATCCTCAAAGCTATCCAAATATCCACTTGCAAATGCCACAAAAAGAGTGTTTCCAAACTGCTCTGTGAAAAGGAAGGTTCAACTCTGTTAGTTGAGTACACACATCACAAAGAGGTTTCTGAGAATGCTGCTGACTAGTTTTTATTTGAAGATATTTCCCTTTTCACCTTAGGCCTAAGAGTGCTCGAAATGTCCATTTCCACATACTCCACAAAGTGTGTTTCAAACGTGCTGTATGAAAGGGAATGTTCAACTCTATGAGTTGAATGCAAACATCACAAAGAAGATTCTGAGAATGCTTTTGTCTAGATTTTATATGAAGATATTCCCGTGTCCAACGAAATTTTCAAAGGTCTCCAAATATCCATTTGTAGATTCTACAAAAAGAGTGTTTCCAAACTGCTGTATCAAAACAAAGGTTGAACTCTGTGAGTTGAGGACACACATCACAAATAAGTTTCTGAGAATGCTTCTGTCTAGTTTTTATTTGAAGATGTTTCCTTTTTCACCATAGGCCTGAAAGCGCTCGAAATGTCCACTTCCAGATAGTACAGAAAGAGTGTTTCAAACCTGCTCTATGAACGGGAATGTTCAGCTCTGTGAGTTGAATGCAAACATCACAAAGCAGGTTCTGAGAATGCTTCCGTCTAGATTTTAAATGAGGATATTCCCGTTTCCAACGAAATCCTCGAAGCTATCCAAATATCCACTTGCAGATTCCACAAAAAGAGTGTTTCAAAACTGCTCTGTCAAAAGATAGGTTCAACTCTGTTAGTTGAGTACACACATGGCAAACAAGATTGCGAGAATGCTTTCGTCTAGTTTTTTTGGGAAGATATTTCCTTCTTCACCATAGGCCTCAAAGCGCTCCAAATATCCATTTCCACATGCTATACAAAGAGTGTCTCAAACCTGCTGTATGAATGGGAATGTTCAACTCTATGAGTTGAATGCAAACATCACAAAGAAGTTTCTGAGAATGCTGCTGTCTAGATTTTATATGAAGGTTTTCCCGCTTCCAACGAAATTTTCAATGCTCTCAAAATATCCTCTTGTAGATTCTACAAAAAGAGTGTTTCCAAACTGCTGTATCAAAACAAAGGTTCATCTCTGTTAGTTGAGGACACACATCACAAATAAGTTTCTGAGAATGCTTCTGTCTAGTTCTTATTTGAAGACATTTCCTTTCTCACCTTAGGCCTGAAAGCGCTCGAAATACCCACTTCCAGATACTACAGAAACAGTGATTCAAACCTGCTCTATGAAAGGGAATGTTCAACTATGTGACTTGAATGCAAACATCACAAAGCAGTTTCTGAGAATGCTGCTGTCTACTTTCTATTTGTAATCCCGTTTCCAACGAAATCCTCAGAACTATCGAAATTTCCAATTGCAGATTCCACAGAAACAGGGTTTCAAAGCTGCTCTGTAAAAAGAAAGGTTCAACTCTGTTAGTTGAATACACACGTCACAAACAAGTTTCTGAGAATGCTTCTGTCTAGTTTTTATGGGAAGATATTTCCTTTTTCACCGTAGGCCTGAAAGCGCTCCAAATGTCCACTTCCACATACTACAAAAAGAGTGTTTCAAACCTGCTGTATGAAAGGGAATGTTCAACTCTATGAGTTGAATGCAAACATTACAAAGAAGTTTCTGAGAATGCTTCTGTCTAGATTTTATATGAAGGTTTTCCCGTTTCCAACGAAATTTTCAATGCTCTCAAAATATCCACTTGTAGATTCTACAAAAAGAGTGTTTCCAAACTGCTGTGTCAAAAGAAAGGTTCAACTCTGTCAGTTGAGGACACACATCACAAATAGGTTTCTGAGAATGCTTCTGTCTAGTTCTTATTTGAAGACATTTCCTTTCTCACCTTAGGCCTGAAAGCGCTCGTAATACCCACTTCCAGATACTACAGAAACAGTGATTCAAACCTGATCTATGAAAGGGAATGTTCAACTATGTGACTTGAATGCAAACATCACAAAGCAGTTTCTGAGAATGCTGCTGTCTACTTTCTATTTGTAATCCCGTTTCCAACGAAATCCTCAGAACTATCGAAATTTCCAATTGCAGATTCCACAAAAAGCGTGTTTCAAAGCTGCTCTGTAAAAAGAAAGGGTCAACTCTGTTAGTTGAATACACACGTCACAAACAAGTTTCTGAGAATGCTTCTGTCTAGTTTTTATGGGAAGATATTTCCTTTTTCACCGTAGGCCTCAAAGCGCTCCAAATGTCCACTTCCACATACTACAAAAAGAGTGTTTCAAACCTGCTCTATGATAGGGAATGTTGAAACCTATGAGTTGAATGCAAACATTACAAAGAGGTTTCTGAGAATGCTTCTGTCTAGATTTTATATGTAGATATTCCCGTTTCCAACGAAATCCTCAAAGCTATCCAAATATCAACTTGCAGATTCTACAAAAGGAATGTTTCCAAAATGCTGTATCCAAACAAAGGTTCAACTCTGTGAATTGAGGGCATACATCACAAAGAAGATTCTGAGAATGCTTCTGTCTAGATTTTATATGAAAATATTCCCGTTTCCAACGAAATCCTCAAAGCTATCCAAATATCCACTTGCAAATGCCACAAAAAGAGTGTTTCCAAACTGCTCTGTGAAAAGGAAGGTTCAACTCTGTTAGTTGAGTACACACATCACAAAGAGGTTTCTGAGAATGCTGCTGACTAGTTTTTATTTGAAGATATTTCCCTTTTCACCTTAGGCCTAAGAGTGCTCGAAATGTCCATTTCCACATACTCCACAAAGTGTGTTTCAAACGTGCTGTATGAAAGGGAATGTTCAACTCTATGAGTTGAATGCAAACATCACAAAGAAGATTCTGAGAATGCTTTTGTCTAGATTTTATATGAAGATATTCCCGTGTCCAACGAAATTTTCAAAGGTCTCCAAATATCCATTTGTAGATTCTACAAAAAGAGTGTTTCCAAACTGCTGTATCAAAACAAAGGTTGAACTCTGTGAGTTGAGGACACACATCACAAATAAGTTTCTGAGAATGCTTCTGTCTAGTTTTTATTTGAAGATATTTCCTTTTTCACCATAGGCCTGAAAGCGCTCGAAATATCCACTTCCAGGAAGTCCAGAAAGAGTGTTTCAAACCTGCTCTATGAACGGGAATGTTCAGCTCTGTGAGTTGAATGCAAACATCACAAAGCAGGTTCTGAGAATGCTTCCGTCTAGATTTTATATGAGGATATTCCCGTTTCCAACGAAATCCTCGAAGCTATCCAAATATCCATTTGCAGATTCCACAAAAAGAGTGTTTCAAAACTGCTCTGTCAAAAGATAGGGTCAACTCTGTTAGTTGAGTACACACATGGCAAAGAAGATTCCGAGAATGCTTTCGTCTAGTTTTTTTGGGAAGATATTTCCTTCTTCACCATAGGCCTCAAAGTGCTCCAAATATCCATTTCCACATACTATACAAAGAGTGTCTCAAACCTGCTGTATGAAAAGAAATTTTCAACTCTATGAGTTGAATGCAAACTTCACAAAGAAGTTTCTCACAATGCTGCTGTCTAGATTTTATATGAAGGTTTTCCCGCTTCCAACGAAATTTTCAATGCTCTCAAAATATCCTCTTGTAGATTCTACAAAAAGAGTGTTTCCAAACTGCTGTATCAAAACAAAGGTTCATCTCTGTTAGTTGAGGACACACATCACAAATAAGTTTCTGAGAATGCTTCTGTCTAGTTCTTATTTGAAGACATTTCCTTTCTCACCTTAGGCCTGAAAGCCCTCGAAATACCCACTTCCAGATACTACAGAAACAGTGATTCAAACCTGCTCTATGAAAGGGAATGTTCAACTAGGTGACTTGAATGCAAACATCACAAAGCAGTTTCTGAGAATGCTGCTGTCTACTTTCTATTTGTAATCCCGTTTGCAACGAAATCCTCAGAACTATCGAAATTTCCAATTGCAGATTCCACAGAAACAGGGTTTCAAAGCTGCTCTGTAAAAAGAAAGGTTCAACTCTGTTAGTTGAATACACACGTCACAAACAAGTTTCTGAGAATGCTTCTGTCTAGTTTTTATGGGAAGATATTTCCTTTTTCACCGTAGGCCTCAAAGCGCTCCAAATGTCCACGTCCACATACTACAAAAAGAGTGTTTCAAACCTGCTGTATGAAAGGGAATGTTCAACTCTATGAGTTGAATGCAAACATTACAAAGAAGTTTCTGAGAATGCTTCTGTCTAGATTTTATATGTAGATATTCCCGTTTCCAACGAAATCCTCAAAGCTATCCAAATATCAACTTGCAGATTCTACAAAAGGAATGTTTCCAAAATGCTGTATCCAAACAAAGGTTCAACTCTGGGAATTGAGGGCATACATCACAAAGAAGATTCTGAGAATGCTTCTGTCTAGATTTTATATGAAAATATTCCCGTTTCCAACGAAATCCTCAAAGCTATCCAAATATCCACTTGCAAATGCCACAAAAAGAGTGTTTCCAAACTGCTCTGTGAAAAGGAAGGTTCAACTCTGTTAGTTGAGTACACACATCACAAAGAGGTTTCTGAGAATGCTGCTGACTAGTTTTTATTTGAAGATATTTCCCTTTTCACCTTAGGCCTAAGAGTGCTCGAAATGTCCATTTCCACATACTCCACAAAGTGTGTTTCAAACGTGCTGTATGAAAGGGAATGTTCAACTCTATGAGTTGAATGCAAACATCACAAAGAAGATTCTGAGAATGCTTTTGTCTAGATTTTATATGAAGATATTCCCGTGTCCAACGAAATTTTCAAAGGTCTCCAAATATCCATTTGTAGATTCTACAAAAAGAGTGTTTCCAAACTGCTGTATCAAAACAAAGGTTGAACTCTGTGAGTTGAGGACACACATCACAAATAAGTTTCTGAGAATGCTTCTGTCTAGTTTTTATTTGAAGATGTTTCCTTTTTCACCATAGGCCTGAAAGCGCTCGAAATGTCCACTTCCAGATAGTACAGAAAGAGTGTTTCAAACCTGCTCTATGAACGGGAATGTTCAGCTCCGTGAGTTGAATGCAAACATCACAAAGCAGGTTCTGAGAATGCTTCCGTCTAGATTTTAAATGAGGATATTCCCGTTTCCAACGAAATCCTCGAAGCTATCCAAATATCCACTTGCAGATTCCACAGAAAGAGTGTTTCAAAACTGCTCTCTCAAAAGATAGGTTCAACTCTGTTAGTTGAGTACACACATGGCAAACAAGATTCCGAGAATGCTTTCGTCTAGTTTTTTTGGGAAGATATTTCCTTCTTCACCATAGGCCTCAAAGCGCTCCAAATATCCATTTCCACATGCTATACAAAGAGTGACTCAAACCTGCTGTATGAATGGGAATGTTCAACTCTATGAGTTGAATGCAAACATCACAAAGAAGTTTCTGAGAATGCTGCTGTCTAGATTTTATATGAAGGTTTTCCCGCTTCCAACGAAATTTTGAATGCTCTCAAAATGTCCTCTTGTAGATTCTACAAAAAGAGTGTTTCCAAACTGCTGTATCAAAACAAAGGTTCATCTCTGTTAGTTGAGGACACACATCACAAATAAGTTTCTGAGAATGCTTCTGTCTAGTTCTTATTTGAAGACATTTCCTTTCTCACCTTAGGCCTGAAAGCGCTCGAAATACCCACTTCCAGATACTACAGAAACAGTGATTCAAACCTGCTCTATGAAAGGGAATGTTCAACTATGTGACTTGAATGCAAACATCACAAAGCAGTTTCTGAGAATGCTGCTGTCTACTTTCTATTTGTAATCCCGTTTGCAACGAAATCCTCAGAACTATCGAAATTTCCAATTGCAGATTCCACAGAAACAGGGTTTCAAAGCTGCTCTGTAAAAAGAAAGGTTCAACTCTGTTAGTTGAATACACACGTCACAAACAAGTTTCTGAGAATGCTTCTGTCTAGTTTTTATGGGAAGATATTTCCTTTTTCACCGTGGGCCTCAAAGCGCTCCAAATGTCCACTCCCACATACTACAAAAAGAGTGTTTCAAACCTGCTGTATGAAAGGGAACGTTCAACTCTATGAGTTGAATGCAAACATTACAAAGAAGTTTCTGAGAATGCTTCTGTCTAGATTTTATATGTAGATATTCCCGTTTCCAACGAAATCCTCAAAGCTATCCAAATATCAACTTGCAGATTCTACAAAAGGAATGTTTCCAAAATGCTGTATCCAAACAAAGGTTCAACTCTGGGAATTGAGGACATACATCACAAAGCAGATTCTGAGAATGCTTCTGTCTAGTTCTTATTTGAAGACATTTCCTTTCTCACCTTAGGCCTCAAAGCGCTCGAAATATCCACTTCCAGATACTACAGAGACAGTGATTCAAACCTGCTCTATGAAAGGGAATGTTCAACTATGTGACTTGAATGCAGACATCACAAAGCAGTTTCTGAGAATGCTGCTGTCTACTTTCTATTTGTAATCCCGTTTCCAACGAAATCCTCAGAACTATCGAAATTTCCAATTGCAGATTCCACAAAAAGAGTGTTTCAAAGCTGCTCTGTAAAAAGAAAGTTTCAACTCTGTTAGTTGAATACACGGCAGAAACAAGTTTCTGAGAATGCTTCTGTCTAGTTTTTATGGGAAGATATTTCCTTTTTCACCGTAGGCCTCAAAGCGCTCCAAATGTCCACTTCCACATACTACAAAAAGAGTGTTTCAAACCTGCTCTATGATAGGGAATGTTGAAACCTATGAGTTGAATGCAAGCATTACAAAGAGGTTTCTGAGAATGCTTCTGTCTAGATTTTATATGTAGATATTCCCGTTTCCAACGAAATCCTCAAAGCTATCCAAATATCAACTTGCAGATTCTACAAAAGGAATGTTTCCAAAATGCTGTATCCAAACAAAGGTTCAACTCTGTGAATTGAGGGCATACATCACAAAGAAGATTCTGAGAATGCTTCTGTCTAGATTTTATATGAAAATATTCCCGTTTCCAACGAAATCCTCAAAGCTATCCAAATATCCACTTGCAAATGCCACAAAAAGAGTGTTTCCAAACTGCTCTGTGAAAAGGAAGGTTCAACTCTGTTAGTTGAGTACACACATCACAAAGAGGTTTCTGAGAATGCTGCTGACTAGTTTTTATTTGAAGATATTTCCCTTTTCACCTTAGGCCTAAGAGTGCTCGAAATGTCCATTTCCACATACTCCACAAAGTGTGTTTCAAACGTGCTGTATGAAAGGTAATGTTCAACTCTATGAGTTGAATGCAAACATCACAAAGAAGATTCTGAGAATGCTTTTGTCTAGATTTTATATGAAGATATTCCCGTGTCCAACGAAATTTTCAAAGGTCTCCAAATATCCATTTGTAGATTCTACAAAAAGAGTGTTTCCAAACTGCTGTATCAAAACAAAGGTTGAACTCTGTGAGTTGAGGACACACATCACAAATAAGTTTCTGAGAATGCTTCTGTCTAGTTTTTATTTGAAGATGTTTCCTTTTTCACCATAGGCCTGAAAGCGCTCGAAATATCCACTTCCAGATAGTACAGAAAGAGTGTTTCAAACCTGCTCTATGAACGGGAATGTTCAGCTCTGTGAGTAGAATGCAAACATCACAAAGCAGGTTCTGAGAATGCTTCCGTCTAGATTTTAAATGAGGATAGTCCCGTTTCCAACGAAATCCTCGAAGCTATCCAAATATCCATTTGCAGATTCCACAAAAAGAGTGTTTCAAAACTGCTCTGTCAAAAGATAGGTTCAACTCTGTTAGTTGAGTACACACATGGCAAACAAGATTCCGAGAATGATTTCGTCTAGTTTTTTTGGGAAGATATTTCCTTCTTCACCATAGGCCTCAATCGCTCCAAATATCCATTTCCACATACTATAGAAAGAGTGTCTCAAACCTGCTGTATGAAAGGGAACGTTCAACTCTATGAGTTGAATGCAAACATCACAAAGAAATTTCTGAGAATGCTACTGTCTAGATTTTATATGAAGGTTTTCCCGCTTCCAACGAAATTTTCAATGCTCTCAAAATATCCTCTTGTAGATTCTACAAAAAGAGTGTTTCCAAACTGCTGTATCAAAACAAAGGTTCATCTCTGTTAGTTGAGGACACACATCAGAAATAAGTTTCTGAGAATGCTTCTGTCTAGTTCTTATTTGAAGACATTTCCTTTCTCACCTTAGGCCTGAAAGCGCTCGAAATACCCACTTCCAGATACCACAGAAACAGTGATTCAAACCTGCTCTATGAAAGGGAATGTTCAACTAGGTGACTTGAATGCAAACATCACAAAGCAGTTTCTGAGAATGCTGCTGTCTACTTTCTATTTGTAATCCCGTTTCCAACGAAATCCTCAGAACTATCGAAATTTCCAATTGCAGATTCCACAGAAACAGGGTTTCAAAGCTGCTCTGTAAAAAGAAAGGTTCAACTCTGTTAGTTGAATACACACGTCACAAACAAGTTTCTGAGAATGTTTCTGTCTAGTTTTTATGGGAAGATATTTCCTTTTTCACCGTAGGCCTCAAAGCGCTCCAAATGTCCACGTCCACATACTACAAAAAGAGTGTTTCAAACCTGCTGTATGAAAGGGAATGTTCAACTCTATGAGTTGAATGCAAACATTACAAAGAAGTTTCTGAGAATGCTTCTGTCTAGATTTTATATGAAGGTTTTCCCGTTTCCAACGAAATTTTCAATGCTCTCAAAATATCCACTTGTAGATTCTACAAAAAGAGTGTTTCCAAACTGCTGTGTCAAAAGAAAGGTTCAACTCTGTTAGTTGAGGACACACATCACAAATAAGTTTCTGAGAATGCTCTGTCTAGTTCTTATTTGAAGACATTTCCTTTCTCACCTTAGGCCTGAAAACGCTCGAAATATCCACTTCCAGATACGACAGAAACAGTGATTCAAACCTGCTCTATGAAAGGGAATGTTCAACTAGGTGACTTGAATGCAAACATCACAAAGCAGTTTCTGAGAATGCTGTGCTGTCTACTTTCTATTTGTAATCCCGTTTCCAACGAAATCCTCAGAACTATCGAAATTTCCAATTGCAGATTCCACAGAAACAGGGTTTCAAAGCTGCTCTGTAAAAAGAAAGGTTCAACTCTGTTAGTTGAATACACACGTCACAAACAAGTTTCTGAGAATGCTTCTGTCTAGTTTTTATGGGAAGATATTTCCTTTTTCACCGTAGGCCTCAAAGCGCTCCAAATGTCCACGTCCACATACTACAAAAAGAGTGTTTCAAACCTGCTGTATGAAAGGGAATGTTCAACTCTATGAGTTGAATGCAAACATTACAAAGAAGTTTCTGAGAATGCTTCTGTCTAGATTTTATATGAAGGTATTCCCGCTTCCAACGAAATTTTCAATGCTCTCAAAATATCCACTTGTAGATTCTACAAAAAGAGTGTTTCCAAACTGCTGTATCAAAACAAATGTTCAACTCTGTTAGTTGAGGACACACATCACAAATAAGTTTCTGAGAATGCTTCTGTCTAGTTCTTATTTGAAGACGTTTCCTTTCTCACCTTAGGCCTGAAAGCGCTCGAAATGTCCACTTCCAGATAGTACAGAAATAGTGATTCAAACCTGCTCTATGAAAGGGAATGTTCAACTAGGTGACTTTAATGCAAACATCACAAAGCAGTTTCTCAGAATGCTGCTGTCTACTTTCTATTTGTAATCCCGTTTCCATCGAAATCCTCAGAACTATGGAAATTTTCAATTGCAGATTCCACAAAAAGAGTGTTTCAAAGCTGCCCTGTAAAAAGAAAGGTTCAACTCTGTTAGTTGAATACACACGTCACAAACAAGTTTCTGAGAATGCTTTCTGTCTAGTTTTTATGGGAAGATATTTCCTTTTTCACGGTAGGCCTCAAAGCGCTCAAAATGTCCACTTCCACATACTACAAAAAGAGTGTTTCAAACCTGCTCTATGATAGGGAATGTTGAAACCTATGAGTTGAATGCAAGCATTACAAAGAGGTTTCTGAGAATGCTTCTGTCTAGATTTTATATGTAGATATTCCCGTTTCCAACGAAATCCTCAAAGCTATCCAAATATCAACTTGCAGATTCTACAAAAGGAATGTTTCCAAAGTGCTGTATCCAAACAAAGGTTCAACTCTGTGAATTGAGGGCATACATCACAAAGAAGATTCTGAGAATGCTTCTGTGTTGATTTTATATGAAGATATTCCCGTTTCCAATGAAATCCTCAAATCTATCCAAATATCCACTTGCAAATTCCACAAAAAGAGTGTTTCAAAACTGCTCTGTCAAAAGGAAGGTTCAACTCCGTTAGTTGAGTACACACATCACAAAGAGGTTTGTGAGAATGCTCCTGACTAGTTTTTATTTGAAGATATTTCCCTTTTCACCTTAGGCCTAAGAGCACTCTAAATGTCCATTTCCACATACTACACAAAGTGTGTTTCAAACCTGTTGTATGAAAGGGAATATTCAACTCTATGAGTTGAATGCAAACATCACAAAGCAGATTCTGAGAATGCTTTTGTCTAGATTTTATATGAAGATTTTCCCGTGTCCAACGAAATTTTCAAAGGTTTCCAAATATCCATTTGTAGATTCTACGAAAATAGTGTTTCCAAACTGCTGTATCAAAACAAAGGTTCAACTCTGTTAGTTGAGGTCACATCACAAACAAGTTTCTGAGAATGCTTCTGTCTAGTTTTTATTTGAAGATATTTCCTTTTTCACCATAGGCCTGAAAGCGCTCGAAATGTCCACTTCCAGATAGTACAGACAGAGTGTTTCAAACCTGCTCTATGAAAGGGAATGTTCAGCTCTGTGAGTTGAATGCAAACATCACAAAGTAGGTTCTGAGAATGCTCCGTCTAGTATTTTAAATGAGGATATTCCCGTTTCCAACGAAATCCTCGAAGCTATCCAAATATCCACTTGCAGATTCCACAAAAAGAGTGTTTCAAAACTGCTCTGTCAAAAGATAGGTTCAACTCTGTTAGTTGAGTACACACATGGCAAACAAGATTGCGAGAATGCTTCTGTCTAGTTTTTATGGGAAGATATTTCCTTTTTCACCGGGAGGCCTCAAAGCGCTCCAAATGTCCACTTCCACATACTACAAAAAGAGTGTTTCAAACCTGCTGTATGAAAGGGAATGTTCAACTCTATGAGTTGAATGCAAACATTACAAAGAAGTTTCTGAGAATGCTTCTGTCTAGATTTTATATGATGATATTCCCGTTTCCAACGAAATCCTCAAAGCTATCCAAATATCCACTTGTGGATTCCCCAAAAAGAGTATTTCAAAGCTATTCTATCAAAAGAAAGGTTTAACTCTGTTAGTTGAGTACACACATCACAAACATGTTTCTAACAATGCTTCTGTCTAGTTTTTATGGGAAGATATTTCCTTTTTCACCATAGGCCTCCAAGCGCTCCAAATGTCCACTTCCACATACTACAAAAAGAGTGTTTCAAACCTGCTCTATGAAAGGGAATGTTCAACTCTGTGACTTGAATGGAAACATCACAAAGAAGTTTCTGAGAATGTTTTGGTCTAGCTTCTGTATGAAAATATTCCTGTTTCCAAAGAAATCCTCAAATCTATCCAAATATCCTCTTGCAGATTCTACAAAATGCGTGTTTCAATACTGCTCTATCGAAAGAAAATTTCATCTCTGTTAGTTGAGTGAACACATCACAAAGATTTTTCTGAGAATGCTTCTGTCTAGTTTTTATGGGAAGATATTTCCTTTTTCACCGGGAGGCCTCAAAGCGCTCCAAATGTCCACTTCCACATACTACAAAAAGAGTGTTTCAAACCTGCTGTATGAAAGGGAATGTTCAACTCTATGAGTTGAATGCAAACATTACAAAGAAGTTTCTGAGAATGCTTCTGTCTAGAATTTATATGAAGGTTTTCCCGTTTCCATCGAAATTTTCAATTCTCTCAGAATATCCACTTGTAGATTCTACAAAAAGAGTGTTTCCAAACTGCTGTATCAAAACAAAGATTCAACTCTGTTAGTTGAGGACACACATCACAAATAAGTTTCTGAGAATGCTTCTGTCTAGTTCTTATTTGAAGACATTTCCTTTCTCACCTTAGGCCTGAAAGCGCTCGAAATACCCACTTCCAGATACTACAGAAACAGTGATTCAAACCTGCTCTATGAAAGGGAATGTTCAACTAGGTGACTTGAATGCAAACATCACAAAGCAGTTTCTGAGAATGCTGCTGTGTACTTTTTATATGTAATCCCGTTTCCAACGAAATCCTCAGAACTATCGAAATTTCCACTTGCAGATTCCACAAAAAGGGTGTTTCAAAGCTGCTCTGTAAAAAGAAAGGTTCAACTCTGTTAGTTGAATACACACGTCAGAAACAAGTTTCTGAGAATGCTTCTGTCTAGTTTTTATGGGAAGATATTTCCTTTTTCACCGTAGGCCTCAAAGCGCTCCAAATGTCCACTTCCACATACTACAAAAGGAGAGTTTCAAACCTGCGCTATGATAGGGAATGTTGAAATCTATGAGTTGAATGCAAACATCACAAAGAAGTTACTGAGAATCCTTCTGTCTAGATTTTATATGTAGATATTCCCGTTTCCAACGAAATCCTCAAAGCTATCCAAATATCAACTTGCAGATTCTGCAAAAGGAATGTTTCCAAAATGCTGTATCCAAACAAAGGTTCAACTCTGTGAATTGAGGGCATACATCACAAAGAAGATTCTGAGAATGCT